>NT_187660.1:1192195-1504896 GCF_000001405.40 Homo sapiens
GAATTCTCATGAACACTCCTCAATTTGGAGAGAGAGGGACTGTGATGAGGGGGGTTGAGATGGTACCCAGAGCCTGATGGCCCTCACCAGCTTCAGGAGAAACCTGCTCCCCTCCAGGGCTCCTTCCTAGGGTCCGGCTTGCACTGCATTCTGGGAGAATCCTGTAGCCCCATCTTCCCTTTACCCATTGGCCGTTTAATGGTATCCCATTCTCACATTTAGCCTTTTGAATGAATCAACCACCATATTAAAAAATTAATAGATTTAATTTTTTTTTCAGCAGTTTTAGGTTTATGGAGAAATTGAGCAGAAAGTTTAGGGAGTTCTCCTGTACACCCTCACCCCATTTCCCCTGTTTCCTCATTATTAACATCTTACATTGGTGTGGTACATTCGTTACCATTGATGGGGCAGTATTATTATTAACTGGAGCCCATAGTTAAAACATATTGGGGTTCACTCTTCATGTTGTATATTTTATGAGTTTTGACAAATGGGGAATGACTCAGCTACCATGTCTTTGTTTTAGTAGATCGTTAGTTGCTTTTTGTCTTATTAGCTGACTCTTGTTTTGAGGAGAACTTTTTGTCACATCCTTTTGCACCCCGGCTTACTGTGGCGTGGGGCAGGGGTACTGGGGGCCAGCTGGTCTCTGGGGAGCAGCACTCACTGCATCCTGCCCCCGCCCCATTCTGCTCCTTTCTGGTCTCAGCAGCCTCCCTTGCTCCTTTCACCTGCCTACCCCAGCTCAGCTGCCTGCTGCTTAGATGCCACTGTGGGGCAAGGAAGCTGCCCCCAGTCGGTCCCCGAGGATTCTGCCCAGATAGGGATAAGAATCACCGCGAGTGTTTGCTGAGCACTTGGGAGGCATAGGCTCGGCGGGAAGGGAAGGCCTGCAGGCTGAGGTGGTCTGCTTTGAGTTTTGCAGCGTTGCCTGCGGTCTCCGTGGGTGAGGGAAAAGGCACAGGGAGGTGCAGAAGCGTTCCTGGCGCCACGGAGCCGGTCAGTGACAGAGCCGGGTCTCAACCCAGGCCACTGCCCTCGGCAGCCAAGCCCCTTCTTTATTTTGGAATGGCCACCTGGCCAACTGGCACACAGGGAGAACTCATGAAAGGAGGCGTGGCTCACTCCTGAAGGGAGAGGGACACAGGAGCAGCCTTGATGCGCAACGCCCCCTCCAGGCCCCGAGTCCCTGTCCTTGGAGGAAGCAGGACTCCCAGGTGGGAGAGGTGAAGCAGATGGCTTCCCCCACTGCAAGGAGGAATCCCGGTGCTCTTCTCCACCAGCCTTCCCTTTGGTCGCCCCCTGGCGTCCGCGTCATTGTGGGAACACTCGGGCGGGATGTATTTTAAAGGAGTGCCTGATGCGTGTGGGTGTGGTGGGGTTGGGGGTGGGGGTGGGGCTGGGGGTGGTTGCAGCGGGGCCTATGCAGGATCCCGGTTGGAGGGGGCTGCAGAGGCTACTGCTGGGCCTGGTGTCGCCATGGCAGCTGGAGAGCGGGCGACCGGTCGCTTGGCGTCCTGCTTGGGGTTGTTGCCCACATCACCGAGCGAACGTTCCTGTCCCGCCCACTCACTGCGAGGCTGGGCAGGGCCGCTTGCCAGTTAATTGTGGGGATTATTATTTTTTTTTTTTTGTAGACGGAGTCGCGCTCTGTCTCCCAGGCTGGAGTGCAGTGGCGCTATCTTGGCTCACTGCAAGCTCCGCCTCCAGGGTTCACGCCATTCTCCTGCCTCAGCCTCCGGAGTAGCTGGGACTACAGGCGCCCGCCACCACGCCCGGCTAATTTTTTGCGTTTTTTAGTAGAAACGAGGTTTCACCATGTTAGCAAAGATGGTCTCAATCTCCTGACCTCGTGATCCGCCCACCTAGGCCTCCCAAAATGTTGGGATTACAGGCGTGAGCCACTGCGCCCGGCCGGTTGTGGGGATTATCTGAGAGTTGCTGGAGTGTTCTGCACTTCCTTGCGAACCTTTTACCTGGGTGGGCAGGGGGAGAGGCCGAGTCAAGGGAAGGAGGCAGGATGCCACACACGCCCTGCAGGGAGAGTCATCTGCTGGGCACTGCGACACACAGAAAGCCAGGAGCCTGAGCCCCGCCCGCGGTTGTTGAACGGAGGGAGAATGAACAACCGCTGACTTCCTGGTTCCTGGGTGCCGCATCACTGCCCCTCTGCTCCGGGTCAAACCGGCTGTATGCTTAGCTTCAGGAACATGTGGCAGGTGGCAGCCCCCGGCCCCGTGGCAGGTAACGGTGGTTTTGCAGTGTGGCGTGCTGTGGGGGCCGGCAGGGGCACAGCTGGGCAGGCCAGGCTTTCTCTGGCTCAGTATGCAGGGCTGGTTCTTCCCAGAGGAGGCAGAGGTCAGGGAGGAGCTCTTTCCCTGTGTCTCCTGAACAGCTTCATCAGCACACCCTGCAGCGGGGACTCAGTGAGCATCCTGCAGCTGTCTTGTCCCAGAAGGGCTGTGTACTTTTGGCCCTGAGGGCAACCTCTGCATTTCCTTTCTGGGGGCTCCCAGATGAGCCCCGCTCCCCCAGGTCATCCTGATCCATATTGATGTGATAACCCCCTCCTCAGTCCGAAACATCTGGAGGCCCCGTTTGTCCGTGGGATAAGAATGGGCTTGAGCATGGCTGTGGGTGCTCCGTGTGGCGACAGTGGCATGTTCTGTGGCAGCTTGCTTCCTCTGTAGCCCGATGTCTTTGACTCCCAGCCCGATGCTCCCTCCTCACCCAGCAGAGGCCCCTCCTCGGCCTTTGCATTTGCTTTCATTTATCTTCCTTCTTTAAGGCTGCTTTTGAGGGTTTACTGGCCAGCAGCATCATGTGCAGTCTATAAACTGTGTGCCCTCTCGGGGCCAGGTAGGAGCCTGAGAGGGAATGGGAGAAGTGGTCACGAATGATTGTGAGGACTGCAGAAAGAAGACAGGGCTGAGAAGAGTGTGATTTCCCCTAGAATTCAGAGATGCCTGCACCAGCTGGGTTTTGAAGAATGAATAGGAGTTTGCCAGGAAGATTCTAGAGGAACAACAGCAACAAAAAGATTTAAACATGGGCACAGAAGAGGTGAGGCACAGATGGCACAGGGATTTGGGGTGTGATGGGGCAAGGAAGCCATGGGCAGGGTCTAGGCCCAGGACCTCAGGTGCTTTGCATGCCATGACTTGGAGGCAATGGCCTTGTCATGCAGAACTGTGCCTCCCTGGGCCCCATTAGAGTCCCTGGCTCTTGGTGTGCCTTTCATGCCCACACCACGGTAGGAGCAGGCAGGTGGGGTTTGGCCTGGGTTTCCCCAAAATGGACACTACTCCTTCTTGTGCTTCAGTATCAGAGTGGGCCCGTGGAGTGGGAATAAATGTTTGGGTTTAGGAGGCCTCCAGCTGGGTGGCCTGCTCCCAGGCAGGAAACACAGATTAGAGGAAGTATCAAGTTGGAAGGCAGCAGCCGTGGATGTTAAAGCTGGAGGAACCTCTTAAGGAATGGCTGTCAGCTCCCTCGTTTGGTGTGGTAGGAAGATGAGGGTGAGAGGGGTTGGGAGCAGGTGCTGGAGCTGGAGCCTGAACCCCCATATCTCAGTGCTGCCATCATCCTTCATAATAAGGAAACTGAGGCACAGGCAGGTTACATAGTCTTCTCAGGATGTCAGTGGCAGAGCTAGGACGTCTATCTCTGCAGCTCAGTTCTGTGCGAAGTCCAGGCAGATGGTGCTGATCAGTAAGGGGTGCTGGCTGAGCGCTGATGGCCACCTGCATCTCAAGGAGAAACAGTGTCACTGGCTAATCTGATGGCTTCTCTGGGCACCAGCACGTGGGCACCATCACCCTTTCTCTGCAGGGGGTTTGTTTAGTGTATTTGGTAGAACATCCCCCAGCCTACTAGGTGTGGCATGCTCTATGCCACAAGCTCTGTATCTCAGGCAGCATTTTGTACTTTGAAAAAACAAGTTGGGAACAGAACCCTGATGAATGTGTTTCATTTCCTGTCAGAGCAAATGAAACCTGAAATATTAATGGCACGAGATTTCCCTTATCTTCCTACAAAATCTTCCTACATTGAAAAATGTACTCCCCACAAGCTTAGCATGCAGCTCTGCTACCTGTGGCCCGAAATCATTAGTTGTCCATACTCACTGACCTTTGGAAATAAACACGAAGGTTCACTTGAAGACTTGGGGGAGAATCACGGTCAACTTGTGACGCTTGGTTTTTCAGATATTCAGCTGCTCTGGAGAGCCTTGGAGTTCCAGCTGCTCTAGAGGTTCTGGGGAGGGAGCTGTTAGCCTCCCATATGAGCGTGTGGCCCATCGTTGCCATCCACACCTGCCCCTCTGTGGGTGAATAAGTGGTTTCCTTTCTCAGCTGGTTGACGCTTCATTTGTTTGTGTTCTTTTTCTTTACAGTCTCCTGAATATTTACGCGTTGCTGAATCTCCTGTGGACAAACCACCAATAGGCCAGGACTGTCCTGTGGACAGACGGGGTGAGCCTCTTCTTGTGTCTGGAGATTCTGAGTGAGTAGAACCCGTTATGATCCCCACTGCACTTAATGTGGCATTCATGAATGAGTCTGGGCTGATGTGCTAATTGGGGGCCGTAAGAAGAGTTATAGCCACGATGGCCCTCACCTTTCTCTAATAAAAGCTTAAACACAGCTACGGTAAATATTTTTGCTTTCTGCTTTCACAAACTTCACATACGCTTACATTTATTTTGAGGCGAAAGGGGAAGAACAGACATTTACAGGGGACCAGTTGCTAGGAGAAGACTGTGCATTCCCTGTAACCCTGTCAGTCTCACCTCGGAGATCCTGTCCCTGGAGTGCCCCAGGTCCCTTTTCCCAGCTGCACTGAGTGCCTCTGTCCTCCTGGTGGAGCTGTGCTGCTTTCTTGGGCAGCCTCCCTTCCCCATGGGGTGCACATAGGCTGGGGGCATCCCGGTGGTCAGTTCTTCCCAGGGACCCAGGAGGAGGGGCTGGCAGAAAGTGGGCAGGTTCTTTCCGCTCGACCTGGCAATAACAATTCCTAAATTGCTCAGCACCCCAGGCTGCTTGCCTTGACCCAGGTAGCCAGTCCCAGGCACCACCAGTGTGGGCAGGGCCCTCCCCAGGGGCAGCAGCAGGGCAGCCCAAGACACTGGTGGCCACCACAGTTAGTCCCCACAAGGCGATTGTGCAGGACATGTTCTCGAGCTGCCTGCAGGGTCTGGTTGTGGGAGCAGCTCAGCCCCTCCTGCAGAGGTGGGAGCATCTTCTACAGCCAGCCATTGTCCCGCAGGAGCTCTGTGCCCAGTGGAATATCTCAGTGCAGTGCACAATGGGGCCACAGCTGTGTCACAGCCATGCTCTGTCCTTTAGTGGGCCGTCTGAGCCACATTCCACCTGCCTGTTCTGACACACTGCTCTCCCTCGATGACCCTGCTCCCACTGGCCTCCCCATGGTTTCGATCTGTAACCCAGACCCTGTTCCCAGGAGCTGGCTCAGCACCATCCTGCTCCACACCCTCTCTCAGGAGACATCCTAACCTGCCCAGCCTGTCCTGTTCCTGCCTCTCAACCCAGAACACTGCAGGTCCTTCAGGTATTCGGTGAGACCTTAGAAGCAGGCACAGCAGGATTTATCCCACATGCACCATGCACCGTGCTGAGGAAGCCACGGTCACTCCCCTAATGGTCACTAGAGGTGAGAGAACTGAGGTTGTTGCCCATGTGGTAGAACTGGAATTCAGGGCCTCAGCCACACCTCAGTCACCACACCACGCCCTGTGCAGGACGCTGGGGAAACCAGGCAGCTAGGACTGGCCTGTGCCTTGGAATGCTTACTCAGACCACCCATCCTTGTCCCCTTTGCACCTCAAAGGCTTGGTCTACTTTTCAGACACAGTTTTTATATTGTCAGCCTGATACATATGCATATTTTAAGATGTCAAAGAGTTTTATAAGTTTTATGAAAAAAATAGCAGACCCCTGGCCTCCCAGACCATCTCCCCACCGCCCCTGCCCTGCCCACTCCCCATAGATTACCACTTCCAGCTCTTATTGCTTCTTCCTCTGGATTTATCTCCACATTTGTAAAGAATATGGGCACGCTGCTATTTCTTAGTCTTCTGTTGTGGTCAAGATGGTTGAACTCGTAGATTTCCCTCCTGAGAGCTGCTCCATCTAACCCTAACCCTAACTCTGATATATAGAGTTATGTCATCATTTAGGTGAACCCTTATGCAGTGTGTATCAGTCAGGATAGGCTGCCTCATGATGCAGGAACAAGCATCCCCAGACCTGAGAGAGTTCCGTTTCTCTAGCCTCCTGCCCTGGGGGTGGGTGCTGAGTCTGGGGGAGGTGTGGGGTGGGGGGAGGGGCCTCAGCGCTCAGCAGACAGGTGCTCACTGGTGTCACCATGTTCCCTGCCCTCTTCTCATATGGAACACGTGGTGCCCTTTTGCCAGGGCATCCCTGCTCAGGGGTCAGGATAGTCCTCCTCTGAGTGGCTGGGAGTCTGACTGCTCCCTGTTTAGACTATTGAGTAGCCCCCTGCTTTCTGCCTCACTCCCTTTTTGTGCTGGTGTCTCAGTGCTTGGGCCTTTTGGGGTTTTAGAGGTGGGCCGTGAGGCTGGGCATGAAAAG
This sequence comes from Homo sapiens, assembly GCF_000001405.40. Taxonomy (NCBI): domain Eukaryota; kingdom Metazoa; phylum Chordata; class Mammalia; order Primates; family Hominidae; genus Homo; species Homo sapiens. The sequence goes on from NT_187660.1 coordinate 1,198,813, forward strand.
GCTTCTCTGCCTCCACCGCCCCCCCGGGGCTCCTCATCCCTGTGCTGCCTCAGCACTTCGTCTGGCAAGATTTGCAGGTGCAGTTTTCATTTCTCATTCTTTGTTGGTTTTGAGTGATTTCAAGAGAAGATGCAGAAAGGCTGTGACCCCACCTCTAAAAGCCAGCGGTCAACCTGGCCACCCTTAAGCCTGTTCTAGTGGGCCCCCTGCCCCGTTGCCCTGCTGTGACAGTGTCCCACGAGGACAGACTCAACACAGGACTTCAGTCCTTGCCTTCCCGAGTGCTGGCAGCCCTGGTGCTGTTGCTTTCCCTCTCCCCTCCTTGTTCTCAACCTCAGGAGGAAAATGCCCAGTTTCTCATGATGAGATATGATGTCATCTGTAGGTTTTTTTTTTAAAAAAGTGGGTAAAATTCATATAACATTAGCCATTAACCAGTTGAAAGTGTGTAATTCAGTAACATGTAGTGCATTTGCAGTGTTGGGCACCCACTATCTGTGTCTAGTTCCAACAAGTTTTCTTCATCCCAGAGAGGAACTCTCCATTAAGCAGTCACTCCCCAGCCTCCCTACCCCAGTCTCTGGCAACCCCAATCTGCTTTCTGTCTCCATGGACTTACATATTCTGAATGTTTCCCATAAATTAGACATCATATAATTTGTGACCTTTTCTTTCTGGCTTCTTTGGCTTAGCATGAAGTTTATGTGGATGACCCATGTTGCAACATGTGTCAGAACTTCAGTCCTTTCTAAGGCTGAACAATATTGCATTCTGCAGATACACCACATTTGTTTGTGCCTTCATTTGATGGGCGTTTGGGTAGTTTCCACCTTTTGACTGTCAGGAATAATGCAGCTGTGAGTGTGTGTGGATAGTGTTAGATTCGGTATCTGTTTTCAACTCTTTTGTGTATGTATTTAGGAGTGGAATTGTTGCGTTCTGTGGTGACTCTGTTTCACTTTTCCAGGAACTGCCAAACTGTTTTCCACCACAGCTGCACCGTTTTACATTCCCGCCAGCACTGAATGAGGATTCTCATTTTCCCCCATCCTAGCCAACACTTGTTAGTTTCTGTTTTTTGTTTCTTTGTTTCATGATGGCCAGTCTATGGGTGGGAAGTGGGGTCTGACTGTTTATTGGCATTTCCTGAATAGGTTTTTTGGTAGATGTTCTTTATCAAGCTGAAGATGGTCTCTGCCTCATTTAGTGAGTGGTTTTTAATCAGAAATGGTTGTTGGATTTTTGTCAGATGCTTTTTCTGCATCAATTGATCTGATCATATGATTTTGTCTCTTTAGTCTGTTGATGTGGTAGATTATATCCATTGATTTTTCTAATGTTGAACCAACATTGCAGCCTTGGAAAAAATACCACTTGGTTGTAGTGTATAATTCTTTTTAAACGTTGTTAGATTTGATTTGCTAATAATTTGTTGTGGATTTTTAAGTTGTTTGCTCCTGAGAGGCAGTGGTATGTCATTTTCTTATAATTTCTTTGGTTTTGATGTTAGGATAATTCCAGCTTCATAAAGTGAGGAAGTGTTTCTTCTTTTCCAATTTCTGGAATAGGTTGTAAAGAATTGGTGTAATTTCTCCCTTAAATGTTTGGTAGAATTCACCAGTGAAATCTATCTTCCTTTTACTGATTTTTAGTTTAATTCTATTGTAGTCTGAGAACATATTTTTATGATTTCTATTTTTAAAATACTTGTTAAGGTGTACTTCATAGCTCAGAATGTGGTCTATCTTTGTGAATGTTCTGTGCAAGCTTGAGAAGAATGTGTATTTTGCTGTAGTTGGATGGAATATTCTATAAATGTCAATTCTGTTGAGTTGATTTATGATGCTATTCAAGTGAACTGTCCTTGTTGATTTTCTGTCTGCTTGTTCTATCAATTACTGACAGGTCTTGAAGTCTCCACTTATAATAGTGGATTTACCAATTTCTCATTTAGAATTAAAATTCTCTCAGATTTTGCCCCATATATTTCAATTATCTGTTGTTAGGTGCATAGCCTTTAAGGATTGTAACATCCTCTTAAAAATTGATTTTTCTCTCATTATGTAATGTCGCCTCTTTATCCCTGATAATTTTCCTTGGTTGGTAGTCTGCTTTGTCTGAAATTAATAATGGTACTCCAACTTACTTTGATTAGAGTTAGCATGGTATACCTTTCTCTATCCCTTTACTTTTAACCTACCAGTGTCTCTGCATTTAAAGTAGATATCTTGTAGATAGCATAGAGTTGAGACTTGTGTTTTTTATCCACTCTGAAAATCTCTGTTTCAATGGGTGTGTTTTGATCATTCACATTTAAATGATTATTGAGGTACTTAGATTAATATCAAACTTTTTAGTAACTGTCTTCTGTACTTGCCAGAGACTTCTTTTTCTCTCTCCTCTGGTTTCAATGGACCATTTTATGTGATGCCATTTTATCTCCTTTCATAGTGTATCACTCATACTTCTTTTTAAAAGTTTTACAATATATGTTTACAATATGTATTTCAAAATAATCTAAGCCCACCTTCAAATAACACTATACCTCCTCCCATTTAGTACAACTACCTTATAACAGAATACTCCCAAATCCTCCTTCCTGTCCCTTGTGACATTGCTGTTAATTATTTCAATTATCCATATGTCATAATCATACAGTATATCGTTACCATTATTGCAGTAAATAAATTTATTTTTATATCAAATAAGAGTAAGGAAAATAGAAAATTTTATTTCACTGTCATTTATTCCTTTTTGAATACCTCTTTTTTATGTAGATCCAAGTTTTCAACCTATATAATTTTTCTTCTGTATGAAGAAAAATCTTTTAACGTTTATTTCAGGGTATATATTGCCAGTAATGAATTCCCTTGGTTTTGTTTGCCTGATAAACTATTTCTCCTTCATTTTTGAAGGATACTTTTTCTGAACATAGAATGCTAGGTTGGTGGTTTCTTCTTTCAAAATTTTAAGGATTTCACTCCACTCTCTCTCTCTCTCTTTTTTTTTTTTTTTTTGAGACAGAGTCTCGCTCTGTTGCCCAGGCTGGAGTGCAGTGGTGCTATCTCGGCTCACTGCAAGCTCTGCCTCCCGGGTTCATGCCATTCTCCTGCCTCAGCCTCCTGAGTAGCTGAGATTACAGGCGCCAGCCACCATGCCTGGCTAATTTTTGTATTTTTAGCAGAGATGGGGTTTTACCATGTTGTCCGTGGCTGGTCTCGAACTCCTGACCTCAAATCATCTGCCTGCCTCAGCCTCCCCAAGTGCTGGGATTACAGACGTGAGCCACCGCACCTGGCCTATCCACCCTCTTCTTCCTTTACTGGTTTCTGATGAGAAGTGGGCTGTAATTCTTATCTTTACCCCTCTATAGATAAGGTGTTTCCCTACCCCGCTGGTCATTTGCCTTAGTCATTTTCTCTGTCTTTGGTTTTCTGTAGTTCAAATATGGTGTGCCTAGGTGTAGGGTATTTTGCTTTTTGTTTTTTTTTTGTTTTGTTTTGTTCTTAGTATTTACTCTATTTGGTGTTCTTTGAGCCTCCATGGTCTGTGGCTTGGATCTGTCATTAATTTTGAAAATATTTTGGCCATCATTACCTCAAATGATTTTCTTCTCCATTGTCTCTTTTGTTCCCTTTTGGTATTCCAGTTACACGTGTAACATCTTTGATGTTGTTCCACAGTTCTTGGATACTTTGTTCTGTTCCCCTCCCCAACCCATTATTATTATTTTTTTATTTTTATTTTTTTGTAGAGGTGGGACTTTGCCATGTTGCCCAGGCTGATCTTCAACTTGTGAGCTCAGGTGATCCCCCCGCCTCAGCCTCCCAAAGTGCTGGGATTACAGGCATGAGCCGCTGTGCCCGGTCTTCCCACCATTCTTTGTGTGCATGTGTGTTTCATTTTGAGAAGTTCTTGTTGACCTGTCTTCAGGCTGATTATTTTCAGCCATGTTGATGAGCCCGTCAAAGGCATTCTTCATTTCTGTTAATAGGTTCCTTTTGGGCTGGGCGCGGTGGCTCACACCTGTAATCCCAGCACTTTGGGAGGCCGAGGCGGGCGGATCACCTGAGGTCGGGTGTTTGAGACCAATCTGACCAACATGGAGAAACCCCTGTCTCTATTAAAAATACAAAATTAGCCAGGCGTGATGGCGGGCACCTGTAGTCCCAGCTACTCGAGAGGCTGGGGCAGGAGAATGACGTGAACCTGGGAGGCGGAACTTGCAGTGAGCCGAGATCACTCCACTGTACTCCAGCCTGGGCAACAGAGCGAGACTCCATCTAAAAAAAAAAAAAAAAAAGAAACATGTTGTCCTTTTTGTCTTCTAGCATGCCTTGTAAGTTATTTGAAGCTAGATATGATGTATAGGGTGATGGGAACTGAGGTAAACAGGCCTTTAACGTGAGGTTTTCTGTTAATCTGGCTATGGGCTACGTGTAATGTTTGTTGTAGCTGTGAGTGCCGGCGTATTCCGATCCTTGCAGTGCCCTTGTTTTTGTCCTCTGGCTCTGGGCTTCCCTAAATTCCCTTCCTCAGACAGAGTGAGTGTCGTGCAGCTCTCCCAGCTTTCACCTGCTGTTGTACACTGGAGTCCTGTTGGTGTAGTTGTAGGGTGTGGGGAGGGCCAGCGGTCTATAGTCTTCTGATTACATCTCAGTCTTTCTGTGGTCCCATTTCCCTGGGCTGTGACTGTCACAGATGTTTCTTCTTATATAGCTTTTCCAGACCCCAAACAGGAGGCCAGAGGGGGCTGGACTCAGGAATGCCCTTCCTCCGTGGCTTTGCAACAAGGTTCTGGTAAAGTCTTTCCCTGCGGGGAGCAGGCCTTTGTCCTAGAGAAGGCTCTGGATGCATTTCACCAGGATGACGTTTGTCCTCCCTCTGCCAGAGTCACCAGGAGATGTCTCTTGGGTTTTCATGGTGAGAACCTAGTAGGGATCCTGGAGGAAAAGCCCATGAAAGTTTTGGGCCCCCCTAAGACTGTGGCTTCTAGGAGTTTCTCAGTCATGGGAGTCCACCCTTGGCCTGCAGCAATTTGTCAGAATTACCCAAACTACTGTGGTATGGCCCTGGAGGCTCTGTTCCAGGTCAGTGGATCTTTGGATTTGGCTGTGTCTCTAGATTTCAGGGGGGCGGGTTGCAAACTCAATTCACTGATGAGTCCAAAGAAGGTCATTGATTTTCAGTTTGTGCACCATTTTCTAGTCATGAGGATGGGAGTGATGACTTCCAAGTTCTTTACGTGTTGGAGCGGAAACTCCAATCCTTCCCCTGCTTTGATTTTCCTGTTACCCTAACCGGGAATCATGTTTGTTATTTGATGGTTTACTCAGTTGTCATCTGTCTTCCTAATTAGGACATAAGCTCCAGGGAACTGGAGTGTCAGTGTTCCCTTGCGTCCTTGCACCCACAAGACAGCCTGGCACATTCTGAATGAATACACCGAAAGGGATAAATAACGAGGCCAAGCCACCTGGCTATGGGTGGCTGCTAATCCGTAGGATTTCTCGTGCCTTGTGGTTTCAGTGAATTTGCGACACACATGAGTGATGCTGCCAATGGGAGGCTCCCAGATGTCCTCAACAAATAGAGGAGTGACCACTCAGATCCAAGGGTGTAGCACTTCCCGCCTATCACTGGGAGCTGATGGGCTGTCTTTAGCATGGCACTTTGTATGGTGCTGGCGCCCAGGCTTCCCTGGGGCAACAGCGTTGGCCCAGGCGACACACAAGAAGAAGGGGGTTTTTCTGTGGTCACTTCCGCGTTGCTAGTTGTTTTGCCCTCTTACTGTGGCTAAACCTTCTGTCCATACCTGTCCCCCATTCTCAGTATTTGGCTTTTCGGATTGCAGTAGTGGGACTTGGGTGCACATTGCAATAAACCAATTTGCCCCCATTATCCATGTCTTGTTGATGGTCCCACTGCCAGCATCAGTTCTTATGAACAGATTTCTAAACCATCACCATCTGTTCTGCTCTTAATTTCAAGTGTAAAAAGTATTACTTTCCTAATTCCGTCAAGGGGAGGGAGAATATGTATTCCTAAAGACCACAGTTCTTGTATGAGGAAGTGTAGATCTGCCACCCACCTACTAAAGGAAAGGTTGCTTCTGCCCATCCTCAAAGCTGTTGAGCAGTTATTTACCTAGAGGGTAAAACTGGCCCATTCGCATCTCTATAAAAACAGGTAGGAAAAGGTGGAAGGAGCTGAGTTGGGGAGGTGGAAGGGGGGCAAAAGCTATGTCTCCCGTCCCTCCCTGACAGTGCAGCCCCCCAACCCTCCAGCCCCCGCCAGTATAGGTGGGAATGGGCTGGCAGGGCTGCATTGTGGTGGTCCCTGCTGCTGCTAGGGCTGTTTCCAGAAGAAGGCCCAGTTTCAGGCTTGACTTCCCCTCAGAAGTCATAAGGACCATAAGGTCCATCTGGGTGGGCGCTGAGCTCTCCACGATGGGAGCAGGATAGACATGAGCATCTTCACCCTCGTGGTCCCTCTGAGCCTGCCCTGGGGGTGAGCTCTTTTTCTGCTCAAATGAACATTCCAGGCAGGCCCTGGAGCTTTCTGTCGTTCTAAGGCAATAGAAGGTTCTTTGGTTACTTTCAGTCCCAGGAACATTGTTGGTCAGTCATGAAAAGGAGTAATTATAGACTCTTTGGAGCTTCTCCCACCCGGCTGGAGCCTGACCTGTCTTGGAGCCGGCTGGGGAGGGAGGGCTGTGTGTCTCCTTCTTTCTTTCTTTGCCTCTGTTTTTGCTGGCCAGGGAGTGTTCCGAGGGATGGAGTGTCTGGGGAGAGGGCATTCTCTCCACAAGTGGGCTGGGTGGCACTTCTGGGGTCCAGCAGATGTTTCACTTGGACTTCCTGTCTCCAGTGACCCTCGGGTAGGTTTCTTAGAGATGACCCTGCTGGGAACTTGCAGCTCTTCCCTGCGACCTGTGGGAGGCCTTGCTGGGCTGATGCCCTTGACTGCTCTCCCTATCCTCCACCATGCCCCTCGGGAGTGCTCCTGGGCTGTTCCTTCAAGGCGGCCCCAGGCTGGCCCCACACTGGTGGGAGCAGCAGGCAGCTCCTCCTTGGGCAGCTCCTCCTCTTCCCCTGTGAGGCAGCTCTGGTCATGGCCTCCTGCCTCTGGATTCTCAGGAAACTCGGGTGCCGCGTCCGCAGACATTGGGGACTCGGTACAGCTATCCTAGGGGTCTGCTAGAAGCCCTGTTTGGGAATCATGGTGAAGCCACCTCCCCAGCCCCCTCCATGAGGCACAGCCCTTCACGGAAAGTCCCTGCTCCTCTTCTGGTACCCCGTAGGCCAGAAACCATGCTGGGGTGGGGAGCTGGGAGCATCTGTTGATGTGGGATGCAGGCGTGCTTGTCACCTCTCCTGGCCCTCAGGGCAGCAGGACAGCTTACATGAACATCTCATCCCGCTGCTGGTGGCCTCTGGTGAGAGACTACTCCAGTCGGTCCCCCTGTAGCTCCTGGATCTTAGCGGGGGCCTGGGAATGGGAGGCCACAAGGAGGTTCCAGAGCTAACTAAAGCCGCTGAGACTCAGAGGGAGTCTCACGCCACTGCCTCCTGTGCCCCCATCCCCTAGCAAAGTGGGACTGATGAGGGATGACCTTGCGTCCTTCTCCCCTGTTCACTGGGACCTGGTGCTGTTGCCACCGTGGGCCCAAACATCCACTGCCCTTTTAGCAAGGCAGCGCTGCTCCATAGGGTCCAGCCGGGGAAGCATCTGGCTTTGCACAGGTGGAAGATCATGACTATTTCCAGAGTCTGTTGCCAGGCTCCATGTAGTTCAGGAGTTGTTTCTCCCTCTGAGAGTCCAAAGTGGTTGTTTTCCGGAGTTTGGCAGTACCTAAGGGTTAATTGGGATGTTATTGTCTGCATTTGGCTTAGAGATAGGAAAGTTTTATGTTTATTCAAATTATCAGTAATTTAAAATTACAATTTTAGTCTTAATTGTACGTATTTGGAGATCCCATTTAAGTCTTTGGAAATAATTGCAGAGTAATATTTTGGGAAGTTATATTACAATGCACAGACGTTCAAGTGGAGAAAGGTCCCTGCGTGTGAGCCTTGGCCTGGCAGAGGGGCATCCAGGACAGGATCTACAGCACACAGCCCTCCCAACTGGGTCTGGGCATGGCTGCAGCTGAGTCTAGCCCTCCTTTCTGTGCTGCTGCATCCCAGGGGATACGGCCACACAGGCCACAGTTGCCTAGACCGACCTGGTGTCAGGATCACTGTCTCTGCTTTGGTAAGATGTCCTTGGGAGGGGAAGGGAGCCAGCCAATGAGATGAGGGGTAGGAGGGTGACAGGGTGGAGCAGACCCTCATGCTGGCAGAAGAGAGGTTCACATTCACCAGGGAGCAGGTTTTTCTGAACCCTGGAGAGCTGAGGGGGGCACCTGGAGCACCCCTGCAGTCCACAGCATGGGGTGCTGGCTTCTGTACTGTAGTGCAGTGCCATGAGGTACCCATCCCTTGCAGTGGGGTAGGGTTTAAAACCCAGAAGGCAGCCCTCCCTGGAGCACAGCCCCATGGTGTTTAGAGACCCTCTCCTCTGAGCACATGCAGGATGTGACAATGCAGGTGGGCCTAGTGCTGCAGTCTCAGAGACACCCATGGGCTTCTGCCATGCTTTTTATCCACCAGGGCAGTAAAAGCAACGTCCACAGTGGCTTAGCCTCCTGCAAAGCCTGTGGCAGGACAGCCAGGGTTCCCTGACAGTGGAGATGGTGGACGGCCCCATAGGGGGTTGGTCCCATCTCGCCAGCAGAAGTGACCTGTGTGGCCTTAGTGGTCAGTGCTGCCTATTGTGATAGTGGATTGTTTAAAGCCAGGTCCCATCGTGGCTCCTGAGGGAATGAAAATGAGGGGTTCTTTGCTGTGATCTGATGCTTGTGTTCCACCAAATCCATATTTTGGAATTCTTATCCCCAAAGTGATGGGACCTTTGGGAGGGAGACATTGGAATTCACATTCCCAAGGAGATGGGGCCTTATGGAGGTGTCTTAATCTGTATTCTGCTGCTGAAACAGAATACCACAGATTGGGTAATTTATAATGAACAGAACATTATTTGGCTCAGAGTTCTAGGGGCTGGGAAGTCCAAGGTTGAGGGTTGCATCTGCTGAGGGCCTTCTTGCTGCGTCCTAACATGGTGGAAGGCATCATATAGTGAGCGAGAGAGGGAAGGGGGCCAAACTCATTGTTTTATTAGGAACCTGCTCCTCAGTCACTAACCCACTCTCGCGATAATGGCATTAATACATTCATGAGGGTAGAGCTTTCAGGACCTAATCACCTCTTAAAGGTCTCACTTCTCAACATTGTTGCATCGGGGATTAGGTTTCCAACACATGAACTTTGGGGGGGCACATTCCAACTATAGCAGTGGGTGATCAGGTCCTGATGGTGAAGCCCTCATAATGGGATCAATGCCGTTTTAAAAGAGGCTGCAGAGAGAGCCTCCCGCCCTCCACCATGTGAGGACAGAGTGAGAAGCTGCCGTCTCTGAGCCATCACGCAGGTACTCACCAGGCACGGAATCTGCTGGCTCTCTGGTCTTGGACTTCCCAGCCTCCTGAACTGAGACAAGCCACTTTCTGTCATGTATAATCTACCCAGTTTATGGTATTTTGTGAGAGTACCCTGAATGGAATAAGACTCCCTTCAAACAAATGTCCTGCTCTTTGAAAGAGAGTGTGGGGCTCACAGTCTGCTAGTAAAGACAGTTGTAGGAGCAATGGCAAGCCCACACTGGCTCGGATTTTCAGACCTTATCATTGAGTTAGGAGCGAAGTCCTCGACCTGAGGTTTTATTGGTCCAAAGTCAGGGCCTGCTGGAGCCCGACAGGTTGCGTGCTTGGCCTGTGGAGCAGTTTTCTCCAGAGCACCTCTATCCCCTCTGCCTTGTGCCAGGCCCAGCAGGGACTGAGGGTAGAATAATGACAGGCACAGCTCCTCCCCTCAAAGAGTCCACTATCTGGGGTTTGATGCTGGAGCGCAAGGAGGGGCTGCCCACATGGGCGGAGCAGAGGGCCTGGGGAAGTTCCAGGAAGAAGTGACTGTGTGCCGAGGCTGCAGGAGTAGAGGCAGCCCAGGAGAAAGGGGGGCATGGGCTGGAGGTGGGGGTGGTTCCAGGCAGAGAGAGCAGCTTGCACACGGGAAAACAAGGCATGGAGTGGGCAGCTCCTTCCGCCTGGTCTCTAAACCTGTGAAGAGGGGGCTGGGGAGAAGAGACGGGGGTGGAGGAGAGCAGGACTCACAGGCCAGCCAGCCCTCCACAGCCTTGGGAACAGAGTGAAGAGCTTGGACTGTGTCCTATGTCCTGGGGCCGGTGCCACTGCAGGCTTTGGAGCCAGGAGGGACTCAGTGGAGCTTGCTGTGTATGATTGTGAGTGTGGGGAATGGTTTGGGGTGGGAGGCAGGACAAGCAGCTGTGGACTCCTGTCTGCAGGTGAGTGCCAGGGCTCAGTGTGGGTTCTGATTGGGCTAAGTAGGTGCCCATCTGCCTGGAGTCCAGCTGTCCTTGTGTGGTCTGTAGACCTTGTTGTCAAGGTCTGGCAGCTCAACGCTGGTCTTTCTGAGATAATGAAAAGGGAAAACTTTAGAGGCAGGACGAAGACCTTGTAGTGACCAGTGACATCCCCACAGGGTCTAGGTGTGCGAGGTCTATTGGCGCCTGTGTGGGAAGGCGGGAAACCAGGGGCTTGGGGCCAGCTACAAATGCCACACTGGGCTCTGCCTTGGCTCTAGGTGCTTTGGTTGCTGGATTTGGTGGTGGCTCAGGGCAGTCACTTGTCATTCTCAGTATTTTATCCCCTGGGGCCTCCTCAGAGCCATAGGAGATGGTTCACCTCTGAAGGACTGCCCCATGCTGTGCTTGGTAAGCTCGGTCACCCAGGGCTGTCACAGAGATGGGCTATGGCCCACATGGGCTGAGCGGATTTCTGCCCTGCCACCTACACCTTGCTGTGATTACTTTGGCAGTGTTTCCCCGTCAGGAGAGCAGGTGGGAAGGGAGGCAGGTCCCTGAACTGGGATAGAGCCCGGAGACCTGGGTGTCCTCTGCTCTGTTGTACTGACACGCTGCGTGCTTATGAAATGAGGGCAGGGGTTCTCAGTGCTCCCATGGCATGGTGACTATAATCCATGAATGATGCCCACACAGTTCCTGGCATGCTCAGTGTAGCCTTGTTGTTGTAAGAGAAAAAAGCAGGGATTCTCCACTTCCCCACAGAGTGAACTGGAACGAGGAGAGACTGGTATTTCTCCAACACTAGGTTTCTTTGGATTTTTATGCTGGTTGATACTCCCTAAATCACAGGTCGCCTTAAAGAGAGCAAGAGCCCTGCACGGTGGCCCGGACCCTTGGGGCCCCTTCCATCCGATGCACCTCGTGGCCCAGTCTTTACCTGCTCACCATGCACAGCACTTCGCATGGGTTTGGAAACGTGTCATCTGCATGGCAAGGATGGGAATGGGGAGTGGGAACCTGCAGTTTAGGGTCCAGGCGGGTGGATTTTAATTTGCCCCTGGGGGATTCTAGGGCCAGCAGAGCTCACTGCCGCTGCTGTCTGGGCCTCCAGGCAGTGAGCTGCTGGGGGAGCCCCTCTGGAAATGGACAGTGGCTGTCAGGGCGTAGGACGCTAGGGGGCGAACAGAGGAAGTAGAGGTATCTGGGGCTGAAGTTCAAGGTTGCAGCATGAAGTTCAGGGTTGCAGCGCCCAGCCTAGCAGGGCAGGGTTCAATCTGCAGGACTGGCATGAGGAGGCAGAGGAGTCAGCCAAGCCCTCCCCTCAGCCTCTCTCCAGACACTACAGATCCAAGGCCAGGTCTGCATGAGGACAGCCACCTGGTCTCGGCTGAGGTTACAGGAAGGGAGTCGGGGCAAGGGCCAGTGAGTTTGTTCCTAATTTGGGTCCCCTAATTGTCCAAGAGAAGAAGAAAAGGCCTAATTTCTGTTTCGCTAAGTTTTAGACTACTTTAGTTCATGTTCTTTAACAATAGGTTATTCATGCAGAGCTCATCTCTATTAATCAAAATGTATGATTAGGCAGAAAGCCCTATTCCCACACCAGAGTGGTGAAATGCAGTGCATGTGTGTTCAGATCAATTTTTGAAGTCTTGATTTTGTTTTGTTACATGTTTATTTGATTGCTTGCAGAAGAATGAAGTTTTTTGGCCCTCTGGAAAATTTTTCTTTCTCCTGAGAGGTTTTCCAATCTAGTAGAAAATAGACGCAGAGTTTGGCTTGCACTGATTGCGGCATTAGAAGCGGCCCTGTACATTTTAATGTGGAAGACGTGATGGTTTTGCGTTTGCTCCTCCAGTTGTGCCCCATAGCTGTCTTTCTGCCAGCTCTCTTGCACATTTAGTTCTTGAGTGAGATGTTCTAAATAGAAGCCATGGTCCATTCAGTCCCCAGCCTGCTGTCCTTCTGTGACCCGCCAGCCAGCTTTGCTTAGGGAGCTATGAGCCCCTCCTACTAGGCTACAAAGTCATGGGCAGGAAAAGCATTTGTGCACAGCCAGGAGCAGAGCACCCAGGCCCAGGTCTGTCCCGGAGCCATGTGGACCTGGCGAATGGCTGTTCAGGTCAGAAGGGGGTTTGGATACACCGGTTCTGTGTTTCGGAGGCCAGCGTAGTCCCCAGTGTATTTCGCAGAAGTGATAGCAGCTTTATTCCCAAGGCACTAGTGCCTGCGCGTTAGGCACGTGCTGGGTGCCTGCTTGAGTGTCTCCTTTGTTCCTCTCTATCACTGGCTGTCCCCTGCAGAGGCAAGCGAGGCAGAGAGTTGGCTGGTAACAGCCAGTGTCCGCAGAGCCCCAGGGCTCCCTGACTGGGCTGTGCCACCTGGGGACAGGCAGATAGACCCCAAGTAAAGTTAAAGGGAAGCACAGTGGGGCCTGCACAGGATGTGAGTTGGAGGCTCTGGTGAAACTGAGACTTGGTGGGGGATGGGAGGCAGGGGCCCTGCTGGGACAGACAGGAGACCAGGGGCCAGTGGCAGAAATGGTCCTCGATCTACCCTCATGCAGATGGTGGCCTCTACCGGGAGCCCTGTGTGTCTCTGAGCCTTAGTCTCCCTCCCTCCAGTCTGCGAAATGGGCATAATAGAAATGATGCCTCTCACTAATAAATCTGTGCAGAAAGAGAAAGCAGTTTGCAACTGCAAAGCATTATTCAGGTCTTCCTGGCTCTACCTCCAGGATCGTATGCCTCCGCTCTCTCACGAGACACAGGCCTCCCATGTGCCCGGTGGTGGTCTCGAGGTCATCTGAGCCATCATCCACCCCTCTATACCGGGGACAGTGTGCTGCCAGGAGGGGCACCAGAAGAGGTGTCATACAGTGGCATGCTGAGCTAGGATTTGAGGCACTTCCTGCCTCTTCTAGTTCCTTGTGGGCCGGGGGTGCTTTGCTCAGATGGTGCTGGGGAGGAAGGGCAATATCTAAGGATGTATTGAGAGGGTCACATTCAGGTGTGCCATCTTCTGAGGGACAGAACCCTGTCACGACAGTTTTGCCGTGACTGAATTCCCACATTGCAGAGTGCGCTTGGGGTGTGGCTCTGAACATCGCTGGCAGGTCAGGTGGAGCCTCGCTGCTCTGGGGAGCTGTGCCCAGGTTCCCTCGGTTCCTGAAGCTCAGAGGTTGCAGGAGAAAGGGCCTCCTGGTGGCTGCTTACTCTGCCCCACTGTGAAGTGCCTGGTCACTAGAGTTAGGCCTCTCTCCCACTCCGGGCTTCAGGGATTCCACTGAGGATGGAGGGTGTTGGATTTAGTTTCTTTTTTTTTTCTTTTTTTTCTTTTGAGATGGAGTCTCACTCTGTCGCCCAGGCTGGAGTGCAGTGGCACCATCTCTGCTTACTGCAAGCTCCGCCTCCTGGGTTCACGCCATTCTCCTGCCTCAGCCTCCCGAGTAGCTGGGACTACAGGCGCCCGCCACCACGCCCGGCTAATTGTTTTGTATTTTTGGTAGAGACGGGGTTTGACCGTGTTAGCCAGGATGGTCTCGATCTCCTGACCTCGTGATCCGCCCACCTCGGCCTCCCAAAGTGCTGGGATTACAGGCATGAGCCACCGCGCCTGGCCCCCTTCTGGAGTATTTCGTTCATTAGAAGTAAGTCAGGGACTTAGTGTCTTTAGCTCCAGCCAGTCCTGTGGCCTCTCTGCCACTGTGTGAATGTCCCCAACCCCCCACCTGATAAGCAGGTGTCCTGAGGTCATCAGGGATTTGGACTTAGTTATTAAAAAGCAACCAGCACCCTTAGGAGCCTCCAGAGCAGAGATTGCCAAACTTTCTCAGACCACGGTGCCCTGGATCTCAGCAATTTCATGGTGTTTCTAGACCAAAACACATAGCTAACAACTCTACTCTTTAAGTAGCTAGGTCCAAACCACATGGTATTTATGTCCCAACAACTTGGAAGCCACATGAGAAATAATACTCATAAATTGAAACAAATGTATTTCATCCTAAACCACAATTACAAACGGAAGTGTGTCTGCTGAATGAGATTGGCACCATTCTCATTTCCTGTTTGATGCTGACTTTTGTGTGGGACTTGCTGTTTAAAAGTTTATTTTTATTTTTAATTTTTATACACATATCATAGTTATACATATTATGGGGGTACGTGTGATATTTTTTCTTGAGACAGCGTGACAGAGTTTTGCTCTGTAGCCCAGGCTGGAGTGCAGGGGTGCAATCTTGGCTCACTGCACCCTCCACCTCCCTGTTCAAGCGATTTTCATGTCTCTGCCTCTTAAGTAGCTGGGACTACAAGAGGTACGCCACCTCGCCTGGCTAATTTTTGTATTTTTAGTAGAGATGGGGTTTCACCACATTGTCCAGGCTGGTCTCAAACTCCTGGCCTCAAGTGATCTGCCTGCCTAGGCCTCCCAAAGTGCTGGAATCACAGGCATGAGCCACCGCACCTGGCCTACATGTGGTATTTTAATATAAGCATATACATTATTAATTGTGGCAAAGTACACATAACATAAAATACCATCTTAATCATTTTAAGTGTATAGTTCGGTGGAATTAAGTACATCAACATTGTTTTGCAGTCATCACCATCAGCTATCTCCAAAACGTTTTCATCTTCCCAAAACTTAAATTGTGCGCATGAAACAGTACCTCTCCTTTCCCCCTTCCTCCAGCCCCTCCCAGCCACCACTCTACTTTCCCTCTGTCTGAATTCACCTCTCTAGGTACCTCATGTAAGTGGAATCGTGCAGTATTTGTTCTTTTGTGACTGTCTTATTTCACTTCGCATGGTGTCCGTAGGGGTCCTGCACGTTGTGGCATGCGTCAGAATTGCTTCCTTTTTTAGTGCTGAATAACACTCCATTGCGGGAATATGCCACATTTTGTTGATCTGTTCTTCTGCTGCTGGACACGTGGGTTGGTTCCGCCATTTGGATTGTGGATAATGCTGCTGTGAACAGGGGTGTACAGATGTCTCCCTGAGTCCCTTCTTTCAGTTCTTTTGGGATATACCCAGAAGTGGAATTACTGGACCATATGGTAGCTCTTTTTAAAATTTTTTGAAGTGCCATACTATTTTCCACAGCAGCTGCACCCATTTACATTTCTATTATGCCAACAGTGTACAAGGGCTCCAATTTCTCCACATCCTCACCAGCACTTGTGTTTTCATTTTTTTTGTTTTTCTTTTCTTTCTTCTTCCTTTTTTAAATGGTACTATCCCAACAAGCGTGATAGCAGGAATTTGCTTTTAATTACAGCTACTTCTGGCCTCACGAGACGTCTTTCAGAGGAATGTAGTGTGATCTCACCTTGGAAACGAGAGCTGCCTCAAGGCAGTGGTGCATGCGGTGCTGACAGGTGCCAAGGGTCACTGCCTTCCCCATGGACATCTGGGCTGTGCTGCAGTGCCCCTGTGGGTGCAGCAGGGCCCCTAGGGTGCCTCCGTGCAGCTTGGGAGCCATGGAACTAGACAGTGTGCTTCAGACGAGTAGATAAGCACAGAAACAGAGCCGTAAGGACTGGGGGGAACGTCCAGTCCATAGTTCTGTGTGGAACCACGATCCACGGAGGCAGCTGAGGGGCAAGTGTAGTGTACGTGGCTGTGCGCTCCATCTCCGTGCTTACAGCCCTACAAAGTGGGAAGAGAATGGAAGAAACAGGAGAGAAAAAGTCCCGTGTGGTTTCCCGGAATCCTGTGGGTAGTGAGAGTCTCAGCATTGTTATTCCTAGCATGTTTTGTGTGTAACGTGAGATGAAGCAAATGATTACTGATGTGATCTTTTAACTCTGAGGACCTTGACCAGGATTTTCAGTGGCGAGGAGAAAGGAGATACGGAGGAAAGGTGCTGCGGGTTAAGAAAGCCTCGGGAGGCTGGGCGTGGTGGCTCACGCCTGTAATCCCAGCACTTTGGGAGGCCGAGGCAGGTGGATCATGAGGTCAGGAGATCGAGACCATCCTGGCTAACACAGTGAAACCCCGTCTCTACTAAAAATACAAAAAAAAAAAAAAAAAAAAAAAAAAAAAAATAGCGGGGCGTGGTGGCAGGCACCTGTAGTCCCAGCTACTCCGAAGGCTGAGACAGGAGAATGGAGAATGGCGTGAACCCGGGTGAACCCGGGAGGTGGAGCTTGCAGTGAGCCGAGATCACGCCACTGCACTCCAGCCTGGGTGACAGAGCGAGACTCTGTATCAAAAAAAAAGAAAAAAAAAAAAGAAAAGAAAAAGAAAAACAAAGCCTCTGGAATCCGGAACTACAAATCCATAAGTAGCCCTAGAGCGTTCCCTGGAGAGGCCTGGAATCAGTGGCCAAACCAATCACACGGAGCACCCCCAGTCCCGGGTCATGTCTTGAAATTCAGTTTTCTGCTGAAAGAAGCTGAGACTACTTGGACAAATGGTTGATACCGGGTTGGGGGCGGGAAATGTACAAGTTGAACCTAAATGCTTTGTCATAGCAGATAATAAAGGAGCCACCCTGGACTGTGAGGATGTGATTCTGCTGAGAGAGAGCATTAAAAGAGGAAAAAAACTATTAAAGTCAAAGTCCATGAGGATAGTGTTAAAAGGACTCGTGAGCTCACCTGATGAGGCCAGAGATGGACAATTTGAACATCAGTAAGAGTAAAAATCACAGTAGGTTGAAATGTATGCAGTATGTTTAAGTCCATGAGTTTTTTTAACAATACTCAGGAAATAAACCTAATCCGTCACCTTTGGAGAATGCTAGGGAACCAATTATATATTTTTGGTAAATAAGGGAAAGCTCTGAAATATATATCCTGCTTTTCTTATGCAGGCCGCACTACTGGGTGAGCAGGTGGCAGGTTGGGAGGTTCCATGTATAGAGGATGGAACCTCTGTGTCTGAAGCGTCTCAGCACATCTGAATTCACAAGCTGGGCGCTGGTGGCCCTGGGGCCTGCTGACATCTCAGGAAGGGAGGAAGAGCCACACTGCCCGGGAGCTGGTCTGCCCCTATTCTAACAGGGATCTCATTCGACTTCCAGATCCAACCACTGATTTGCAGGAACGGAAAGGACAGAGGACGATGTTTGGCTGTGCTTCAGGCACCTGGCCATCAAAAGCCAAACCATGGGAAATGCTGTGTGACCAACGACTCTTCAGTTAATAACTTGGGAGGCAAAAAAAAAAAAAAAAAAAAAAAGAGGTGGAAGCACAACCAACGGTTAAAGGGGACATAAAAGGCACACATAGTGTGTGTGTAGGGACATGTGCTACATGGAGCAGGGTGGGGCTATGATTACCCTACAACCAGGATGTGGTCAGGGGCACACAGGGAGGCTGGGTCCCGAGGGCTGGAGTGGCCGGTAGGGCCCCTCTTCTTCCCTGCCTGAGGATTGTAAAGGTTGTTTCATAGCCGTTTTGTTTGTTTATTTATTTATTTATTTATTTAGAGATGGAGTCTCGCTCTTTCGCCCAGGCTGGAGCGCAGTGGCGCGATCTCAGCTCACCGCAAGCTCCGCCTCCCGGGTTCACACCATTCTCCTGCCTCAGCCTCCCGAGTAGCTGGGACTACAGGTGCCCGCCACCACGCCTGGCTAATTTTGTTTTGTATTTTTAGTAGAGACACGGTTTGACCGTGTTAGCCAGGATGGTCTCGATCTCCTGATCTCGTGATCCGCCCGCCTCAGCCTCCTAAAGTGCTGGGATTACAGGCGTGAGCCACTGCGCCTGGCCTCATAGCCATTTATTAAGCTAAATATTTACACTATGTTTTCTAAAAAAGTAAAATTATTTTAACAACATAAAAGTCAAAGGAAGAAGTTCCTGGAAGTGGTCTTGAAGGTGCAAGTGGGCAATTGTGAACAGTCTGCTGGTGCAGGATGTGGCGCTTCGTCGTGGGAGTGCTGTCTCCCTCCACTGTGGGCCGCGCTCCTTCCTGCAGCACTCGCAGCTCACTGCTGCCATTTCCCGTGTAATCCTGTCTTCTGTCTTGACTCAGACCCACTCGTATCTTTGTTGTCTGGGGTCTGCGCTTTACTAGGGGACCTTGGAGTTCTGTTGTTGGCTGTGACTTCATTCCATGTTCTTTCCCATAAGGAACTGTGTTGGGAATAGTTTGATGATTCCATGGTCATGCCTTTTGGCCTTTTCTGTGAGGGGCGAATGGGGAGCACATGGAACTTATTGCTGCTGTCTTCAGTATTTCTTGGGGGAGGAACTCGGTGTGGTTTTTTCCAGCCTGAGCCCACCCTGAGGTCGGTTGTTGGACCCACCTGCCTGATGCAGACTGCCAGGGTCTTCCTGCCAGCGCGGGATCCCCCACTTTCCATTTCCTCTTGCAACCATCAGACCCAGGGACACATGTGTGGCTCCTTCTCCAGTAAGCGACCTGGGAGGTATCCTTACCCCAGGACCCGAGTGAGCGTCTGTTGGAGACTCCCAGGTGTGCAGGCCAGAAGGACATGCCCAGTTGTGTGGCTGCCTCTTCCCTGCAGGGAGAGAGAGAAGGCTGGCGTGGGGCTTCTCCCCGGGCTGGGCCTGCGTTGTCCCCGAGGCCCGTGGCCGCTGGAGCAGCCCCTGAGCGACTCTGCTCCTTCCTGGGCCTCGGTTTCCTCGTTCTCAGGGGGGGCTTCTGCCAGACTGTCTGGGAGATGTTTTCAGCCCTCTAATTTGTGCATGCTGTGACTCACCCAAAATTACAGAGCAAAGCTAATGGAATCAGGAATTTATAAATCCCCCTTCCTTCCTCACGCGGTTCCTTGAGTTTTTGAAAACTACCATTCAGAATGAGACAGTGGCCTTCTACCTGAGGCCACAGGGTTGTCTGTGGCCTAACTGATTTCTGGCCAGTCAGGCTGGGTGAGCCTCAACAGCGTGAACATACTAAAGGCTTCTTCCTTGCCCTGGGACACCGGTTCTGGCCAGGCTACAGGGCTCACAGCTCAGACCTGCCTCTGCCTGGGAGTGACACGGTCCCCTCTGCTCACGTGCCATGGATCAGAGCTGCCATGTGGCCCAGCTTAGGGAGACCAAGAAGCATGGGAGACTCCCCGGCTATTTGACGAGCAGGACCTGTCCATGCCATCTCCCATCTGTGCCCTGCATCTGCGACTTCCAAAGAGCATTGGCCTGCACTGTCCTATGAAATGCTACCACAAGCCCTTTCTGGCAAGTGCAGTTAATCCTGTTCGGTGGGTTAGGAAACCAAGGCTCTGAGGGAGGCTTTCAGTGCCACAGCTGGGAGGTGAGAGTTGTGAGTTGCAGATGTCTCAGCCATCCCGAGCGTGACCATTCTGAGTGGCGGGAAGCTTTTCACTCAGCACTGAGTACATGATGCCTACAGTGTTCTGGGCCTCCTCCATCAGGAATCATGGGCCCTTCTCCCCAGGACGCTCATCGATGGCCCCGGCTCCTCCAGCCCTGGCTCCTCCAGCCCTGGCTCCTCCAGCCCTGGCCCCTCCTTGGGCTGTGGCTGCACCCTGGGCTCCACCCATTCCAGACCCAAAGGCCCATGGGCCAACCAGACACCGCCCCTACATGGTGTGCCCACAGGCTCTTATGGATCCCAGAGGGCCCCCTTTGTCCTGCTTGGGGAGGCTGGGGTGGCCGCTACACAGTGCCCTGCCGTGGCCCCCATGCTCCCCAACTCCCTACTGTGTCTGCTGGACGTTTGAACAGCCTCCTGCCCTAAACCTTGCATCCTGCCACCTCTGGCCCACTCTCCACCCTGGCCTACTCTTCACCCTGGCCCACTCTCCACTCTGCAGCCAAGTGATCTTTTCCAGCAGCACATGTGACTGAGTATTGCTGATGGCTGCGACTGCTTTCAGGATCAAATTGTGTCTCTTCCGAAAGAGACATCAGATAAGAGACATTGGAAAAGAACATGAATTGCGGTCACCCAGAGCTCTTTCGCGGTTTGGGATTAAGCCATGCAGAAAGGTGTGCAGGAGCCTAGATCACCTGCCAACCTGCCTCTTGCCATCCTCTATTTTGTACGCTCAGTCACCCCAGAAAATTGCTCCGGCCCTTGGATTTACCTCCGTGTCACTGTCCATCCGGTACCCTCTGCCTGGGATGCCTCCTGGGTCTCCATCACCCGCCTCACTCGTTTTTCCTCTGCACATGGCATCTACTTCCGCCCTTCCGCAGGACACCTTCCCAGGCTGGGTCTGGACCACCCTGCGGACTCGCTCCTCGCAATACTGGCCACATGCCCTCAAGCCCATCTGTTTCTTAGAGTCGATGTCCCCTAAGGTGTGAGTTCCTGGTGAGCAGGAGAACCTGTGCCTTTTATAACCTGGTGTGCTGCTCGGCGTGCCGAAGGAACCAAGGCGATGTTGAGAAATGAATGGAACAGCTGTACTGTGCAGAGATACGTGCAGAGAGGGGCAGGAGGAAGCCTCCACTTCAGACTTCAGTGTGAAAAAGAGACACTGGAAAAGAACATGAAATGTGGTTGCCCGATGCTCCTTTGTGGTTTGGGATGAAGCCCTGCAGAAAGGTCCGGGCAGCACTGCAGCCCCGCCATGCTGCTTGCCCCACGTGGGTTCTGGAGTCTGGTGGCACCTGGAAGAGCAGGTGGAGTGGAAGCTGCTAGAAGGTGGGAACCTGAGGGTCCTGGGCTGGCAGAGGCCTTGCCCCCGCTTTGCCTAGGGAGGCAGTGAGCTTCCTCCTTCATTTGAACTTTGCCCTGAAGAGCTGGGCCTTCCTTGTTCATGGGGAGCCTGATGCTTCTTCCCAGCACACCACAGCCACACAGGAGGTGCAGCAGAGCATGCGGAGATCCACCTGGCAACTCACAGCCAGCCGCGGCGTCACTGTCAGGACTCTGTGAAAAACAAGGTTTCTGTTTGGCGCGGGGACGACCAGAGGGAAGGAGACTGGTAGAGCCTAAGTATTCAGCCGACCATTAAAAAGTGAAAGTCAGAAGCAATGTAAGTCAAAACTCAGGACATCTCAGGGTGACCTTGGCCACTCACAGTTGTTCGTGTTTGAAATCACATTGATTCTCGCAGCTGTCCAAGGCGCAGGAAATAACCACTCTGGGTGATGTCGTTGGGATGGTTTTGTCAGCACTCAGGATTTGGGGGTTTGTTATGAAAATTTCACGTTACAAAAAAGGGAGAAGTGCAGTTTTGTGTGTTTAGGGTTATTGGTGGCTAGACATCTGAAAATCAGGATCCCCGCTCATTGATTTTTTTTTTTTTTTTGAGATGGAGTCTTGCTCTGTTGCCCAGGCTAGAGTGCAGTGGCCAATCTTGGTTCACTGCAACCTCGGCCTCCCAAGTTCAAGCGATTCTCCTGCCTCAGCCTCCTGAGTAACTGGGATTACAGGCGCCTGCCCCCCGCCTGGCTAATTTTTGTATTTTTAGTAGAGACAGGGTTTTAACATGTTAGCCAGGCTGGTAACTCCTGACCTCAGGTGATCAGCCTACCTCGGCCTCCCAAAGTGCTGGGATTACAGGCGGTGCCGCTCCTTACATTTTGTTGCTGTTCCCAGGAAGATTGATGGAGGGAAAACACACTCTCCACAGAGGAGATCCTGTGTTTACAGCCGTCTTAGATAGAGTCGTGATGAGGAGGAGGACTCTGGGCCGACAGTGTATGAGGGTTCCGCCTCATAAGGCTGTTTGGTGTTTGTGCCCACACTGGGTGTGACGGGTTGAAGCAGTGGATAACAAGCCTATTACTGTTATGCAAATGTGGGCGGCCCAGTTGCATTCTTCATGCATGTGTCTCTCCCTAATGAGTTTCAAAATCTTAATTTAGATCTTGATTTTGTTGCAGATAGGATTCCAATTTAAAGAGCGTTTGTCATTCAGAGACTGTGGTAGACAGGAAAATGGTCTTCAGAGATATCCACACCCTAGCTGTGGCGCCTGTAAATCTGTTACTTTATGTGACAGAAAGGACTTTGCAGATCTGATTAAGTTATGGATCTTGAGATGGAGAGATTATTCTGGATTATTCAGGTGGGCCCTTATAATCATGGTGACCCTTATAAGAAGGAAGCTGGAGGAGTTAATTGTCAGAGGAGAAGGTGCTGTGACGATGGAAGTGGAGATTGAAGTGATGCACTTTGAAGATGGAGGAAGCGGCTGCAAGCCAAGGAATGCAGGTGGCTTCTAGAAGCCAGAAAAGGCAAGGAAACAGATTCTTGCCTAGAGCCTCCGTAAAGAACCAGGCCAGTCGACACCATGACCTTAGCCCAAGGAGACCTGCGTGGGATTCCTTTCTTTTTATTTTCTTTCTTTTCTTTTCTTTTTTTTGAGACAGGATCTTGCTCTGTCATCCAGGCTGGAGTGCAGTGGCGCCATCTCAGCTCACTGCAACCTCCACCTCTTAGGTTCAAGCCATTTTCGTGCCTCAACCACCCATGTAGCTGGGATACAGGCACATGCCACCATGTCTGGCTAATTTTTGCATTTTTTTGTAAAGATAAGGTCTTGCTATATTGCCTAGGCTGTTCTTGAACTCCTGGGCTCAAGGGATCCACCTGCCTCAGCCTCGCCAAGTGCTGGGATTATAGGCGTGAGCCACTGCACTCAGCCCTCTGTGGGATTTCTGAACTATAGAACTGTAAGAGAGCAAGTTGGTGTTGTCTGAAGTCACTAGATTTATGGTGACTTGTCACAGCAGCCATAGGAAGCTAACACAGAGACTCAGGGACCAAGCCTTTCCATTGCAGCAAGATTGATCAGTTGTTCTCTCCCATCACGGGGCTCTCATTTTGCTCAAGTCCTATGTCATCGTCCCTCTTTTCCTGGAGAGCAGGAGCTGACTTCAGACGCCAGATCTTCTTTTCCTGCCACAGCGCACTTGCAGCTCTTGGGAGGTGAAGGTTCTGCCTGCTGCTCTTCTGGAATGATAAACGCTGGGCCCTTAGTGGAAATGTCAGGTGAAATGGAAGGCAGCTCCTTGGGTGCAGTGACAGGACCTGCAGTGGGCCTGTTGGAGCTGGCACTGAGGGCTGCTCCCCATCCCTCTGTGGGTGTATTGGCTGCATGCTGACTGGCCGTCCTCGTGGGCGTGGCCTGGTGTGTGTGCAGGTGGACAGAGGCTGGAGTATCCTTGAGAGGCTGTGCGTTCTCTCGGCTTCTTTTGGAGCCAGAGCCATCAGGGAGCCATCACCTGTCCTGGCCTGACCTGTCCTGTCATGAGTGCTGTGTTCCTTGAGCTGCCTCTCAGGCTAGGGGATGAGGTGGCTGTGCTCAGGCCTGGCTTCTGCAGGCTTCTTCCTATCTTTGGAGCGGCTCCACCACTGGAATCTGTGACATGAGAGGCCCGTAGCCCAGGCCCATCATCTAGAATGGAGAGGCAGCCCCACAGCCTCCTGGGAACCAGAGCTCCTTGCCTGGGTCATCACAGAACTAAGCCTTAAAATCAGGAGGCCTCAGCAAAGCGCCTCTAGAGACTCAAACCACCTTGTAAATCTCACTGGGAGTGAACGATTGACTTTTTACTCAGTACCAGGACTACATACTACCTCATTTATGGGTTTTTCCTCTAAATTGCTAATGTTTGAAGTGGAAATTTTCAAAACTGACTAATGTCTCTGCTTCAAGATTTGCTGTCAGGCAACTTATTTATAAATAAAGCAGCTTTTCAAGGAGCACTAACAAACAATCCCTCGTGTTAGGAGACTCAGAGCCAAGTCGTGGCTCTAGGTTGGCCTTGCAGGGTGTTAGGGAGCCAGTTCTCCACCCCAGGGCCATGGACTTCTGGGTCCTTGCACCATCCAGAGAGGTGATGATGTGGTTATTCCCATGTATAGAGTCTACTGTTTTCAGGGGGCATTTGCATCTGTGGTTTCATTAGATGTTCAGAGCATCCCCACAGGGGTTAGTTCATGTAGAGAAGGAATCAGAGGCTCACAGAGGTTCAGGGTTTGCTGGGTCACCAGCTCCTAAGAGGGGCCCTTTGGGCTGAGGCCACGGCGCTTTCTTTCTTGCAAGACAGAAATTTTCCTTTTCCTTTCTTTGCCATAATGGCCACCTCCTTCCACCCCATATCCTTCTTCCCTTTGGCCACTGGTGAGTTCTGATTATTTTTGGAAAAAAAAAAAAATTAAAACTCTGGGAGCTTGAGACTGAGGTAAAGTCCCCTTTCGTAGAGATTTTTGGACTGACATGTTAGCTCTCTGCCCTGTGTAACTTCAGAGTTTGGTAGGTGATGGGGACACGCCTGTTGGAGAGTCCTGGTGTGTCCAGTTTTGTCCCCGCAGCTTCACTGGCTGTCAGAGCCACAGCCTTTGCTTACGGCTACGCCCTGGAATATTTAACAGCAATTTCTTTTCGCTTTCTTCTGTCGTGTTCTGTCTGTGTCAGTGTTTTGTGGTCTTACTGTACCTGTTGTTTTATTATAGGCAGATACTGTAAACGCTGATACAGTCTGTGCCCTGCGGTTGTGGTTTTTAGGGCCTTGCGGCGGCATCTTTGCTAGTGCTCACTGCAAATAGGGGCAGGAAGCAGTTGTTTGGGAATGAGCCACATGGTGGAATATCTTGAATGTCCCAGGCCAGGCACAGAGCAGCTGCTCAGTAAATGTTGCTGAGTGAGAGGCTGGGGGGTTGGTGAGGATAGGCAGGGGTGGGCGTCCAAGGCTGCAGAGTTGTAAAGCGGGGGGTGGGGCAGCCAGCAAGTCCAGCTCGAGGAAACACCACGGGGTTCAGGGGCTCTGTGTAAGAAATGGCAGAGGTTTGGCTTCGCTTTTAGTTGTTTTGTTTCTTGTTCAAGTGAGGAGAACACACCGAGAAGGGAGGAGAGCAAGGCTGGCTGAGCGTCATGGCAGGGTGGTAAAGGAATCAATCACCCGGACAGGTTGTCCGTTCATGTGCCGTTGTTTGCATTGCTGTGATACAGACTGCTGTGCCACTGAAACCTTCCGAAAAGCAAGCCACCCAGAGAGTGACTTGGGCAGGTGTGTATTCATGTGTGCATCAGGGAGAGGAATACTTGCAAGGAGCAGAGCTTCCAGAAGACCAAGATTCAGTGGAGGCAGCAAGTCAGGGCCGGGCAGAAGCCCCTGGGGTATCTGCGGAAGAGCACTTTCCAGGGTGCATGGATGGATGCGTTAACCAGCCAGTTCCTACGCATCACGGAGGAGAGGTGCCTGCCCTCCTGGGAGCCGTGCCTATTCCATTGCTTCTGTTGTTTTTTTGAGACAGGGTCTCACTCTGTCACCCAGGCTGGAGTGCAGTGGCACGATTTCAGCTCACTGCAGCCTCTGCCTCCCAGGCTCAAGCGATCCTCCCACCTCAGCCTCCCAATTAGATGGGACTTCAGGTGAGCACCACCATGCCTGGCTAATTTTTAAATGTTTTGTAGAAACGGGGTCTCACTGTATTGCCCAGACTGTTCTCGAACTCCTGGGCTCAAGTGATCCTCATGCCTCCACCTCCCAAAGTGCTGGGATTTCAGGCGTGAGTTACCACACCCGGCCTCTTGTTGTTGTTAGTAAACTTTTAATTCTAGAACAGCTTTAAAGTTATAAAAAAGTTGCAAAGACTGCAGAGAATTCCCATGCTTGCTTCCTCCAGTCTTCTCTCTCGTTAACATCTTACATCACACGGTGCATTTGGCATAACTGAGGAACCAACGTGGGTCCATTGCTATGAACTAAACTCTGCAGTTTATTCCAATTTCCTTAGTTTTTGCTTAATGTTTTTTTTCTGTCCCAGGAGCCTGTCCAGGCCACTACGTTACCTATAGTCCTTGCGTCTCCTTAGCCTCCTCTGGTCTGTGACAGTTTTTCAGCTTTCCTTGTTTTTAATGACCTTGATAGTTTTCAAGAGTACAGGTCTTTGTGAATATCCTTCGATTTGGGTTTATCTGCTGTTCTTCTCATGGTTAGACTGGAGTTATGGGTTTGGGGGAGGAAAACCACAGAAGCGAAGCACCATTTTCAACATACATCAATGTTGCATGATATCAATATGACTCATAACTATCGATGTTGACCCCGATCAGCTGGCTGAGGTAGCATGTGCCAGTTGCTCACTGTAAGATTACCCCACCTTCAGCGGGGTGCGGTGGCTCATGCCTGTAATCCCAGCACTTTGGGAGGCCGAGTGGGTGGATCATGAGGTCAGGAGATCGAGACCATCTTGGCTAACATGGTGAAACCCCGTCTCTATTAAAAATACAAAAAATTAGCCAGGCGTGGTGGTGGGCACCTGTAGTCCCAGCTACTTGGGAGACTGAGGCAGGAGAATGGCGTGAACCCAGGAGGCAGAGCTTGCAGTGAGCTGAGATCACGCCACTGCACTCCACCCTAGGCGACAGAGTGAGATTCTGTCTCAAAAAAAAAAAAAGAAAGCAAAAAAAGATTACCCCACCTTCTTTCCATAGTCCTCCCTGGAAGGAGGTCGATGTGCAGAGCCCATGCTTAAGGAATGTGGAGTTACACTCCACTCCTTCATGGGGGGTGGGGATATCTGTATAAATTATTTGGAATATTTCTGTATGGGGGACTTATCTATTCTCCCCCATTTATTTATTCAAACATTTACATCAATATGGATTTGTGGATATATAATTTATACCTTGCTTTATAATCCAGTGCTGTGTTATTTATTTTATTGCTCAAACTGTCCCAGCTTTGACTATATGAAGCTCTTTCAGGTGGCATCCCATGTCCCTTAGAGAGATCCCTACCTTTTTGTTTTTTTGAGTACAGTCAGTTGGCCATATCCGTGAGTTCTGCATCTGTGGATTCAACCAACCTTAGATGGGAAATATCTGGGAGAAAAATAGATGGTTGCATCTCTACTGAACAGACTTTTTGTCTTGTCATCATTCCTTAAACAATACAGTATAACAACGATTTATATAGCATTTACATTGTACTAGGTATTATAAATAATCTAGAAAGGATTTAAAATATATTGAAGAATGTGCATAGGTTATATGCAGATTCTACACCATTTTATAGAAGGGACTTGAGCATTGAGGATTATGGTATCTACAGGGGGGCCTAGATAACCAATCCCTTACAGATACCCAAAGAAAACTGTACCTCTTTCTGGCACAAGATACTCAGGCTCATCTTGAATTTTTCCTACCCAGTCCTGGACTCAGCTATTTCTGCAAGGATCCCTGCCTTATTTTATTGAAGAATGGTATCTAGAAACCAAGGTCTGGAGACAGGGTTCTTCTTGTCACCGAGGTACATTGCTTCCAGGCCCTCTCAGCAGACAGAGCTAGGAAATATGCATGTATGCTAATCTGTGTATACATATGTATCTCCCATAGTTTTTTTTTATTTTTTTATTTTTTGAGACAAAGCCTTGCTCTGTTGCCAGGCTGGAGTGCAGTGGCACGATCTCCACTCACTGCAACCTCCGCCTCCCAAATTCAAGCAACTTTCCCGCCTCAGCCTCCCTAGTAGCTGGGACTACAGGCGTGTGCCACCACACCCAGCTAATTTTTGTACTTTTAGTAGACAGAGTTTCACCATGTTGGCCAGGATGGTCTTGATCTCTTGACCTCATGATCCATCCGCCTTGGCCTCCCAAAGTGCTGGGATTACAGGCGTGAGCCACTGCACTCAGCCTTTTTTTTTTTTTTTTTTTTTTTTTTAAGACAGAGTCTCCCTCTGTTGCTCAAGCTGGAGTGAATGGCACAATCTTGTCTCACTGTAATCTCCACCTCATGGGTTCAAGGGATTCTCTTGCCTCAGCCTCCTGAGTAGCTGGGATTATAGGCATGCACCACCACGCCTGGCTAATTTTTGTGTCCCATAGCTTTTTTTTGAATGCACGACCCCATCTGGCGGCGAAGCCCTGGACCTAGCCTTCTGATCACTCATGGGAACCATGACCACGTGTCACATAGTAGAAAGGAAAACTTGGACAACTTACTGTGTAGACAGGAGCAGCAACAACAAAAAAGACTTGGAAGGCTTAAAGAATATTTTCCAAGTATACACAAATACAGAGAATAATAAGAGGAATGACTTTGAGAGCCTGAGGCAGGAGGATTGCTTGAGCCCAGGAGTTCAAGAACAGTCTGGGTAGCATAGAGTGACCTTGTCTCTACAAAAAAATTAAAAAAAAAAGCCAGGTGTGGTGACGCGCACCAGTGGTCCCACCTCCGTGGGAGGCAGAGGCAAGAGGATCACTTGAGCCTGGGAAGTTGAGGCTGCAGTGAGCCATGATTATACCACTGCATTCCATCCTGGCTAACAGACCAAGACTCTGTTTAAGAAAAAAGGAGTATCTGGGGTACCTGCTATCCAGTTTAAGACATGTACAAATATGATTCAGCCTTCCATGAGCATGCCTCCCCAGCCACCCCTGTGAAACCCAGTAAATTGAATTTACTGTTTGTTTTTTGGAGGCATGTTTTATTTTTACACTGCATGTATGCCTAAATGATATATCCCATTGTTATGATATTTTCAAACTTTGTAGAAATGATACCTTACTGTGTTCCTACAACTTGAATTTTCATTAACTGAGACATTTTACATGTATTTATCTTCTTAGCAATCCTGAGAAAAGCAAGAGTCACTATCTCCATTGTATAGATAGAGAAACTGATAATGTAGAGCAATGATGTGATTTTTGCTAATTTCAAGCAGCTAATGGAGATCGACTTACATTTGTACCTTCAGAGCCCTAGTCCATGCTCTTTGTATGACATAAATGTCAAGATTCATCAGGAAAAGGAAGAACAGGCGGGTCTTGTTGGTTACTCTGTGACCCTGTTGCTTCCCTGGGACCTGGAGGTCCTGGTGTCTCCCTTAGCCTGGAATCCCAGTCTCCATCTGGGTTTTGCAGGCTCCAGGAGTTTTGATGAAATGAGGACCCATATGGCTGGTTGAGACTCCCACCCCCTCATCACTCCCTACCAGCGTTTGTGCAGAATCCTCCTCTCCTCCCGAGTTGGAAATAATGTATAGTTGGCTCAAAAGTCAGCCCCTCCTTATTTTAGCACCAGATGCTGCCTCTCAGCTTCACGCTGCCCTCCAGCAGCATTGCCTGTGGTCCATGGGATCTTGGCCTTCACACTCAGCATTGAAACAGCTGCCTTCCGCTCCCATCATAGGAAAGAGAACAGAAGTCTCTTGCTCCCACTCCCCCCGCCCCACCCCCTGCTGCTGGCCTATTTCTGTGCTTTGTTTTGCTGTAGAACTTCTGGAAAGAGTTGTCTGCAGTGGCTTTCTCCATTTCCTCCCTTCCCGTTCTCTCTTATACCCGCTCCAGTCGGACTTTTGCCCCTTCCACAGACACCTCTCCTGACACTTTTGACCCCATCACTTAGAGATCAAGATCTGTAAGACTCCAAGTCTCCAGATCCAGTGGTCAGCTCTCGGTCCCTTCCCATGTGACTGACCAGCAGTGTTTGCCACAGTCGTCCCCTCTAGGAAACACCTTCTTCCCTTGGCTTGTGGGGCACTCTGTGCTTGGGATTTTCTTCCTGCTTCACTGGACTTTGCTCAGTCCCCTTACTGACCCGTGAGTGTCAGAGTGTCCCTGCGGTCAGTCCATGCCCCTCTTCTCCGCTCGGTCCACACTCCCACCATGGTTGACCTCATTCCGACTTGTGGCACAAGGAGCTCACATTTATCTTTTAGCTCTGATTTCTCTTCTGACCTCCAGACTGTACACC
The DNA here is from genome assembly GCF_000001405.40 of Homo sapiens. Taxonomy (NCBI): domain Eukaryota; kingdom Metazoa; phylum Chordata; class Mammalia; order Primates; family Hominidae; genus Homo; species Homo sapiens. The sequence continues at coordinate 1,228,897 of NT_187660.1, forward strand.
CTGTTGCTCACCCAGCGCTTTCCCTTAGAGTTCTAATTGACGTCCCCACACAACAGGCACCAAGCTGTCCCTGGCCATCTCAACCCCAATCTCCACATCTCAGTAAATGGCAGCTCCATGCTTCCGGACACCTAGACCATAGACTTGGAGCCAACCTTGACTCCTGTCTCTCTTAAACCCCACATGGAATCTGTTCCGTAAGCTGCCCATGGTCACACCGGCACCGCTGCCGTGCGATGAGAGCCTGTCATCTCCTTGCTAGATTGCTGTGCCAGTTTCCTGATGGTTCCTGTTTCCACACTGACTGCATACCTTCCCACCCAAGTCTGTGTCTGCTCAGCAGCTGGTTTATTGCATACAAACTTAAATGAGAATGCTCCTCCGACCAGAGCTCTCCGTTCCCTGGCCATCCCATTAAGAGTAAATGCTGGAAGCCCCTCCTCAACTGACTTTATTTCTTAAAACTCTATCCTGCAAAATCCTGCCTGGCTAATAACTTTATCACCTTCTTCGTGTTGGTTCCAACGTTCCCTTCTGCAGGTGGCTTCTGCGGACTTTGGTACTGGCCCACATCCCTGAGCTGGTAACCCCCCACCATGCACAGGCACCCCCACATTAATTCTGTAGCTTATTTGTTTATTGTTGTCTGTGCCACTCCAGACAGGAAGCCTGTGGGGGTTGGGGGCTTGGTCTGCCTTCTTCAGCCCTGGGCTCACAGTCCTGACATCTTCTTGAAGACGGCGCTCACGGTCAGGCTGCAGCAAATTCACAGTTGACATCTAGGAGTGAGGGCCTCCTGCCATGCTGCACTCTGGCCTCTCACCTGCCTCCTGCTAGTCCTGGGCACACCTGGAGGACAATCAGGGAATTTCTTTCCCCATCTGGTTTGGCATCCTCCAAACCTGGGAACCTTTCTAACACCTGACTGCTTGGTGACCATGTGTGTGCTCTGTGGATTTCTGTCCAGGAGGGTCCCTCACTCTGGCCCTCAGGGCCATGTGCATGTGGACACCGACTGGTAGGGTTGGTTTCCTATGCAGAGAGCAGGGCCAGAGGCATAGCCGGCCCACCCCCAGCCCCATTGCTCACGGTTCACCCAGTCCCCTGGCCTTTCCGACGCTGTGCGCATCTGTATTTGTTGCAGTGAACAGAGCCTAGAATTATAGGACTTTGTCAGACAGTTTGATTTTCAACCCCGTAAAAAATACATTTTACTTAACCACCTAGGATACCTCTACATTATAGACCTCAAGCAGAAGTTTCAGGAGACAGTTTCTTACTCTCATTAGAGGTGATGCGTTTTGTGTGGTCTTCGGTTTCATTGCCCCATAAACTCACTTGGCGATCTGCCTGTGGGTCCCCAGCAGTCTGTAAGCCACAGCTTTCTCAACCGTACTTCCTGTTCTGGAGGAGAAACCTGAGCTGCAAAGAGCTAAGGGTCTTGCTAAGGTCATACCAGTGAATTCACCAAACAGCCAGTACTGGAACCCTGTCCTCTGATTCCCATCCTGTGGCTTTTTTAGGCTTGTGTAATCAATTTTAATGATTGTACCATTGTAGCTTATTTAAATTACCCCAGGAGGAACATCAGCTCTGTTCAAGAAATGTTATTGTAGTTGCTCACCTGCTTTGTTCAGGGAAATGCATCTTTTGTGGGATTTCTTCTGAGTAATTAAGAGGGTCTAAGAAGCCAGTTTTATAGTCATTTATTTAACTGTAGAGAACAATGAAGTTAAACACAAAAGCTGGTTCCATCTGCAGGAACATATGAGTGATTTGCATTAGAAAGGGTGTTCATCAAAGCTCCTCCCAGGTGCCTAGGGAGGCATGGGGGGCCTTGGTGGGTTCCCTGAGGGTCAGGCCAAGGCCTTGGGCCAGGGAGCACAGTTCCATTGCACTGGGTGTGTTGGGGCAGAACCTTGTGCTTGGAGGTAGGTGTTGCTTCTGGCCCTCGGTTGCTTGCTCCTGCAGGCAGGGCCGTGGACCCGTAGCTCAGCAACCATGGAGGAGCTGTGAGAAATGCACAGTCTCAGGCCCCACCCTGGCTCTGCTGACTTGGAACCTGCATGTTAACGAGACTGGGGGTTTGTATGCACATCACATCCGGTCCAGCTCTGGCCTGAGGACTCCGGTCTGTGGTTTCTAGTTTTTATCATCCAGCTGGTCATCCTCAGCAGTAGAGAATGTGGTTGGTTACCATGTGCAGGGCAGCCTGCTATGTGCTGTGGTAACAGAAGGGTGGGGCAGAGCCCTCCTAGCCCTCCCAGCCCTCTGGGGCTTGCTGTCTCTAGGGCAGGCAGGGGCTGGCATATGCAGTTGTACACCATGGTGTTTTACAAAGCACGAGTGCCATGGACCCCATGGGTGGGCTGGATTGAGATGCAAGGAGGGAAAACAGATGGGGTGGGGTCCCAAGCAGGAGGAACTGCATGAGGAAAGGCGTGGAGGCTGGACAGATGCAGAGGCAGTCAGGGAATAGCCAGTGTCAGAATGGAGCAGGCGACAGCCGGGTTTTGGAGGCTTTCAGTCCCATGTTTAGATATTTGGACTTTATCCAGTGGGTCATGGAAGCTACTATAAACTTTTTAAAATTAAATACTATTTTATTTAAAAAATTGTGTAAAATACACATAACATAGGATTCACCTTCTAGAACCATGTTTAAGTGTAGAGCTCAGTCGCATTAAGTACATTTACACGGTTGTGCAACCATCACCCCATCCACCTCCAGAGCTCTCCTCACCCTGCAAAACTGAAACTCTGTCCCCATTAAACACTTAACTCCCATTCCTCCTCCCCTCACCCCCTGGCACCCACCATTGTACTTTCTGTCTATGATTTTGACGACTTCAGGTGCCTCGTATGAGAGCAATTGTATAGGATTTATATTTTGTGACTGGCATATTTCACTCTCAACGTCCTCACGGTGCACACACGTCGTAGTGTAGCACGTGTCACAGTCTCCTTGTCTGTTAAGGTCGAGGAATACTTCCTTGTATGAATAGACCACATTTTGTTGATCGTTCATCTGGTGAAGGATGCTTGGGTTGCTTTTACCTCTTGGCTGTTGTGAATCATGCTGCTGTGAACATGGGGGTACAATCTCTTTGAGCTCTTGTTTTCTTTTTCTTTTTTTTTCTTTTTCTTTTGAGATGGAGTCTCGTTCTGTCACCCAGGCTGGAGTGCAGTGGTGCAATCTCAGCTCACTGCAAGCTCCGCCTCCCGGGTTCACGCCATTCTCCTGCCTCAGCCTCCCGAGTAGCTGGGACTACAGGCGCCCGCCACCGTGCCTGGCTAATTTTTTTAAGTATTTTTAGTAGAGACGGGGTTTCACTGTGTTAGCCACGATGGTCTCAATCTCCTGACCTCGTGATCCGCCCGCCTCGGCCTCCCAAAGTGCTGGGATTGATTACAGGCGTGAGCTACTGCGCCCGGCCTGAGCTCTTGTTTTCACTTCCTTCGGGCATACCCCCAGAAGTGGAGTCATTCCTAGATCATATGGTGATTCTATTTTTAATGTTTTAAGGATAGCATTTTCCAAAGGGGCTGCACACCATTTTACATTCCTACCCACCGTGTACAAGGGTTCCAGTTTTCTCCACATCCTCACCAACACTTGTTATTTTCTGGTTTTTCAATCGTGGCCACCCTGATGGGAGTGGGGTAGCAGCTCTCTGTGGTTTGGATGGCGTTTTCCTGATGCACGATGGTGTGGAGCACCTCTCCTGTGTGGGAGCACTGTGGCCTGGTGAGCAGGGGCTCTGTGGTGGGGAGGCGCGTGCCGAGGGCTGTAGGAGAGGGCGACGGGTGGTGCTGTGCATCAGGTTCGGGGTGATGGGAACGCTGTCCCTTGCACCTGCACATCAGGCCTCCCCCATGCTACTTTGGTGGCTTCTGTGGGAGCACAATATGTCCAGGGTGCCATCCCCAAGGCAGAAGGGAGCACCATCTGGTTTGATGTGTGGCCTGTACTTCACCAAGCCCACCACATTTGGCCTATGACTGTGTCCTGCTGCGACTGGGTTGAAGTCAGAGGAGCCGAGACAGGCGGGGGAGCATTTGGAGGACGTGTCCCTTGCTGTGGTGTCTTTGCAGAAGTGGCCAGCACTTGCACTGCCCAGTAGTATTTTCGATGCTCCTGGGAACATGAGAGGATTGCACTCTCTGCTTTCTCAAAGTTAGATAAGACCATGTGCCTTGCTTCAGCCAATGACATGTAAGCAGAAGTGACTTGTGGGTAGAAGCTGGAAGGGACTTTCTATGCTGTCCTTTCTCCAGTCACATCGGTCCTAGAAGCACATGCCTAGGAGGAGGGGCCATAATAGCAACGTGGCTGTTATTTGCTTTGGACTCACAGTGGACTTTGAGTGAGCAAGACAGAAACCATTACTGGGCCCAGGCCCTGTGGCGTGGGAGCTGTTTGTTGTCACAGCACAGCCTAGCCTGTCCTCACTGATCCAGGAGGAACCTGAAAAGTATTTTAAGTGCACAGATAGGTGAAGATGAAAGTGTAGCGTTTTGGGATAATTCTGCATGCTTCTTAGTATCTCCAGCAGTTTCGAGATTTGGCGAAGGGGCTGAACTTTTCTGTAGGTAAATCTCTTGCTGAAGAGTTCATTATCAGCTGGTAATGGCTTCATTTTGTCAGCGGCACAGAGCTCTGGCTTGTGCGTGTCTGAGGCCTGTCCCCACTGGGGCAGGGAGGTAATGAGAACTCATGAACCCTGCATCTCTGCCTGGCTTTAACAGCCTCTGTGTTTTCCAGTGCTTATCAAATCCAGAGCTGTTTACATTTCAGGAGACAACTTCAGACTCTGTGGACCTCATTATACTTCCAAAGCAGGAGGGTCGTTGTTTTTAAGCATTATTCCCAACTTTTTTTTTTTTGACTGCAGAAATGCCTTTTTAATATCAGAAAATTTCCAAGTTTTCCTTACTTGGCTATAGTCTTGTTTTTAGTACTGCTTTGGTGGTTCAGTAACTATTCATTAAACAAATCTCTTCATTTTAAGTTTATTTCTTCTATAGGGCTCTTCTCTTCTCTTCTGTTCTCTTCTCTTCTTTTTGATACAGAATCTCCCTCTGTCGCCAGGCTGGAGTGCAGTGGTGCGACCTTGGTTCACTGCAACCTCCACCTCCTGGGTTAAAGCTATTCTCCTGCCTCAGTCTCCCGAGTAGCTGGGACTGCAGGTGCATGCCGCCATGCCCAGCTAATTTTTGTATTTTTAGTGGAGACGGGGTTTCACCATGTTGGCCAGGACGGTCTTGATCTCTTGACCTCATGATCCACCTGCCTCGGCCTCCCAAAGTGCTGGGATTACAGGCATGAGCCTCCGCATTCAAATATATGTAAAAACGGAGAGAATTGTGATCCCTGAAAATTCATGTGTTGAAATCTTCACCCCCAGGACCTCAGAATGTGACTGTATTTGGAGAGAGGGTCTTTGAAGAGGTAATTGAGTTAAAATGATATCATCAAGGTAGCTTAATCCAATCTGACTGATGTTCTTGTAAGAAGAGATTCAGACACAGACAGGCACAGACGGATGGCCATGTACATACATGGCGGAAGACAGCCGTATGTGAGCCAAGGAGCGAGGCCTCCTGAGAAACCAGCCCTGCTGACACCATAATCTCGACTTCCAGTCGCCAGAACTGGAAGAAAATACATTTCTGTTGGTTAAGTCCCCTAGCCTGTGGTACTTTGTGATAGCATTCCTAGAAAACTAATACAGTGCCTGTGTGCTATTGTTCAGTGTCAGCAGTTCCAGTTTTTAAGCAATCTTCATGGACTGCTCCCGAAGTTCAGGGAGCATGGGGCCTATAGCAGAGAACTAGGCAGCACCTGCCCTTGTGAAACTGACACTCTACGGAAACTGGAAAAATTCATGAGGACAAGCTTCAGTTAACAACACTTTGAGGCTGGGTGTGGGAGCTTGAGCCTGTAATCCCAGCACTTCGGGAGGCCGAGGCAGGTGGATCACTTGAACCCAGGAATTTGAGAGCAGCCTGGGCAACATGGTGAAACGCCATCTCTACTAAAAATACAAACAATTAGCTGGGCCTGGTGGCAGTTGCCTGTGGTCCCAGCTACTTGGGAGGCTGAGGTGGGAGGATTGCTTGAGCCCAGGAGGCGGAGGTTACAGTGAGCTGAGATTGCACCACTGCACTTCAGTCAGCCCAGGTGACAGAGTGAGACCTTGTTTCAAAAAAAAAAAAAAAAAAAAGACACTTTGAGACTGGGCGAAGTGGCTCGTGCCTGTAATCCCAGCAGTTCAGGAAGCAGAGGCAGGAGTACTGCTTGAGGCCAGGAGTTCAAAACCAGCCTGAGCAACACAGCAAGACCCCTGTCTCCACAAAAAATATATTAAAATTAGCTGGGTGTGGTGGTGGATGCCTGTAGTCCCAGCTACTTAGAGGCTGAGGCAGGAGGATTGCCTGAGCCTGAGAGGTTGAGGCTGCAGTAAGCTATGATCATGCCACTGTATTCCAGTCTGGGTGATAAAGCAAGACCTTGTCTCAAAAAAAAAAAAAAGAGCACTTTGAATTCTCATAATCATAATCATATGACATCTGTCTACCTTAGAAACCCTCGCTGGTGGGTGGTCACACATAATGCTGGTGGTCTGCGGGGGGCAGATGGACTCTCACACCCTCCTAGGTTCCCCTTTAGGAACTGAGGCTTCAGGTATGGGAAGGGTTTGTGGAATAAATGGATGAAAATGGAATGAGAAGCTTTGCCCACGTCAGAGCCAACCTATCATGTGGACCAGGATTCAGACCACCCCTGGGAGAGGAACCAGGATGCACCCATCATTCTTTTTTTTTTTTTTTTTGAGACGGAGTGTCACACTGTCACCCAGGCTGGAGTGCAGTGGTGTGATCTCGGCTCGCCGCAACCTCCGCCTCCCAGGTTCAAATGATTCTCCTGCCTCAGCCTCCCGAGTAGCTGGGATTACAGGCGTGCACCACCATGCCTGGCTAATTTTGTATTTTTAGTAGAGACAGGGTTTCTCCATGTTGGTCAGGCTGGTCTCGAACTCCCGACCTCAGGTGATTCACCTGCCTCAGCCTCCCAGAGTGCTGGGATTACAGGCGTGAGCCACCGCACCTAGCCGACACCCATCATTCTTACACAGTGAAGACCCAGGGAGATGATGAGTCACACCGGGAAGTGATTCATTTGCTTACTGTTAAGTTCATCCAGGATTCCTTTAAATACCAAATCCCCATATACGCTTAAAAATACCTAGTTCACTCAGAAACAGTGTGCTGACTGACGGAAGCCAGACATGAAAGACTATGTGGTGCAATTCCATGTATAGGACGTTTCTAGAAAGGGCCTAATGACAGAGATGGAAAGCAGATGAGGGCCTGCTTGGGTCTGGGGCGTCAGTGGGGATTGGCTGCAGGCAGCCATGAGGAGCCTTCAGGGTGATGAGGGTTCTAAAAGTGCGTCGTGTGCCTGAGCCACTGCGACATTCACTAGAAGTCCTCCGTGCTGACGGAGGGTGAACTGTGTGGGGCCCAAGTTCTATCTCAGGAAAGCCAGGGAAGCCACTCAGTTCAGCTTTGTGAAAATCAAGGGAGTCTTCTTGGAGGAAGTGGACTCTGAGCTGGATGTGAATGACGGAGTGTCTTTGGTAAGGAGAGACAGCTGCAGGGGACTCCTGGTGGAGGAACAGGATCCCGGGGGAGCGGCCGGGCGGGTGACTGAGGCGCCAATGGAAGGAGAAGCCTGTCGCAGGTGAGGGCATTGAAGGGAACTGCAGGGACACCCAGCGCTTCTCAACTCTGACTGCAGATTTCCAGCTGCCATTTCTAAAGGACAGGTGCCTGGGCTCCACTCCTGGAGGTTTGGATTTAATCAGTCTCGGGTATAGATCCCGGACGTTAGTATTTTTAAGCATATTTTTAAATGAAGTGATACTCTAATTCTATCATTTTCTTTTTACTTCTCAGCTTGTTGCTTCTCTAAAGAGATACCTCCCTTTATCCATTTTGTGGTCACCCAGTGGGACAGTTGAGAGAGAAAAGGCCGGGTGGCATGTGATTCTTCTACTTCATTTACCAGTTTTGAAGATGATGAATTTGTTTCCCATGACCTTCCAAAGGTGGTTTTTTAAAATTTATTTTAATCTATCGTCGTGAACTCCTGGGGCGTGAACGTGTGTCATAGGTTTCAAACCACTGCAATCATTATCCTCATTGAGGTTCATTGTGGCTGGTGGTAGTGTCTTCATATTGGCCTCTGAGACCTTCTGACCTGATTCTAGTTATCTTTGATAATTTCCTTGTCTTTAAAAAATTATAATTGTATATATTTTTTAATAATAAAGATGGGTTTCGGCTGGGCGCGGTGGCTCACGCCTGTAATCCCAGCACTTTGGGATGCAGAGGTGGGCAGTTCACGAGGTCAGGAGATTGAGACCATCCTGGCCAACATGGTGAAACCCCATCTCTACTAAAAATACAAAATTAACTGGGCATGGTGGCGGGCGCCTGTAGTCCCAGCTACTCAGGAGGCTGAGGCAGGGGAATCGCTTGAACCCAGGAGGCGGAGGTTACAGTGAGCAGAGATCGCGCCACTGCACTCCAGCCTGGCGACAGTGAGACTCCGTCTCAAAAAATAATAATAATAGTAATAATAATAATAAAGACAGATTTTGCCATGTTGCCCAGGCTTGTCTCGAACTCCTGGGCTCAAGCCATCTGCCCACCTCTGCCTCCCAAAATGCTGGGATTACAGTGTGAGCCACCATGCCCAGCCTAACTTCCTTGCCTTTTAAGAGTAAAGCAGTTTTATTTCCCATTGCTCTTCCACTAGCTTTAAGTATGTGTTAATTTATTATTTTAGGTTGTCCTAGAGGTTATGATCTGCAGACTCATTAGATGCTAGTGATGCTGGTCTTCTTTAAATTGGTACTTTAACCGCTTCCTGGACAAGGCAGGGACTTTGCATACAGATATATCAGTATGGTGTGGAAGACAGCTACACTCACCATTATACCACCTGCACAGATATCAGTATGTTTTGAAAGTTGCCTGGAGACCTTGGTGGCAATCCAGGGCTGAAAACTCTGGGTGGGGCACTAGGTGGGTGGCAGGTGCACTGGGGACTGAATGGGATGCTGTGGCAGAGAGGACCAGACCTAAAGCCTTTAGTGAAGAAGGCCTGGTGTGAATTTTTTAGCTGGTTATCAGGTTCATATTTTAAAGAATATTTTTCTAATTACGTTTGTTTGTTTGGTCTGGCCTGATGTGGGACGTGGTATTTTCAGTGTATAGGTCTTCCTAGAGTTGGGAAGGAGGGATGCCCTTCTGTTGGAGATGTTTCTGTTAACTCAGGTGCTTTAGGAATGGAAAGGAAAGTCATGCAGCTCAGGCCCGGCAGGGGCATTGTTGAAGATCCTCAGCCAGTGAGGCGCCTTCCCTGTGCCCAGCACATTGCTGAGGACCTTGCCTGAAAGATGTCCTTTCATCCTCCCCACCCACCTGAAAGATGAGAAGTGGAGGACTGATGAGAACCTTCCAGATGGGTTCTCCAAGCCACACAGCTAACAGGTGCCAGAGTCGGAATTTGAACTCAGCTGTGACTTACTTCTGTTACCAGCAGAAGTGGGTGAGAAAGCCGGCCACAGTCCACTAAACACGGGCTATGACCAAGGTCTCTTTGACAACATAATCCAACAAATAGGCTTGTTTTAGAATATAAATCTCAAGGAATTTGGGGGGAGTTGATATACTCTTGTTTTTTACTTTTTATTTTGAAATATTTTTAGATTCACAGGAGGTTGCAAAGAAATATTCAAGAAGATCCTGAACACTCTTCACTTAGCCCCGCTTCAATGTTAACATTATGCATAACGATAGTACAATAGTCAAACCAGGAAACTGACAGTGATGTAGTCAACAGAAACTAGTCAGACTCCAGTAGTTATAATGTATGTATGTGTGTGTGTATGTGTGTGATTCTGTCCAATTGCATGTGCAACTTCATGTAACCACCACCACAATCAAGATATTTAATTGTATCATCAGCAAAGGACTGCCTCATGCTACCCCATTGTAGCCACATGCACAGTCCCTCTTCCATCATTCCTAACCTATGGCAACCACTGGAGGACATTTGGAGTTTCCAGTTTGGGGCTGTTATGAACCCAGATCTGCTATATGAACATTCACTTACAAGTTTCTATGTGAAAACAAGTTTTTATTCCTCTATGATCAATTATCTACAATTGCTGGATTGCATGGTAAATTCATTTTTACTTTTAAAGGAGTTGCCAAACTATTTTCCAGAGTGGCTGTACCATTTTATATTCCCATTAGCAATGTATGGATGATTCAGTTTCTCCACATCCTTGCCAGCATTTGGTGTTATCACTGTTTTTTATTTTAGCTATTCTCATAGGTGTGTAGTGATATCTAGTTGTGGTTTAGATTGCATTTTTCTGATGCCTAATAATGTTGGGGATCTTTTCATATGATTATTTGCCATCTGTGTATCTTCACGGGTGAAATATCTGTTCATCACTTTTGCTCATTTTTTTTTTTTTTTTGAGACGAAGTCTTGCTCTTGTCTTCCAGGCTGTAGTGCAGTGGCACGAACTTGGCTCACTGCAACCTCCGCCTCCTAGATTCAAGTGATTCTCCTGCCTCAGCCTCCCGAGTAGCTGGGATTACAGGCGCCTGCCACCACGCCTGGCTAATTTTTGTATTTTTAGTAGAGATGGGGTTTCACCATGTTGGCCAGGCTGGTCTTGAACTCCTGACCTCAGGTGATCAGCCCACCTCGGCCTCCGAAAGTGCTGGGATTACAGGCATGAGCCACCGCACCTGGCCCACTTTTGCTCATTTTCTAATTAGATTTTTTTTTTAATTGTTGAGTTTTAAGGGCTGTTTATATATTCTAGATACAAGTCCTTTGTTAGGTACGTGATTTGCAAATAATTTCTCCCAGAGTATAATTTTTTTTTCTGTTATCTTAACTTGACCCTTGACAGAATGAAAGTTTTTAATTTTGAGGAGGTCAAAGTTTTATCAAATTTTTTCCTTTTATGGATATTGTGTTTGGTGTATGTCTAGGAACTCTTTGCCTAATCATTAAGGTCCCAAAGCTCTTTCCTTTGATTTTTTTTTTCTACATGTCTTATAGTTTTATATTTAAGTCCTTGATTCATTTTGCGTTAGTTTTTGTATAAGGTATGAAATTTATGTCAAATTTCTTTTTTCTTTTTTTGCCTATAGATGTGCAAATACTCCAGCGCCATTAATTGAAAAGGCTGTCCCTCCTTCATGGAATTACTTTTGCTCCTTGTGACAAATCAGTTGGGCATATTTGTAGGGATCATTTTTCCTGGGCTCTCTACTCCATTCCATTTGATCTCTGTGTCTCTCCCTTTGCCTATATCACACTGTCTTGATTACTATATCTCTGTAGGAAGCCTTAATATCAGGCAGGGTGATTTCCCCAATTTTATTCTCCTTTTTCAAAGTTATTTGGCTATTCTCAGGCTTTTCTCTTTCTAATAAATTTTAGAATAAGTTTGTTTGCATCTACAAAATACCTTACAAAGTTTGACAGGACTTTTGTTAAGCCTGTCAGTCAATTTAGGCAGAATCGACCTTTTAACTATGTTGAGCGTTCCAGTCCATGAGTATGTCTCTTCAGTATTTAGGTCTTTGATTTCCTTCCTTGTCATTTTGTAATTTTTATTTTATATAGATCCTGTACATATTTTGTTAGATATATTCATAAGTATCTTCTTGTTATCTTTAGAGCAACTTTAAATGGTGTTGCATTTAACAGTCTTGATTTCCACTTCTTTGTTATTAGTGTATAGACATGCAATCAGTTTTTGAATGTTGATCTTGTACCCTGAAACCTTACTGAACTATATGTTTTCCTCTCAGCACTGTCTGAGCTGCATCCTACCAACTTGGTATGTCGTGTTGTCATTTTAGTGCAGTTCTATATAGTTTAAAATTTCCCTTGAGATTTCCCCTTTGACCTATGGATTAGTTAGAAGTGTGTTGGTTAATTTCCAAGTATTTGGAGATTTTCCTGTAGTTTTTTTGTCATTGATTTCTAGTTGGAGTCCATTTTGGTCAACATATTCTGCATGATTTTAATTTTTTTGAATTTATTAAGGCTTTTTTTTGTGACCCAGGATATGGTCTATCTGAGTGTATGTTCCATGGACAATTGAAAAGAATGTGTATTCTGCAGTTTTTGGGTTGAATTTTCTATAAATGTCAATTTGATCTTTTTGTTGGATGGTGTTGCACACTTCTGTATCTTTGCTGATCTTCTGTCCAGTAGTTGTGTCAGTTGCTCAGAGTGGGTACTGACATCCCCAAATATTATTGTGAATTTGTCGATTTTTCTCTTGGCAAGATTTGTTTTTGCTGTATGTGTTTTGTGGTCTGGGGGGTACGCATTTAGAATTTCTGTATGTTCTTGGTAGGTTGGGCATTTTATTATTATGTAATATTATTCCTTGTCTTTATTTAGTTTCTTTACTCTGAAGTCTGCCTGGATATTAATATAGCCACTTTTGCTTTCTCATGATTAGTGTTGGCATGACATGTCTTTTCCCATCCTTTACTTTCAGTCTACCCATGTTGTTATGTTTGAAATGAGTTTCTTGTAGGTAGCTTGTAGGTTATTTTTTAAATCCATTCTGCCAATGTCTGTTATTTGATGTAGTTAGACCATTTATATTTAAAATGATTATTGACTTGCTAGGGTTTAAGTCTGCATTTTATGATTTTTTTCCTTCTCTTTCTCATTCCTCTGTTTCTTTTTCCTTGCCTTCCTATGGTGACAAACATTTTTTAGAGTCCCACATTTCCTTATTTATACTGTGTTTGAATGTACGGCTTTGGATAGTGTTCTTTATGATTGCTGTAAATATTATGTCAGCCTACTGGTGTCAGAGTTTTACCACTTTGGACCCTTTACCCTCACTACTTTTTAAATATAATTGTCTTAAGTATTTCCTCCGTATCCACTGAGTACCTTATCGTATGACATAATAACTTTTGCTTCAACTTAAAGTATGATTAAAGAACCTCATGAGGTGAAGGACAGTCTAGTCTTCTTCTGTTAGTCTCTTTTTCTGTTTGAAGACATTTCTTTAGCCCTTCTTTAAAGGTTGGTCTGCTAGTAATAAATTCTTTAGCTTCTCTTCTCCTGAGAATATCTTCATTTCTCCTTCATTTCTTTTTTTTGATAGCAAATTTATTGAGTCATAATTCACATACCATGTAACTCATACCTTTAAACTGTACAATTCAGTGGTTTTTAGTGTATTCACAGAGTTTTGAATCATAACCACAATCTAATGTAATAAAATTGTAAGTCTGGCTTTTTGCATGTGATAGAGGGGAGAAGGAAAAGCAGTCTATATCATCTTGCTCTGGAACTAGAAGTTGATAGTCTTTTCAAGTGTTTTATAAATTTCAGGTTCCTCTCTCCATCCCTTTATTTTTATTTATTTATTTATTTTGAGATGGAGTCTCGCTCTGTCACCTAGGCTGGAGTGCAGTGGCACGATCTTGGCCCACTGCAAGCTCCGCCTCCCGGGTTCACACCATTCTCCTGCCTCAGCCTCCCAAGTAGCTGGGACTACAGACACCTGCCACCACGCCCGGCTAATTTTTTGTATTTTTAGTAGAGATGGGGTTTCACCGTGTTAGCCAGGATGGTCTCGATCTCCTAACCTCATGATCCACCCGCCTCGGCCTCCCAAAGTGCTAGGATTATAGGTGTGAGCCTCCGCGCCCGGCCCCTTTCTTTATTTTTAAAATGTATTTTAATTTTTAGTTCTTAATTGTGGCAAGAGATACATACAAATGTATCATCTTAAGCATTGTTTAGGTGTACAGGTCAGTGACGTTAAGGACATTGACATTGTTGTCCAGCTATCACCACCACTCATCTCCAGAATGATTTCATCTTCCCAAAATTTAACCTCTGCACTCATTAAGCAGTAATTGTCCATTCCCCTCTTTTCACACCCCCTGGCAACCACCATTCTACTTTCTGGCTGTGAATTTGACTCTTCCAGGTACCTCACGTAAGTGGAATCCTACAATATTTTTGTGCGTGACTGACTTCTTTCCCTTAGCATAGTGTTCTCGCAACGTTGTAGTAAGTGTCAGAATTCCCTTGCCTGTGAAGGCTGAATAATACTCCACCGTATGTGTAGACCACATTTTGTTTATCCATTCATCCATGATGGACACTTGGGTTGTTTCCACGTTTTGGGGACTGTGAATAATGTTGCTATGAGCATGAGTGTGCAAATAATCTCTTGGAGATAGACCCTGCTTTTCATTCTTTTGGGTGTATACTCAGAAGTGGGATTGCTGAATGATGTGGTAATTTATGTTTTTAATTTTGGGGGGAACTGCTATACTATCTGTCCCTGTCTTTTCCTTACAAACACGTGTGGAAGACTTTGAGGCATTTGACCTGTGGAACATCTCCCTTCTTATTTTGGATGGGTGCACTCCTGGTGAAGTTCAGCGTGTCCCTTTGTCCTCTCTCTCCTGCACATTGGCAGCTGGATCCAGTACCTTTGCTGGACTTGGTTCCGTCTCTTTCGCAGGATTAGAGGAAGTGCTCTATGTCTGTTCACCCATCTTTTTGTGAGCAGGCAGCTGTTGATGCTCAATGCCCCTGTTTTGGGTAAAATTGTGTCTCCCCAAAATTCATTTGTTGAAGTCTTAAGCTCCAGCATCTCAGAACCTGCCCTTATTTGGAGAAATGGTCTTTACAGAGCTTATCAAAGCAAAATGAGGTCATTAGGGCAGGCCCTAATCCAGCATGCCCAGCGTACTTCCAAGAAGAGGAAATGCGGAAGCAGACACGTGCAGAGGGAGGATGGGAAGATGTGGTGACTCCATATAAACATAAACACGGCTGTCTCTTGCCCTTCATTCTTGAACGCTTTGCTGGACAGGAAATCCTTGAGTGTCTTAAATAGGCTACTCTTTTTTTTTCTGGAGGTAATCATGGTTGTCAAAAAGTCTTAAGGGTCAGCCACAGTGGCTCACCCCTGTAATGCCAGCACTCTCGGAAGTCAAGGCAGGAGGATCATCGGAGCTCAGGAGTTAGAGATCAGTCTGCGCAACATAGGGAGACCCTGTCTACAAAAACCTTACCTTTCATTTCTTTTTCTTTCTTTCTTTCTTTCTTTCTTTCTTTCTTTCTTTCTTTCTTTCTTTTTTTTATTTTTTATTTTTGAGACAGTCTCTCTCTGCCGGCCAGGCTGGATCCAGTGGCACAATCTCGGCTCACTGCAACCTCCGTCTCGCGGGCTCAAGCGATTCTCCTGCCTCAGCCTCACAAGTAGCTGGGATTACATGCATGCACCACCAAGCCTGGCTAATTTTTGTGTTTTTAGTAGAGATGGGGTTTCACCTATAGGCCAGGCTGGTCTCGAACTCCTGACCTCAGGTAATCTGCCCACCTTGGCCTCCCAAAGTGCTGGGATTACAGGTGTGAGCCACTGCACCGGGCCTTAACCTTTCATTTCAAATAAAAAGGAGATAACCTGGAATTCTGTGTGGGCTCTCAGTGTAAAGATAGAAGGACACACAGAGTGTTTTGAAACATGCCCCTCCCTGATCAGCAGGTGTCCTGCTGTGTCACATGTGACTGTCAGTTCCCGACCCCTCGGCCGAGCAGAAAGGGCTTTGGCAAGGTGTCCGGAGTTGGAGGTGGCCTCTGGGAGGTTTGCTGCCCGAGGGTCCTGTTGCCGCCAGGACTGGTGAGGAGACTGAGGATTGAAGGGGCCAAAAGCTGACAAAATTCTGTGCGGGGGCTGAGTGGCAGATTCGGGTCTGAATCATTTCCTGGTTCCTGGAATATTCCCACTTAGGTGCCGAAGCCAGAATTGGAGGGAGCGTGGCGCCTACTCATGGAGCCTGCCAAGGCACTGCCAGCTGCTCACAGGCCAGGCCGGGCGGGCAGAGCCTCCTCGCTGCCTGCTGGCTTTGAAATTCATGTTTGAGACACACATTCCAGCCTTCACTGCTTGTTCAAGGTGATACATGATTTTCAGACTGGACAGCTTGGCCTCTTGTCTGTTCTTGTGTTTTCCTTTATGTACCAGGATAATGTTAAACCCTTCCCATGATGCTGCAAAAACCAAATAGTGCAGCACACACCCCACAGCCCGAAACAACTGCAGGTGCGTGTGCCAGTGGTTCTGAAAGGAATACAGAGACGTGTGGTTTCCGAATCCGCTGATTGTTTTATTATATACTGTTACAGATCATGTTATTCTAAATTACAAAATAAAACTTATGTTAATATACATTTATACAACGTATATATTATACATTATATAGCATGTAGTGATGTATGATGTAATGTATGATATGTACTATATAATAATTTATAATATATTATAATTATTATAATAAAAATGACTGGCCAGGCACCGTGGTTCATGCTTGTCATCTCAGCCCTTTGGGAGGCCGAGGCAGGAGGGTTGCTTGAGGTCAGGAGTCTGAGACCAGCCTGGGGCCACATAGTGAGACCCTGTCTTTCTAAAAAAAAAAAAAAAAATAGTAATTTGTTATTATTCTTCCTATTACTATTTTTAAGGGACAATTTTGGAAACATACTTTACTTTTTCTAGTGTAGCAAAGAATTTACATTTTGTCACCTGAAAGCGTCCTGGAAAATCCATCCTAGTGTCTTGTAATTCTAACAGTCACCAGGAAGGCTACTTTGAGAAAATTTCATATGGTATGAGGGAAAACAAGAACATTCTCATTTTTTTTTGTCTTGCTGAATTAAAAAAAAAAAATAAAAGCAACAACAAGAAAAAACAAAGCCCAGGGCTGGGGTTAAGTAGGTGAAGGAGGAAAGGGAGTCCCCACCTGCCAGTCTCAGTGCCGCTCTTTGCCATGCACACACCCGTATGTGTGCCCATGTGTGTGCACACAGACACCACCGGGTCCCCTTGGAGTTACCAGGCAAATGCATGTCATCAGCTGTTGTGCCTTGATGTCTCCTAAGCTACATAGAATCCCCTCAGACCACGCCTGACACCCAGGACACCAGGGCAGTAATCCGCACGCCCATTTCACTCTCACCATGTAAATTGCGTTTTCTATTTTCATTTCATTTTATGTCACTTTTCTTCAACAAGTAATTATTCTAGGGCTTTATAAGAACGCTGTGCTTTCTTAGTCTATTTATAATGAGTAAGAAGTTGTTTTTATTCTATTTCTTTTCTGTCTGTGCTTGCCATTTTTTTTAATCACGATTGGATAAGGGGGGATCCCTGCAAGATAACAGCGCCCACCAAATTAGAATCTCCCTGAAAAACATACAGTTAATCAGGAGGAAAATATAGTTGCCCATAGTCCATGATTATAGCACAACTAGGGGACAATTAATGTAGCAAACCTCTGTTTCCACCCAAGACCAGGATACAGGGTTTCAGGGCCAGGCCAGAGCCCCGAGCCATCAGGACCGGGCACAGGAGAGTGCAGCAGCGGCCTGGTCCCACCCTCACTCGGGAGATAATAAGAGACATCTGAAATGTCACTCAGGAATAAAAGAGAGGGTCTTGGAAAGTGCATGGGATGGGAGAGTCTGCTCCTGGGAGATGTTTCCTGGAGGTTTGGTGTGAAAGGGAAGAGAAGAATTAGCTGAAAATAAGGAACTTAGTAAAACAACAAATCATCCACAAAGAAGAGCTCCTCTCAGGGGAGGAGGAGGTGGAAGAAGAGGAAAATCTCTCTCCTTAATTAAAAAAACTGTACTTTAGAGAAGTAAGAGAAGAGTGCATGGCTGAACCATGTTCCTGAGCAAGCCACACAGACCTCTCCCTCCCTACTGACTCTACTCATCAGCTTTTGGGGAGTCTAAGTAAATTAATATAAACCCAAGCACACCTAGCGTCCATACAATATTACTGTAAGAAAAAGAAATAGAAAATGTGTAGCAAAATGCTGGACATGAAAACAGCCAAGAAGCACAAATGAAATGTAAGTAATAGGCAATTGCAAATGTGAAAAAACACCATGAGCCAGCTCTTCATAAAATAAGACTGGAAATGGATAAACAACGGGAGATATGAAATGAGAGCTAATTAAGGAAAGCAAATGAAGAAAAGTCTAAGATAATCTCTGAAATTAATAGTAAATGATAAGGTTCCCCAAAGGGATAGTAGTTACAGCTGAAAGCACAGTAGGGATAGAAATGAAAGAAATAGAAAAGATCAAAACCAAAGTGTCTGTTGGAAAGACATCCAATTTACCTGTAATTGGTGACCCTGAAGAACTAAAACAAGGCAATGGAACAGAACTAAAAATTTAAAACTGCAAGTCAAGAAAACTTTCCTAAAATAAAATTAAGACCCAAATCTACATGGAAATATAGTCCACTGCCATTCCGGGAATGGTTGACTCAAGATTTATGCTCTAGGAAGACTAAATTCTAAAGATAAAGAGAATATCAGCAGGGCCTCCAGGCAAAAGGACCAAGTTATTTACAAAGGAAATTTACAGAGTTGTTTACAAAGTTACAAGTTATATGCAAAGTCTGGTGTCAGACTTATAACAACAACAAAGAAAGCAAGACAGCAATGCACAATACTTTTAAGAAACTCAAGGAAAGAAAACGTGAGTGAAGGATTTTATGCCCAGCCAATGGTTCTTTAAGTGATTCAGAAACAAAAATATTGTGCCCACCAGGCACACTTAAAGAATCAGCTGGCATTAGTGATATGTCAGAGGCTGGACGGCAGAAATGGTCTGCCCTGGTTGCAGGCAATGAGGAGTTTCATCATCTGTCGATAATTTAAAAACAATAATAAAACTGACTGAAAGTCCGTCTGCTTTTTATGTCACTGTGATCCAACACTTTTAAACAATGTCAGCCAAAAAATACTCCTCCTGAAAAAACCTATTGTTGGTCTAATTTCTAAGCAATTTTTCCTATTACAATTGCATTTTAATGCTATGTGTAAACCTCAAATTAGCATATTTGCATTACTTATGCTTTAATAAACATTATATTCTACATGGCATTTAATTTGGAGAACTCCCAAGTATACGATCAGCCCCTGACATCTGCAGACTGAGGCACATGTGTTTATTTTGAGAGGAAGTTTGTAGCAATCCAGAATCATGCAAACTCCATTGAGGTCCGGACTCCTGTGACCCTGTGTATTCCTCTGTTTGGATAGCAGATTAGGAATAACCAGTGATATCACAATAGGTAAAGACAAAGAAACAGAACTTGGATTTCTTCAATTCTGTCATTCTATGTGAACACTAGAGGTTTTTATTGGTGTGTAAAATTTGAAGAGTAAGAGCACAGATGATGAGATTGGATATTTTTGTTTGATTGGTGCAACTTGTAGTTGACACATGAAATATTTTACTGAATATGAGCTGTACCATTAGGACTGAAATTCATCTTTTAAAATTGTCCATGGTTTTTAAAATTACAGATCCAGTTAAGGAAATAGTGATTATTACTGGTTATTATGTGATAATTACTGAAAACACTGTTGTCACATAGAGGATGAAGGTGTTAAAAATTAGCCACATTATGTATGCCACATAGCAGGGGACAGGCTTCATCCAATGAAAAGATGATGTGGGAAACTTTGGCGAAGGCACTGATAGTATTTTTACACTTAAACAAGTATTTTAAAATGTTTAAAAAAAATTGTATATGTATGACCGAAAGAAAGGTAGGGATAAGTATGGAGGAATGGCTATAAATGTTATATATTCTGACAAAATAGAAATAATGAATAAAAATAATAGTTGGAGTAGGAAGAGCAAAAGAGGAACAGAGAATCAGCTCATTGATTGCCCTGCAGGTAGGAAAGTGGTAACATTGTTTGGTATACAAGAATGACCACTGAAACAAAAATATAGACCTTAAATACCCAAAGAAATGCAAAAACAAAACAAAACAACTTTTAAAGAAGCAAACAAACCATATAGTGAAATACACACGGTCAATATAACACTAAAGAATAGAACTGAGACCAAACCTAGCAGCCGCATCAGTAAATTAGAGTGGATTTAACCCATTTATTAAAAGGCAAGACTGATTTTCAGATTGGTTCACATAGTGGCACCCAACTCTATGCTGTATAAAGAAGTCATATCCAAAACACAGTGATCCAGGAAGGCTGAAAATGACAGGAGGGTGTATAGCAATGAAGAGAGAAAAAGAGCTTGGGAGTTTTAATCCT
Organism: Homo sapiens; assembly: GCF_000001405.40. Classification (NCBI taxonomy): domain Eukaryota; kingdom Metazoa; phylum Chordata; class Mammalia; order Primates; family Hominidae; genus Homo; species Homo sapiens. The sequence goes on from NT_187660.1 coordinate 1,249,143, forward strand.
GACTGCAGCCAAGCTAGTATCAGGCCAAAAGCATTAATGGAAACAAAGAGGGCCGCTGTCAATGCTAAAGGCTGCAATTTGCAGAGAAGATACACTAGGTGTGGTTATGTCTGCTTCACATAACATCACCAGAACCTCTACGATGCGGAAACCACAGGGGCGGTGGGGAGACATGAGGGACACGCAGTTCCAGGACATTGTGACTGCCTTGCTCAGCCTGAGACATGTGAAGGGGACCAAAACATACGCCTCCAAATGTACCAGACTTTGTGCTGTGATAATAGGGAATACAACTTTGTTTCGAGACTACTTGGAACACTTAGGAAAGTTGACATATATTAGCTTACAAAGACAACCTCAATGAGTTCCGTAACAGAAATAATACAAACAACATTCTGTGCTCACAATGCAATAAAACTAAAAATTAATCATAAGATTAAAAACCAAAAAGGCCCTTCAATTTGAAGAGTTACAAGATTAAACTCTATTAAATAAGTTTTTAGGTGAAAGGAAATACACAAACCAAGTGCATAATTTTTGAATTTGACGATAATTAAAATATATCACTCTGTGGAATACACATAAAGCTGTGGTTATAACCTCAGAAATGAAACCAAACGAATTAATGGATTTATCATCTAACTAAAAATGATAGATAAAAATAGCCAAATAAACTTAGAGTAGAATGACAAAAAATAAGAGTAAGATTGGAAATTCATGAGTTTTAGGAATGAGAAAAAAATGAAACTGATAAATACACAAAATACTACATCCTAGAAAAAGAATCAAGTGGACAAACCTCTGTCTAAGCTAATCATGAAGGGGAGAGAGAGAGACCCCAAACAACACAGAATAAGAAATGACATTAACAGAACAGAGCATATTTAAAAAAATCATTAAAAGCTTACTTTGTATAGTGCTTTGCAAGTAAGTGTGAAGACCTGGATAGAAAGGGAACTTCTTTAGGAAAATATAATTTATTCAGATTGACCCCAGTAGACACAGAAAGTTTTAAAAAAAAATTCCTACTGGAAAAAAATTCAAATCTATATTTTCACAGGAGAATTCTATCAAATCTTCAAAGAACAGATATCTCAATGCTACTTAAATTATTCTAGAACATAGAAAAAGAAACCTTAAGATTATTCAATGAGAAAACCACACACCAATCTCACTTAGGAATATTGATGTAAAATGCCTAAGTAAAACAGTATTAGAGAGAACCCTTTAAAAATGGTTTTGAGACAACTGGATAGCCATTTGGAAAAAGATAAAATTTTGTCGATATCTTTCATCATCTACAAGCATACATTTCAAATGTCTCTAAATAGGTAGTTACCAGAAAAACTACCACAAGAAAACATGGGTAAATTTTAAAATAACCTGTGGGTAGGGAAAATTATGATTCAAAATCCAAAAGCAATGTAAAAAAGATTGAGAAATTTGGTTGCATTAGGAAAAAAACAAAACAAAACTGCTTTCGCATGATGGGGGAGGGACACCATAAGCAAAGTGAAAAAGCCAGGTAATAAACCAGTAGAAAATATTTGCATCTTATATCACAAAGCTAATTCCTTCAAAATATAGATTATAACAAGATACCATTTCTCATGGGCCATATTGGCAGAGAGGAAAAAACTCAAAACAAAACAATACAAGTTTGATGGCGCCCTCTATTGGCGAGGCTGTGGAGCAGCCATTCAGATTGCTCCACCCCTGGAGGAAACAGGATGCCTTGGGACTTGGTGCACCTGCATAGACCCTGACTCAGCCATGCCTCCTTCCTGAATTTACCTGGAAGACAATACTCCAAATCCAAACATGCTCATGGCATATGGAGATCTTAAATTAATAGGTCCTCTTTTATGTCTTTCAATAAAGTAACAGATATGTTTCTATAGAGGTCTTCCATTTTTACATTAAATTGATTCCCAGGTATGAAATTTTGGCTACTGTCCCAGTGGCAGCCCTCTGGAAATGACCTTTGTTGAGTTTGTGTTTTGACCTGGTATCCAGCAACCTTGCTTAACAGTCTGAAGAGCAGCTTGGGGCTTTTCTCTATGGACAGTATGTCTCCTGCATGTAATGACAGTTGGCTTTCATTCATCCATTGCAATCTTCATCCTTTAATTTCTTTTTGTTTTCTTACTTCTGTGGTTGGGAGTGACAGAACAGTGTTAAGCAGAAGCAGTTATACTGCAAATTCTTGTCTTATTCCTTCTTGTAGGGCCATCTCTAATGGTCCACCATGAGGTGTGGAGTTTGCTGTGGACTTGTGGTAGATCCTCACTTTGTTAAGGAAGTCTCCTTCTGGTCCTAATTTGCTAGGAGTTTTTTCTCCCTTTAATTGTGAATGCATGTTGAACTTTATGAAATGGTTTTTGGGCATCAATTGAGATGATCTGTTAATGTGATGAATTATGTGATTGCGACAATAGCTTTTCTAATATTACACCAAGTTGACATGCCTGGGATAAACCTGTATTTCATCATGATATGTCTCTTAAAAATTGCTGGGTTCACTTGGCTAATACTTTATTTAGGATGTTTTTTCACCTGTTTATAAATGAGTTTGGCCTATAATTTACCTTTCTTATTCTGCCTTTCATTGGTTTTAGTGTGGAGATTATATTAGACCCATAACATTCAGCATCTCATCCTTTTCTCTTTTGGAGAGCAATTAATATAAGACTGAGGTGATATGTTCCTCAATGGTATTGTTAAAACTTACCTGTGACACCTTCTGGTTCCAGTGCATTACTAGTGGCCAGATTTCAAGTGACTAATTAAATTTCCTTAACATTTAAAGTCTATTCACAATGAGGAAATAAACCTTACCTCATCAGTTGGCTTCCTTCAACACTACCATTTTTCTTCTTTCTTGTGAGTATGTGAGCCTTAGTTCAGGCTGCTATAACAAAAATATCATAGATTAGTTTAGAGAACACACATTCATTCCTCACAGTTCTGAAGGCTGGGAAGTCTAACGTCAAGGGGCTGGTGATTCCTGGTGAGGGCCCTCTGCTTGGTTTGCAGATGGCTGCCTTCTTCCTGTGCTCTCACATCGGGGAGAGAGAGAGCATCTCTCTCGTGACTTTTCTTCTCATTCCCATTCATGAGGGCCTAATTTCTTCCCAAAGGCCCCACATTATAATAGCATCACATTAAGGATTAGGCTTCAACCTCTGAATTTGGGAGGAGCACATTCAGCCCTTAGCAGAACCCCACCCCCAAGATTTTCCTAAGTGAATGAATAGTCATCCCCCAGCCTTGTTCCTGGCCTCTAACAGCATTTTAGAAGGAGGTTTCTCATGACTGGGGTTGGCTGAGATGGGAATTTCCTGATTCCATTGGCTGTGATTCAGCCCCATGCCATCCTGCCAGTAAGATGAACACATGAGTCATGCTCAGCTGCTAGGGTGCCTGGTGCTGCTTCCAGTTCCTCTGGGTGACCTCTGTCCAGCACATAAACCTCCTGAAGCATTCCGAATTTGCGGAAAGTGAGCCACCCTCCCAATGTGTACATGTCTGGGCCTACCTTCCTGCTCTCGTATGTGACAGGCACACAGCCTTTCCAGAAGGTACCTCATTGCCTAGTACAGAAATGCTGAGGTTCTCACAGGAGTGAGAACCCTACTGACTGGCTGTTGTGTCTCTCCCATACAGTCGGGTGTGGAGCAGTTGGACCCACATACCTATCTGCGCCCATCCTCAGTTGAAAGGTAGTGAACAGCTTGGGCTGTGGACTCAGGCAGGCCTCGGTTCAAATCCCAGCTCTGCCACTCAGGGGCTGTGTGTGCAGATAGGCTGCATCTATTGTCCAAAGCCAAACATGGGGAAAACCAAACAATCTCTCAAAGGGGTGTGGTGAGGGCTTAGGCAAAAGACTGGTGTACCGTGGCTCGGATGGATTAGTTTCCATTCTCCCTCTCTCTGTTTCCAGCTTTCCTCTCACTACAAGATGAGGGCCCTGTCCCTCTTGGGCGTTTGCCAAAGGAAGGTCTGGACACCCAGCAGCTCATTCATGTCGCTTCCCAGTTTGCTGTTACCATGTTGCAGTGCAGAAGCCATAAGCCGCATGATCCGTGAGCCTGGCCCTGCAACTTGGCTCCTCCACACAGCAGCGTTTGCCTTCATTGTCACAGATGACTATGAGAAGATGCCCTTGGTCATCTTTGGTCTGGGCTCTGGAGTTCTGTAGAGCTTTGAGCCGCCAGAGCTAAGGGGGTGAGGCTTGCCCCAGGCCGGTGGCACACCCAGGACTGGGCCTGGATGACTTTAATGGTAGGACAGAAGGAAGAGAAAGGAGCTCCCCAGAGTCCAGCTGCTGGGCTGTGCAGCCCATTTGCAGTGTACTTCCAGGAGCCTTGATGGTGAATGCTGTAAAAGGGGGAATCTTTCTTCCCCACCTTTCTTTAAATCATAGAGCTATTGTGATGGCTTCTGAGCTGCAATAGAATCACCCATGAGGATTTTTGTTTGTTGTCTTGGCATGAAGTTCCTGTCCCTTCACAGTAATCCGGCAGGTGCCTCCCAGGGCATGGAGTCATTGTGTCACATTCTTCTCCAGGACTGCAGGAGGGTGGGCACAGAGTTCCACAACTTGAAATGCAGCAGACAGTTGAAAGGATTCTGCTCACACCAGGAGTTGGATTGTATTTTTCCAAATGCATTAAGTATTTTAAGCAGCTTGAGCTGCTTAATGGGCCTGAAAGCATTTGATTAGTCCAAAGGGCTCTATGCCCGGCAGGTCAGGGGACAAGAAGTTCTTAAAATCCTATGGGTCTGACCCCTTCTGCTCTCTCTGGCTATCTGGCTACAACGGGTCCCCAGGGTTGCAGCAATAGCTGTGACCTGCTTATCTTCCCAGAAGTGCTGGAGGCAAGCTGATCCCTGAGCACTGTGCCTGGAGCACTGCAGGTGCCCTGCAGCCATCTCCATCCACACCCCCTGCCTGGCCTGCCCCGATTCCAGGCTGGGCCTCGGGCTCCCCTCCCTTCTTCGTCCCCCTCCTCATCTATCTGTGGCTCTTTCTCTCGGGCCCTACCACCAAGCCCTCTCCTTGCCATTCTCTTCTGTCCCTCAAGCCGTATTCCTCAGCATCACATGGTCCTCCCGGGTCCCGGTCCACTCCTGTCATGTGAGAACAAATGGTGTCTGCTGGAATTTGCTTCGGGCCTCTGTTGTGTTTTGAGCCAATGTGTGTGGTCCTCCTAACGTCATTTGATTCATCCGGCAAAAGGCTCTGCTGCCTGCCTGTCTGGGGCAGAGCTTCTAAGACCCTGTCAGTTTTGGACAATGAGGCTTCCCTGGGGGTGCAGAGTGGTGAAGCTGTTTGGAATCCTTCTCTTGAGGTGGAGTCCAGAGTTTCTTCCTGTCAGTTCCTCCCCATTTGTGTCAGCAGGGTGCTATGTCCAGCGCAGGTCCTCCCCTGGCCCCTTTCTGGCCTTGCAGAGTGCCCCCGGCCCCGTGTGAGCAGATGGCCTTCTGGGCGGAGCGTGCAGTCTCTTGGCAGGGCAGCCAAGTTGGGGGTGAGATGGACCTAGGGCTCTCTGACCCCGTAGGTTTGGCCTAGGCTGAGACTCTGAGCAGGTCACTTACCTCTGGGTCCTCATGCTCAGGTTCAAAATGAGACAGACAGTGGAGTTAAGAGATGATTTTTCTGATCCTTCTTTGGGTCTTTGCATCAGTTATTTTAAAAAAAGAGAAAAGCAAGCCAACACAACCATCCTCGGCTGATTGGTGGAGCAGGGCTTACTTATGTGGCTAGTTAAAAGAAAATTTATTTTTGAAAGCTGCATGGAGATTTTCCGTAAGCACAGTAATGTGAGCCGGGGTCAAAGCTGTCTTTCAGAGACAGGGAAGTGCAGAGATGTTCAATGTAAATTGTGCCTTTTAGCTAAACACTTGGTAGATTCAGCACTGGCCGTGTAGGTTTGTCCTGCTTGTTTTGGGGGAACCAGAAAAGATCTGATTGAATTTAATCTGATTTCTGCTAGAGTTTGGTCATGTAAGATTTGAAAAAGTGAACCTTCCTGAGCCAGAGCAATCAGGCAACAAAGAAATAAAAGGCATCCAAATAAGAAAAGAAGCCAAACTGTCTGTCTTCACTGATGTTATGATTCTATACATAGAAAACCCTAAAGACTTTGCCAAAAGGCTCCTGTAACTGATAAACAACTTCAATAAAGTTTCAAGATACAACATCAATGTAGAAAAGTCAGTAGCATTTCTCTACACCAATAATGTTCAAGCTGAGAGCCAAATCAGGAACACAATCCCATTTACAATCGCCACACACAAAAATACTTAGGACTACAGCGAACCAAGGAGGTGAAAGAAATCAGAGATGACACAAACAAATGGAAAAACATTCTATCCTCATGGATTGAAAGAATCAATATTGTTAAAATGACCATACTGCCCAAAGCAATTGACAGATTCAGTGCTCTTCCTATCAAACTGCCAAGGCCATTTTTCACAGAGCTAGAAAAAACTATTCCAAAATTAATATGGAACCAAAACAGAGCCAGATAGCCAAAGCAATCTGAGCAAAAAGAAAAGCCAGAGGCACCAATTACCAAACTTCAAACTATACTACGAGGCTGCAGTAACCAAAACAGCATGGGACTGATACAGAAGCAGACACACAGAGCAGTGGAACCGAGTAGAGAACCCAGAAATAAAGCCACACACCTACAACCATCTGCCCTTTGACAAAGCTGCCAAAAATAAGCCATGGGGAGAGGACTCCCTATTCAGTAAATGGTGCTGGGATAGCTGGCTAGCCTTATGCAGAAGAATGAAACTGGATCCCTACCTTTTACCATGTAAAAAATCAACTCAGTTGGATTAAAGATTCAACCTATGAGAATCCTAGAAGAAAACCTAGAGAAACATCATTCTGGATATTGGCCTTGGGAAAGAATTTATGACTAAGTCCTCAAAAGCAATTGCAACAAAAACAAAAATCAACAAGTGGAACCTAATTAACTAAAGAGCTTCTGCACAGCAAAAGAGTAAACAGACAACCTACAGAATGGGAGAAAATACAAACTATGCATCCAACAAAAGTCTAATATCACAACTCTACAAGGAGCTTAAACAATTGAACAAGCAAGAACCAAATAACCTCGTTAAAAATTGGGCAAAGGACATGAACAGACACTTCTCAAAAGAAAACAGGTAAGAAGCCAACAAGCATATGAAAAAATGCTCAACATCACTAATCATCAGAAGAATGCAAATCAGTACCACAGTGAGATACCATCTCACATCAGTCAGAATGGCTATTTTTCAAAAGCAAAAAAAATAACAGTTGCTGGCAAGGCTCTGAGGAAAAGGGAACTCTTACACACTATTGGTAGGAATGTAAATTATTCAGCCACCTTGGAAAGCAGTTTGGAGATTTCTCAAAGGACTTAAAACAGAACTACATTTGACCCAGCAATCCCATTCCTCAGTATATTTCCAAAAGAAAATAAATCACTCTACCAAAAAGACACATGCACTTGTATGTTCATCACTGTGGTATTCACAAGGGCAAAGACACATAATCAGTCTAGGTGCCCATCAGCAGTGGACTAGATAAAGAAATTATGGTACATATACACCATGGAATACTATGGAGCCATAAAAAAGAACAAAGTCATGTCCTTTACAGCAACATAGATGCAGCTGGAGGCCATTATCCTAAGCAAATTAACACAGAAACAGAAAACCGAATACCACATGTTCTCACTTATAAGTGGGAGTCAAACATTAGGTACTCATAAAGATGGCAACAGTAGACACCAAGGACTACTAGAGGGCAGAGGGTGACAGCGGGGCAAGGGTTGAAAACTAACTGTTGGGTACTGTGCTTGTTACCTGGATGACGGGATTAATCATACCCCAAAGCTTAGCATCACACAATATACCCAGGTAACAAACCTGCACGTGGACTCCCTGAATGTAAAATAAAGGTTGAAATTAGTCAAAAAATAAGGAAAAGTGGGCCTTCCCCGCCCCCCACACTTATAAAGAGTTAAGGATTTTGTGTTTATTTTAAGCCATGTTGAACTCAGCCCAACATATTGACACAAGGCAGGACTTAGTGCAGTGTCACTAGGCTTTAATTTTGTTGCCCTTTGGGCTAATAAAGTCAGGTTATCTCACTGGGCTGTTTCCTTATCCATTAAGACATTTGATGTAACTAAGTACCCATCCTATGGTGACATAAACTTTTTCTTATGTCATTGGAAAGTCCAGAATACCTGGTTGCAGGCAAGGTTTGATCTAGCAGCTTGACCTTGTTAGCACAGGTCCAGTTTCTTTCCCTCAGTCCTCCCTGGTATTTTATCAGCTTCATCCTAAGGCTGGTTCAGGGAAGATATTCTGATGATATATATTTCTGCTTTGGCAATGGAGGATTTATATTCGATTGTCAGAAGTCCTCATGTCCTATTTAAAGTCTAGTCATTGGAAAATAGGTTGATAAGGATGGACCTGAAGAAAATAAAGCAGCAATTTGTCATGACAAAGCAAGACTAGGAAGAGGCATTGGACCAGCATGACCAATTCAAGGACACGTTGATGATGTCTTCAGCGCAAGTGTTCTTCCCAAGCTTGGGGGACCTGGCAGGGCTGCCTACAGGGCTGGTGTCCAGCCTGCTCTATAGAAGGCGAATTAGAGATCGCAATAACGGGCCAGCTTCCATGATGACCCCAGGTTGTAGTGATGTCTATGTAGAAATGAAATAAATGCATAATTAAAACCAAAGGTAGGCTTGCATTTGGGTTGAGGTCCTGGCACCTACGGAGGCCACAAGTGTGTCAGGGTGGAAGGTAACTTGGTGAAATAGGAAGTCACTGCCTATTGCCCACTCATGTCCCCACTGATGGAGTTAGCTGGGGGATCCCCTGGTGCAGACCCTGGAGAGGCATCACTGTCTTCCTTGTTCAGTGGGCTTGGGTCACCTGCATGAATTCTGAGGTTGGGAAGGTGTAAACATTTCCCTCAACACCTGCAGCCCAGCCGCCGTCTCCCTGGGTGCTTCAGTCAGCCGTCACGTTGGGGAGGCGTCATGTAAGGTGGTCCTTGTCTGAGTAGAACCTGATTTTGAAAATGAAATTCATTTCCTTGCCTTCATTTTCCAGACGAAAAGATATGTATTTGTGGTGTGTGTGTGGCGGGAGAGTAATTGGCTTTGGTTTTGACAAGGAGGACACCAGAGTCCTGTTCTGATACTCAGTTTTGGGCCCATGCGTGACAATTCTGTGTTTCTTTTCAGCATTTGCCAATACATTATTTTCTAGAGTCTCTCCCAGCATACGGAAAAACCCCAAATTCAAATTTGACTTTTCTCTTCGAGGCTGGTTGTGGCATGCTGAAGCTCCCAAGGCATGTAATGTAGTGAACAAGGTGGCCTCCAGGAGCGCTGTCGGCTCATGGGCCCCACCCACCCACCTCGCGGTGTAGGAGGATCCACCAAGTCACTGTCAGAGTGGGTTGGAGAGACCTGGCCTGGGGTCAGCTCTGTGGGCAGATGGGCCCTTTCCCCCACTGGGTGGAGTACGCTCCTTAGTAGCCCAAGACAGAACATTGCCTTCTCCCGAGAAACCCACCTCTGGGGAAGGTTAGGCCATGGGATCTGCGGGAAGGGTTTTAGGAGTAGATTAATGGGATTTGTGATCCCAAGCACCCAGGCCACTCTGTGGTCCCCACCCCTGGGCTTGAGTCCTGCTGAGGTATAAGTGGTGCTAGAAGACCTCTGCCCTGCCCTGCCCTGCCCTGCCCCAGGAACCTGGCTTTCTCTGGGCTAATGAGTGTCCTCTCTGAAGGTATCCAGAGGCCGTGCAGACACTCACACTTTGGTGTGAGGCGTGCCCTCGGTTGATCAGTTACACTGCTGTGGGGTGCACAGGTGGCAAGGTGGGGGATTCTGGGATCGGGGAGGCTAGTCTGGGTGTAGGGTCCTGCCCTGGAGGGGCTCACAGTGGGGTTGAAAGCAAGCTCTCGAGGCGTTATTATTCGGGACTCTGAGTGCCGGGCCATGCTGGGGGAGTGAGGGCAGGGGGAGCTGCGGAGGCAGGGCTCTGAGGGCTTTAGAACAAGAGCCGGTGTGTGTTTCCCACTGAGTACCTGCCGGCACCTCATTTATGCCACGTAGCAACCCCATGACATAGGCTTATAGGGGACTATAATTATCCCCATTTCACAGCTGGGAGAACCTAGGCTTAGTGTCACAGAACCTAGGCTTAGCCACTGGGTGGCTGATACTGCCACCCAGTTCTGAGCCAGTATCAGCTTCCAGCCCCCTGACTCAGTCTCTCTGCTGTGGTTTCCTCTCAAGTGCCAGGATCCTTCCTGGTCCCGTTTCCAACTCAGACCAGTGGAGGGGCGCGCTGTGGTTACCACTCATTAGAAGAGAGGCAGGGTCTCTCTGTCTCTCTCTGGGTGTCCCCCACTGCCATCTCTGGGTGCTGGGGGAGCTGCTGTATATCTCTCTCTGTCTATCCCTATCTCTCCCTCCACTGCCATCTCTGGGGGTTGGGAGAGCTGCTCTGTCTCTCTATCTCTCTCCCCCCCCACCCCACTGCCATCTCTGGAGTTTGGGGGAGCTGCTCGCTCTCTCTCCCCCCTCCCACTGCCATCTCTGGAGGTTGGGGGAGCTGCTCTATCTCTCTCTCTCTCTCTCTCTCTCCCCCCACTGCCATCTCTGGGGGTTGGGGGGAGCTGCTCTCTCTCTCTCTCTCTCTCTCTCCCTCTCTCCCCCTCCGCCAACCACTGCCGTCTCTGGAGGTTGGGGGAGCTGCCTGGGATGCAGAGCGGCTTGGATTGGTGCTCCCTCTGCCTCAGTGGTTGAGCTGACCTCTGTCCAGTCTGTACACATTGGATCCTGAGGCTGAGCTTGGGTGGCTGTGGCAGGAAGGTTTGGTGACATCACACCCTTCAGGCTTGTGTCTGTCTGAGCCAGGCTCTGACTGGCTGGGAGAAGAGGAGGAGGTGGGGTTCTGGGAGGCCCTGAGGCTGAGCACGGCTGCTGTGCTCTGTGGCTGCACTGCAGGGGCACGGGCTCAGCATGTTCTGGGCCAGGGCACACAATGCTTTCAGATCAGGCTCCAGCACCCCACACGCCCCTTCATGCTTTGCACTTTTTGTCTACCAGCCAGAGGGCAGTGAATAATGAGAACAAACAACATCGGGTCCAGATTTTCGTGGTCATTTTCCTAACAAGCCGAGGTCAGAGAGCACTGAAAGGAGGCCTAAGTGCTTCTGCCACCTCAGCTGACTGTTTTTCAAAAAGGAAAGCATGCGTGGGATGTGTGTATTAGGTGTTACGGTGATGTCTGTTGTCAGATCATGGCCAGAAAAGGGGTTGTTTCAATTAAAATGGATTTTGGACTTCGTTTTTCTTGGAATGAGTAAATTGAGGGAAATAGCACATGTTGAGATTTTGGATTTCTGCTCTTAGAAAGGATTTAAAATAAGTGGTCTTCAGTAGTTCCACAGCGGATCTTCGAGACTGGTACAGATGGGGTCTCCTGGATGTAACGAGTTCTTGCTGCTTTAACTGGATCCGGTTGACTCTGTCTGACCAGCTCAGCTGGTTCGTTCTATGAAACGCACTTCTGCTTTCTGGAATCTGAAGGAAGGAGAGAGATAGAAGACAAAGAAGGACAGATGTGTTGGTGGCCAGACCCTGGCTTCTGAACAGTCCTTCCTGATGGCTTCAGGACCTGGGAGGAGCGGCGGAGCAGGTGGCTGCCCTGGGCTTGCCAGACACCTCCATTCCAGCAAGATCCTCCTGGGGGATGTGGTGCCCTCCCTGCCTCTCAGGCACAAGCATATGCTTGTTTGGCCTAAAAAAGTCTCCTTAATTAAAATTAATATCGTAATGCAGTAAATCCTTCTGCCTCCTCTTCCCCTGCCCAGTTACAATTCCCGGCGGCTCTCCAGCCCATAGAGGAGGCTTCTCAAAGTTTCCTGCCTCCTGGAGGAGAGAAGCCATTCCCCGATCACCCAAAAGGACAAAGTATGTGCCCACTCTGCGTCCTTGCTTGTCACTGCCCAACATCTGCAAACATTAACTAAAGTGCTGAGCCCATTCAGGTGTAGGACTCACTAGTTGGTTAATGTGACAGACAGCGTTTCCTGTGCCAGCGCTGGCTGGTCACTTCCTGTCATCCAGCACTCTTGAGTGTTGCAGTGGATGCCTGTTTCGTAGGAACACTCAGCCTGTTCCGTAAGAAGGAGCGCCACTTCTCAGCCTGTACTTAGCAGGTCACTACTGTTGGCCACTCTGCTTTTCTTTTTAAAATTTTAATTATTAAAAAAATTTTTTTTGAGAGTTTCCCTCTGTTGTCCAAGCTGAAGTGCAGTGGTATGATCTTGGCTCACTGTCACCTCTGCCTCCCTAGTAGCTGGGATTACAGGTGTGTGCCACCACGCCTGGCTAATTTTTGTATTTTTAGTAGAGACGGGGTTTCACCATGTTGGCCAGGCTGGTCTTGAACTCCTGACCTCAGGTGATCTGCCTGCCTTGGCCTCCCAGAGTGTTCGGATTACAGGCATGAGCTACTGCTCCTGGTCCCCTTCTTATTTTTATGTTAGTCTTTGGAAACAATTGGCATATATTTTAGTCTGTTTAGGTTACTGTAACAAAATACCATAAACTAGGTGGTTTACAAACAACAGACATTTATTTCTCACAGTTCTGGATGTGGGAAGTCTAAGATCAAGGCGCCAACAGATTTGCTGTCTGGTGAGGGCTTCCTGGTTCATAGAAGGCCATCTTCTCACTACATCCTCACTTGGTGGAAGGCTCAGGAGAGTTCTCTGGAGTCTCTTTTACAAAGGCACAAATCCCATTAATCACCTCCCAAAGGCCCACTGTCTAATAGCATCACTTTGGGCATTAGGTTTTAACATGTGAATTTGGAGAAGGGCAGGCACAAACATTCAGTCTGTAGCAGCATACAAAAATGTAACAAGAATAATGTGATGAACAGCTAGGTATCCACAAGCTGCTAAAGGTAGAGAATACTACCATATTGGTTACCTATTTCTGTGTAACATATTATGCCAACACTTAGTGGTATAAAACAGTAAACATTTATTATCTCACACATAGTCTGTGGGCCAGGAATATGGAAGCAGCTGAGCTGGGTGGTTCTAGTGGAGGGGAAAGATGTGAGCTGGGGCACCTGAAGGCTTGACTGGGGCAGGAGGATCCACGTCCAAGATCGACTTCACCTGGCTGTTGGCTGGCAAGAGGGCTCAGTTCTTTGCCATATAGACCTTTCCACAGAGCTGCTTGAGTGTCCTCACAACATGGCAGGCGGATTCCCCCAGCCTCAGTGATTCAAGAGAGAGTATAGAGAGAGTAGAGAGGAAGCCGCTGTGCCTTTTATGACCTGGTCTCATTAGTCATACACTGTCATTTCTGCTTATGTCTGTTCACTAGAAGCAAGTCACTAAATTCAGGCCACACTCAAAGAGAAAGGAATTAGGTTCCACTCTTTGAAGGGAGTGTCAAAGAATATGTGGAGAGAGATATATATATATATATATATATATTCTTTTTTTTTTTTTTTTGAGATGGAGTCTCACCACTCTGTCACCCAGGCTGGAGTGCAGTGATGTGATCTCAGCTCACCGCAACCTCCGCCTGCCAGGTTCAAGTGATTCTTCTGCCTCAGCCTCCCAAGTAGCTGGAATTTACAGGCACACACCACCACACCTGGCTAATTTGGGTATTTTTAATAAGGCAGGGTTTCACTATGTTGGCCAGGCTGGTCTCGAATTCCTGACCTCAAGTGGTCTGCCCGCCTCAGCCTCCCAAAGTGCTGGGATTACAGGCATGAGCCACCATGCCCAGCCTGTGGATGTATTTTAAAGCATCATAACACCATTGCAGCTAGAGCCCCTCCCCAGTTGCATCTTGTCTTTCACACAGAGGTAACTACTGTTGAAGTTTGATCCTTGTTTATGGCCTAGTACATGTATAAGTATTTCTATCCCTGTTAGTTCTGCATTTTGTCTGTAAGCGTTATGTAAATGATATCACCTTGTATTTTTTTCTGTAGTGTGCCTTTTTTTTTTTTTGAGATGGAGTCTTGCTCTGTTGCCCAGGCTGGAGTGCAGTGGCGTGATCTCGGCTCACGGCAAGCTCCACCTCCTGGGTTCAAGCGATTCTCCTACCTCAGCTTCCCGAGTAGCTGGGATTACAGGCGCCCGCCACTGCACACAGCTAATTTTTGTATTTTTGGTAGAGACGAGGTTTCGCCATGTTGGCCAGGCTGGTCTCGAACTCCTGGCCTCAAGTGATCCGCCTACCTTGGCCTCCCAAAATGCTAGGATTGCAGGCCTGAGCCACCGCGCCCATCCAGTGTGCCTTTTTTGCTTAACATTATGTTTGTGAGATTCATCCATGTGAAAACAGGTGGCTGTATTTCATGCATTTTCACTGCTGTGTGGTATTGCATTGTACAAACATAAGACTATTTGTCGTTCTCCATTGATGGATGCTTAGTTGGGTTCCTGTGACTTGCTGCTACAAACAAGGTTGTCTTGAGTACTCAGGTATGTGTCTCTCTGTGAACGTGAGCTGGATTTGTCAGTATATTTAGCAAGGATTGGAATTGCTATGGGAGAGAGTACAGTAATCTTCAAACGTACTAGAAACAGCTAAATTTTATTCCAAAGTGTGTGGGTGTCCTCATGAGTGGTCCCACTGACAGCGTATGAGTTTCCTCTTCTCCTTTTTCTTGACAGCACTTGGTGTTGTCAGACATTTTACATTTTTGTCTAATGCGTGAAAGTGCTGTCTACATGAGGTATTAATTTGCATTTCCCTGCGTGCCAGTGAGGCTAACATCTTTCCATGTATCTATTTTCACATATATATTTTTTCATATATTTGGTATTCTGTGAATGACTGGCCATATCTTTTGCACCTTTTTTTCTGTTTTCTTATTGATCAATCTGATCCGTTGTTGAGTTTATGTACCATAAATATCTTTTTTCTTTTCTTCCTTCTAACATAATGTAGAAGCTAAGAGTGTGGATTCTGGGGCCACATTGCCAGGGTTAAATCCCAGCTTCAACACTTCCTGTGTGGCCTTAGGCTTAGTCTGTGTATGCCTCAGTGTCCTCATCTGCAAAATGGGATGATGGCTCCCCACGGTGGGCCTGGGAGGATGCGCAGGTTCGTATCTGTGAATCAGTTAGTGCCTGTCATAGTAAGCACAAGATAGACTAATGCAACCTAGTGTGCTGGGCCCTGTGTGGCCACACGGGGCTGTATGCACAGGCGTCACCATGGCCAGAGCTGGAGCTCAGATGTGTCTGAGAAGATTGGCAGATGCTGCTTCACTCTGGCTCCCGGTCTCCTGGGTGGCCCTGCTTCCATCCCTGAGCTGCCTGAACGGAAAACGAAATCCCATCCCCGCTCCAGGGGGTGCCTGGGAATTGGAAGGCATCAGGCTCCTCACAGCAAAAATAGAAGCCTCATTTGCTTAGGAGAGAACAATGACGAGGAGGCAAGCCAGCAGAGGCGGCCTTGGCGGGCTGTGTACACCCTCTGCTTGTCTCCGCACTCCCTGGGGTCAGACGTAGACGTGGCTAAGCTGCCTGCAGACCTTCTCTTCCCCTTCATCCTGGCCTGCAGTGGGCATCAGGGTCCATCCTGGGACGTGGGCTGTCTTGGCACCAAGTTCCAGTTCTTAATACCTCAGTGTCACACTGTTCCCTGATTTCTCAAAGCCAGGAAGGAATTGCAGAAAACAAGGTCAGTTTAGTATCGAGAATCACTGGAGAGCCGTGTCAGAGCCCTGCTGAGAAGGGCGCGGGGAACTGTGTTCCTGTCTACCTGATGCTGTGGGCTGCACAAGGACGGACTTACTGAAGATTACAGGCCAGGGGGAAGAGGGCACGTTTAGTGTCAACCCTACACAGAAGAAGTTAGCTCCGCTGGGCGCGGTGGGCACTTTGGGAGGCTGAGGCGGGTGGATCACCTGAGGTCAGGAGTTCAAGACCAGCCTGGCCAACGTGGCGAAACTGCGTCTTTACTAAAAATACAAAAATTAACCTGTTGTGGTGGCATATGCCTGTAATCCCAGCTACTCGGGAGGCTGAGGCGGGAGAATTGCTTGAACCCGGGGTGGGAGAGGTTGCAGTGAGCTGCACTCCAGCCTGGGCAACGGAAACTCCGTCTTAAAAAAAAAAAAAAAAAAGAACAAGTCAGCTCAGCCCCACTGCAAGGAGCTCCTGGGTTTATTTAAGTGAGCCTCAGATAACTTTACATAAAAGCAAATGTGTAAAAAGCGATAAAGTCAGATATATTGAACATTTGTCCTGAGGGCAAATTTCTGAGCTCTAAAAGCCAGTTTGGTTTTAGATAACATCTGTGAGTCTGGAAACAGGCTGAGATACTCTATATCTGCACTCCCAACTCTGCCTTTGGCTTTGTGAGCCCTGTGGTCTCCTTGAAAGAATTGGTCCCCAGTGGGTGAACTAATCACCCATGAAGAGTCTCCCAATTCAAATCTGGAATAAAAAGTGAGGACATGGGGGCAGAATGTTACTCATCACATGTGGCCCGTCAGTACTAGACTTCAAGGTAAGTTTCCAAGAACAGAGCTCTGTGACCATTTTCATGATAGCAATTTGTACATTATTACTAAGTAATTTTAATGCCGTGTTTACAGGCCACCTTCCCAAACAAAACAATTGTTTCTGGAAGTTAGACTCTTGAAGACTTAACTTTTAATCCAGTTTGTTCTCAAAACATTTGCACAAATGAGAGTCTTGAGGTTTGAGCTTTCTATTCTAAAGGCTCAGCTTCTTGCCCAGGAGAAAAATAATACATGCTCGTGTTTATAAATAAGAGTTATGGCATTGGAGTCCTTTACATTGCAGCCAGCCTAGGGACTCAGTTATTCAGAATTTAAACATTTTACTTGTAAAGAGCACTTTGGTATCCACCCCAAGGGCCCTCCTCTGCCTGTCTCAGCACCATCTCTGTGTGTCCCATCAGGAAGCAACAGACAACTCCCTAAGCCCCACAGTAAAAACGTCTCTCCTGGTCTGGGGGCGCATCCATCCCCCATGTCCCCAGTCCCATCCTGGGTGTTCTGGGATTCCAGCCACAGCTGTGGGGACACCGCCATCTCACTGCATCCCTCTTGCTCTTGCGGCAGCTTGGCTGAGCTACAGGGCCGGGCCGCAGGAGGCGTCCTTGTGCCGGAGCTCACCTTGTGCCGGAGCTCACCTTGTGCCAGGTGTTGAGCTCTGCCAGCTGCCCGGCCCCACTGTGAGGCCGCCCCTTGCAGGTGAGTTCACTGGCAGCCCAGCCAGCCCACGAAGGCCATGTGAGTGTGAACCCCCATTACAAGCTTTCCCTCATGAGATGGCGCTGATCAGTCTGGGGGATACCTGCCTTTCAGTATGGGCTGCAGCCATTAGGCTGGTACCAGGAGGAGCCAGGTCGAGCTGGCACTGGGGCGACGCTCTGTCTTTGATGCACCCTGATGCCTCCCCCATCCTGCTGACCATGGTGCTCAGCACAGACCCCTTCCAACCCATCCCAGGGCCTCTGCTCAGTGTGGCCAGAGCCTCCTGTCAACAAGTATGTCACTGCCTTCGGGTTATTATTGTTCACCAGATTCCACTTGCTCTACAACCCAGGCACAGTGCACCAGAGTTTCCCAAACCTGTGTGCCGAGTGCCAGCCCCTTAGCAAGTGCAGCGTTGCCCATTTCACTCTGGGAAATGCAGCCATAGCTCTGGGGCCAGCTAGAGGAAGGAGTGTGATTGTGCCTTCCCGGGACAGCTTCCAGGTCTGGGAGTCTGTGATGTTGTGAGTGTTGCCTTAGCTTTGCTAAGAAAATGCTTAGGGAGATGGGTTCCTTCACCCATTCTTCCACTCATGTGCCTTTCTGGCTCCAGGGCTGGTGTCCCCTGCTTTGGAGGGGACGCTCACATGAGCTGCCCTATTGGGGTTCCGTCAAGTTTCTCTTAGCCTAAGCGGCTTCCTGTCTCGGGCTCCCTCCCCAGCCATTTGGGTCACCTTGGGTCCCTGAGGATCGCTTCTGGATCTTGGACCCCCTCACCAACTCCTGTGACATAATAATCAAAGGTAATCAGGAAATGTATGAATCGTCTTCTTTAAGGAATATTTAGCATTTCTGCTCATTCCAGAGTCCCTGGAAGCATGGCATTTCAAAGGCTTGGTTAGATCACAAGTCCAATTTACTGCCAGAAATTTGCACGTAGAATAATACAGAGCCTATGATGGCAGTTGAAGTGGTATCCTGTGAGAAAATTAATTAGTCCTGAAACTAAATGCCGACAGCCTCAGCAAAATATTCATGAGAGAAGCAAACCTCGTGCGTGGTGTTTGAAGTCAGGCAGCTGAGGCTGTGTACTGGACGTGTTCTCTGTGGCTGAGTTCTGCTGTGGATTCTGGGCTAGTCTAGGCAAGGCCTGCCTCTCCTTCTGGACTGGCTCCCAGGGCTGGGGGCTCAGGAAGGCCCTGCACCCTGGAGAAGAAGGGAGCCCCTGAGACTCTTTGGCCTTGTATTTGTGTGTCCCTCTGGGCTGCAGGGCTGCAGAATAAACCAGCTCCCAATCCTCCAAACAAAAATAAAGACCTGTGAATGGCTACACTTGGAGAGCAGAGTGTTTTGATATCATGGGGAGACCTGTGTACTTAATTTACGGCCTGAAGATTGAGAAGGATTTAATTGTTCCAAAAATGGTGAGAAAAGAGCAGGTCCCAGCCTTTCTGTCTGATCACAAACAGCCGAGGGGGACTGGGGAAGTGGCCTGGTCCTCACTGCCCCTGGAGGGGCAGGAAGAGGATGGAGTGATGTGCTTGGCAGATGCAGGAATGGCCAGGCAGTGGGAAAAGCCTAGGGTTTCCAAGCCATGTCTGATCCTCTGTGTTCCTTCTGCCTGCTGGGATGGAGCCCGCCCCCCAAATATGCCTGGCTCACTTACGACTCAGAGTCAGCTGCCCCCAGGGACTTCCCGGCTCTCGTGACCTTGCTGGGCATGACTTTCAGGGGAGCCCTCTGTCCAGGAGACATAGGTCACTCGAATCACACAGCCGTGCTTTAGTGAATGCTAGCCAGGGGCCCTGGAGAGGGCAAGGACAGGACACTCCTGCATGGAAACGAAAATGAATATTTTTCTCTGCAGAAAATGAAAAGTGGTGCTGGGTCCAAGTGGTAGGTGACCTGGCTTTTGAGCGAAAATGCTGCTGGGAAATGAGAGAAAAGAAACATGAAAAGAATGCAAATGAGGGTGGTGGACA
Source organism: Homo sapiens (assembly GCF_000001405.40). Classification (NCBI taxonomy): domain Eukaryota; kingdom Metazoa; phylum Chordata; class Mammalia; order Primates; family Hominidae; genus Homo; species Homo sapiens. The sequence goes on from NT_187660.1 coordinate 1,268,444, forward strand.
GGGGCCCAGAGGCCTGATTCCTCCACCCTCCGCAAAGGCTGGGTGTGTGATGCCTATAAATAGACACTCAAAACCCGTTCTAAATGGAGTGAAGACATGGGCCTGCTTCCTCTTATGGAAAGGCCTTACATAAGGTGCAGTGCTGCTATTGCTCCTGGGCGGTGTGATGATTCTGTGCCTTTGTCGGAAGTCAGTGTGAAGCCTGTGGGGCTTCTGGGGGATGCACATGGATGAGCTCTGGGCTTTCTGGAGACTCGCAGACTCTGGGAAGGAGGCGGTGGGCGATGGGCAGGTCTCCTAGGGCTGGGAAACAGTCCTGAGACAGGCTCCGGGTTTCCTGAGGCGCTTCTGGGCCAGGAGCAAGTGGGAAAAGCTGGACTGCAGGGCTTGGTCAAGTGACAGCTGCCCAGAGCCGGAGTTTAGGGTGCCTGGAGAGGACAGGGGCTGGCAGGCCTGACTTTCTCACTGATCCACTTGGGGTCACAGAGCCAACCTGTAACAGAGTGAGGAACTGAGGCCGCATTGCTGGACTCCCAGTGGAGGATTCTTGCTGCTGGACTAACCTTTAGTTCATGAACTCACCCAGAAATTACTTATTTTTGGAGGACCGCAGATGGCGAGCTTAGGAGTGAAGAAGGGAATACTATTTGATGCTAATGTGATTCCAGGCAACATTCTAGAGGTTCCCTTGCAATTCACCTTCCCAGCCACCTTTGAAGTAGTTATTGGCCAGTTTTATACACGATGAAACTGACAGAGATGGTGTGAAGGGATTTTCTGACGTTCACACAGGAAGCAAGCAGCCCATGCTGACTCCACTGCGGAAAGCGTGTGTGTGATTGACATGCTTTTTGTGTGGTGCTCACTTTGGGTGTGATAAAGAGGCCTCCTTGCAAAGGGCCAGGATCTGTGAAGCACCATGTTGCTTCACAGAACAGGCCGTGAAAAGCCACAGAAGCACCATAGCCTGGGAAAGAAATGGAACAACGGTGCAAACAGCCAGTTTCCCCTGAGCAGAGGCAAGCAGGTTACGGCTCTGCAGCTCCCTTAACGGGTAGCTTGTTCAACATGGAAACATCTTTAGCCTCCTCAGAGACGTTGGGTCATCTCCTTTACATGGGGACCAGAAGTATCTTCCCTGGGCCATTTTGGGTGGAGGAAATTTCGTAATTATAACCCTCTGCTAGGGGTGTCTACCTAGGAAGTGAGAGCAACTGGCCGCTTTCTTAGAGAAGTGAAGACGCTGAGTAGACTAAACCTTTGTGATGAAGTCGAAGCCACTGTGTTGCCTGTGTCCTGTTTCCTTCCCCAGTGAATGGGGCTCTTCCCTACGACTGCAGACCCCAGGACCAGATTGCAGGTGCCCTGTCCAGCAGCGCAGCCATTCGTGAAGGGCTCGCAGCCTGGCCCGGCTCAACAGCTGATGCCCCCGGGAGGAGGCTGTATTACTATCCTTTTTGAAAGGAACACAGAAAGCCCTTTGTAACTTTGTCTGTAGCCAACATGGAGGGAGAGGCAGAATTCAGATGTGATGTTGCAGACAATTGAACACCCCTCCTCCTGTTCCACCCCAGCTTCCTGCCCGTAGCCTTCTAATGCCCTTGCCCTGAATTCCTGATCCAACCCAAGGGCCTGGCCTTGAAACCCCCGAGCCTGCTGGCAGTAGCTTCCTCTTCAGCCTTCCTGTGCAGAGCTTCCTCTATTCAGGGAAGTCTGAGACCTGGTGGCCTCTTTCTCATTCTTTTCATGAAACCATCTTGCCCAGGAGAAGGTGGGCTGAGACCCTGGGCATTGGAAAGGAGAGGTGGTCCTCCTTCCTCTCTTCACTTTCATCGCAGTCCTCTCCCCGCCCACCCCCATATGCACACCCTCCGCAGTCTGAAAGTGTCGTGAAGCACCAGCTCTGCAAACCCGTGGGGTCAAGCTTTGTTGTGGGAAAATACATATTCATGAGGGCTTTGAGGAGCCTCATTAAAATGCAGAGAGTCTCTCCTTTCAGAATGGTACATAAGCCATCTCTTTATTTGCCCAACACATTGTTCTTAAGGCAATAATTATGCGATGAATGGCTAAAGAAACATTTTAATTATTTGTTTAGGGTAATTTCTGATTATCTCATTAGAATTATAATCTGTCCACTTTTACAGGTGATTCAAAGCCTCATATTTACATTTTTATACTTGAAGGAGCTCTATGTGCGCACCTGTATCATTGCTGAAGTGAAAGTAATTTTCTCTGTTTTCTTCTGCTTTATTCCAGAAAGATTTGATCACCAGGAGATTTTTCGGGACATTACCAAACCACTCATTTTAGGTAAGAAATACAAGGCAGCGTTGCATGGAATGAGGTTTTGCTTTTGCCATGTGGGGAGCGGACCGTTTCACTGGAGGGAAAATGCTACATTGCAGGCAGAGCTGGCAACTGCCGTGGCTCTTTGTTTTCTGGGATCCTGTGTGTGTGAGCTTGGGGAGTTTGAAGCTGGGGTTTGAGTCACAGCCAAGGAGTGGATGGACACTGGGGACGCTTCTGGCACTTACCTTGCCCGGAACCGACCTGCCCACCACCCAATGACAACACAGCAAGACACGCACTCCCCATCTGTCCTCTCCTCATTATACTGGTGTTTCTGTAAACCATGGTCCTCACCAGACTCAGTCATTGATTTGTGTAACCCCTACCTAGGTTCCTAGTTACAGCGAAAGTAGACACATGTATATCGGCAATAATAGGTAGCACTCGAACCTTTCACTCTCCAGTGTGGGCAGTGGCTGGTCTACTTTGAGAAGGGACCAGCCATTGTGAGATACCAGGAAGCTGAGCAGAAGAAATCTAACTTTGATAAAAAGAGGCCTCCTCATCTTGCCAGGGATGGAGCGTGGTCCATCCTCCCTCCCTGTGCATGGAGCAGTATTGCAGCCCTGAAGACACTGCCCCATGGTCAGCATCTGGCTTGCCCTTGCCCTGTAGGACTGGTAGGAACAGAGCCCTGGTGCCAGCCGAGTGTTCCACACAGGGGAGACTTGCAAGGGACAGGTTCTGCACTGCAGATGAATTGGCTGTCTTCTTCTGTGGCTGGAGACACACAAGGCAGCGGCTTTGTAGGGAAACTGGTGTACAGGGTGGGGCGTGTTTGGAGAACGAGGAGCAGAGGGCATTGTTGCTGGAGTTAAAGAAGCAGAGCCAGGGATGGTCTTCATGTCCTGATGCCCAGAGCAGGCCTGAGCTTCTGATGGATTCTGGGGGTTCTTATGTATTCTTGGGAAGGAGCATGTGGTAAGCTTGGACAGGGAGGCAGTTCAGAGTGTTACATGCAAGGCAGCGGTGGCCTTGGGAACACCCCCCCTGCCTGACCAAGGCAAGGAACACTTTGTGTGTCCCAGTGTGGAATCTCTGTGCCAGTTGTGAGGGGACGGATGAAGACCAGCAGGGGTGAGGACGGGATTCTGGAGTGTCAAGACTCAGGTTCAGAATCACAGTTTTTCTTCCAGGGCAGCACAAGGCCACAAGTGTGGCTATTTGAAGCCACCCAAAAAGCCATTATTTGTAAAGCAAGGCAGCTTTATTGATTTCACTTTCTGCCCTGCATCTTTCCCACATTGTGGTAACCACTCACCATCCCTGTTCTGCTGATGAGGCAGGAATTCCCTTGCATCCAGTTGGGGAGCATTCTTGTCACAAATGTCCTGGATGAATTACACGGTGGCTCTCCGTGGAGGGAGCACATTCACAAGGCATTTAAGAGATGCAGGACAATCAGCCCTCGTCCATGAAACAGGGTGAAACGTAGAAGAGCTGCGTGATTATTAATGGGTTTGGACATAAGCTGGAGTGTTTACTGAAATTTTTCTCAGTTGTCAGTTTTCAAAGTTTGTGAATGTACTTTTGTGCTCTCAACAGGCCTTTTCTGCTCTATTTAACTTTCTACTTAGGGTTGTAAACATACTTCAGCCGTAATGACATTAGATACATCATCCACTCTCAGCTCTGAAAATGCTGGAGATTTTGATTATCACCAGCAGTAAGGACAGCTTATGAAGGGAGATGTTACTTATGGAGACACAGCTCATGATTCCATAAAATTCCAGTCTTCTGGGAGCCCAGGGTTAAGCAGCTGCCTCAGCCCATCCACCCTCTAGGGACTGTCCACGGTGAAATTGGCTTCTTGACGTTTTCCTTATGGAACCTGGGGTGTCATTACATTCTGTTAGAGTCATAGGGTGGTTCTATTTATGCCTGTAAGGTATAAGGTATTTTTTTCTTCTGAGTCTAGAAAAGACCTACTGGAATTTTTATGTATCCTGAAATACTATTAGACGATCAAAATCAATTGCAATAGAGAAGGTGCTGGGCTCTCTTCCCAATTGCTCTCACCCATCTGCAGTGTAATAGGCCTATCATGTAAGTGAATATACTCATCACAATTCTCTGCAGCTTCCCAGCAGAAAAGCATATTCCTTCTCAGAGAGAAAGGCGGCAAGGAGATGGATATTTTTAAATGCCAATTATGCCAGAATGAGTCTCTGTGAGGAGATCTGTAAAGAGAAGAAAGGGCCGGGGTTTATTTATTTTTCTGCTGCGAATGGAATCATTCTGTAGCTTCAGAATACTAATCCCTGTGATGTGCCTGATGTCTTTTCATAGGATAATTTGTGAATGTGCTTCCACTTACAGGAAAAGTTTGAGGCTCTTTTCTTATTCTTCTTTTTCTTTTTTTTTTTTTTTTGAGAATTAAATTCTAGGCCTCACTATATCCTATGATAACCGTCCTATAGGCCCTCGATCTATAAAATGTGTGCATAATGAAATATATAAAATCAGCGATTATCCTGAAGGAACACAGAAAAGATTAATAAGCTGTATTTAAATCACGGCAAGTCTCAGAACATATATTAAGTTAGAAGACATCACGTCCTGAAAATGACGGGCTGATGTGATACTAGCATGTACCCCCGTATGGATGCATATAAATGCTGTGTAAAACCTAGCCCAAAGTGTTCTTTAAAACCTAAGATCCAAAGAAAGGCATGGAAATTCCAAGCTATGAGACATGAAGAGAAAACACAAAGCCAGAGCACTAAGGGAGGAGGCCATGAGACCCCCAAGCAGTGAGGTTCCTGATGGAGAGCCAGGATGATGAAGACTGTGTGACATTTGTGCAGGGAGAGACACGGCAATGGCTGGGACAGGGTAGCAAGGCTAGGAGCAAGTGCTCATATGTATAGGAAGCCAGGAGGTGGCAGACGTGTGTTATGGACCAGGTGGGATGTGATGCAGGACAGCTGGTTGGCCACATAGGAAAAGAGAAAAGATAAAGTGAGATCCCTACCTCACAGCACATGTACCAGTAAACGGCCATAGAATTAAAGGCCTATGCCGGGCACGGTGGTTCACACCTGTAATCCCAGCATTTTGGGAGGCCGAGGTGGGCAGATCACCTGAGGTCGGGAGTTCGAGACGAGCCTGGCCAACATGGCAAAACCCCATCTCTACTAAAAATATAAAAAATTAGCTGGGTGTGGTGGCGGACATCTATAATCCCAGCTACTCGGGAGGCTGAGGCAGGAGAATTGCTTGAACCTGGGGGGCGGAGGTTGCAGTGAGCGAGATCATGCCACTGCACTCCAGCCTGGGTGACAGAATGAGACTCCATCTCAAAAAAAAAGAAAAAAAAAAAGGCCAAAATGTAAAGACAAAAATGTTAAAATACATAGAAGATTTTTTCTATCTGCTCTTGAGGTGGGAAACATACACACATCATAAAAGAAAAGATGGATTAATCAAACATCAGTATTAGCAACTTCTTTAAGAGAACTACAGGCTGGAATAAATATTCATGATGAATTTACTGTGAGAGATTTGTATTCTGTTTGTATCAAGAACTCTTTCAAATTAATTTTAAAAAGACAATAGAATTGAAAAATGAGCAAATACTATGAAGAAGAAAAAATGAAAATGTCAAATAGACAAATGAACTCTGCCTTGCTCCTAATCTGGGAACTGCCTGGGAGACCATGAGATGTTGGCAAATTAGAAAGTCTGATAATCGAAGGGTTGCCCAGAGTGTGAAGCAAGGGGGCCTTCATGTCCTGTTTATCAAGGGCAAGTTAGTAAACCCCTTTAGAGAACAATTAGGTGTTATCTAGTAAGGTTGAAATGTGGATCCCCCATGACCCAGCAATTCTGCTCATGAAAGGGATTCAGTGTTGTATTAGTCAGTTCTCTCAAAAACAGAACCAATAGGATCAGTTTATCTTAGAGTTTATGTATCGATCAATCGATTGATTGGTCAATTGATATAAGGTATTGGCTTGCATGATATGGCATCTGGGAAGTCTCACAATCTGCCATCTGCAAGCTGGAGACCCAGGGAAGCCAGTATTGTAGTGCAAAGGCCTGGAAAGCAGAGAACTGGTGCAGATTCCAGTCCAGGCCGAAAGGCCTGAGAACCAGCAGCATGGAGGGCAGAGAAGACCAATGTCCCAGTCAAGCAGTCAGGCAGAGAGTGAATTCAACCCTCCTCTGCTGTTTTGTTCTATGCAGGTCCTCACTGGAGTGGACGATGCCCACCTACACTGAGGAGGGCCGTCTGCTTTACTCAGTCTGCCAATTCCAATGGTAACCGCTTCCAGAAACACCTCACAGACTATCCAGAAACAGTGTTTAACCAGACGCATGGGCACCTTGTGGCCCAGTCAGGTTGATACATAAAATTAACCATCACAAGTGGGTCACAACCAGCGTTTTCTAAAAATATGAACCAGATTAGAACAGAAGATATCAGAGTTTGTTCTGCATAGTGAATGATAGTGATCCTGAGAAGGGGGACTTTGAGGGGATGGGACTGACAGCGATGGTTAAGCCTGAATGGAGGTTTGCTACATTGTTTTCTATACTTCTATGTATTTGCAAAGTTGAGGAGAAAAGAAGTTGTGGTAAACCCCTGGATGTAGGCACACGGACCCCAGTGTTCTGTGCTGTGGGTCCCTCTGATGCAGCCGTCTTGCTCCCGTCTTGCTGGTTCATCCTCCACCTTGGCTGACTACCTGGCCTCACCCTTGTACAGGTGCTTCTGTTTGTCTCTTCATTGAAATGGGTGGGATTTATTGATTTATTTAGAGACAGGGTCTTGCTCTATTGCCCAGGCTGGAGTGCAGTGGTCTGATCATGGCGCACTGCAACCCTGACCTCCAGGGCTCAATCAACCCTCCCTCCTTGGCCTCCTGAGTAGCAGGGACTACAGGCATGTGCCACCACACCCAGCTTATTTTTATGTATTGTTTTTATAGAGGTGGGATTTTGCCATGTTGACCAGGCTGGTCTTGAACTCCTTGGCCCCTAGAATGCTAGGATTACAAGTGTAAGCCATCATTCCCTGTGTGAAATGAGTAGGATTTCTGAATGAGCCAGGCTTTGCACATTGACCTGGCTCTGCCTCTTGAACTGCTGCCTTCACATGGGAGGCTCCTTCTGGCCCTGCCTGTGTGGCTGATTCCTCTCTCAGGTGCTTCTCTTTATCTTCACAGACGAGGCTCATGGGCTTCACTTTTTGGGACCTTAGGTGGACATCTGAGTCCACAGCCCTCCTGCCTGGCTTCTGTCTCTGTGGATTTGCAGGCCTGCTTGTCCCATATCCTCCAGTGCCCAGCCCAGTGCCTCATGTACAGTGGATGCTCAAGAAGTGTGTAGTCATCACATAGCTCTAGTTTCTTATTTTTATTTTTATTTATTTATTTTTTTTGAGACAGGGTCTCACTCTGTCACCCAGGCTGGAGTGCAGTGGCATGATCATAACTCACTGCAGCCTTGAACTGGGCTCAAGCAATCTTCCCACCTCAGCCCCCTGAGTAGCTAGGACTACAGGTGAGTGCCACCATGCCCAGCTAATTTTAAAATCTTTTGTAGAGAGGGCATTTCACCATATTGTTCAGACTGGTCTCGAACTCCTGGCCTCAAGTGGTCCTCCCACGTGGGCCTCCCGCAGTGCTGGGATTACAGGCATGAGCCACTGCCTCTAGACTTTAGAAATGTTCAGAAGCTCACCTTCCCATCTGCAAAGTGGAGACTCATGAGTTGGGGGCGGGTAGATTGTGAGAATGAACCACATAATGAAGAGGGGATGTGTAGCACATGTGAGTTTTCCCATCTTGCTGGTTTCCTTCCCTGGAAGAGGCAAAGAGAGGACAAGGAGCTGGCTGTTACTATTTGCTTGCAGACTTGGTGTGTGCTTTCAAATTGGAAGCTCCTGCTCTGACACCCAGTTCTTTTTTGTTTTAAGTTGTACTTTAGAAGAGAAAAAAATTCATCAACACCCTTTTTTTTAAAAGATGGAAAATGGGTTAAGAAAGTAGCACGAGGAACTGTGAGCCCAACATAATTAGTGTGATGAAAGAGAAGTTAGCCATTTCTGTATGTAACTTTTGATTAATGATATTCAGCTCTAATTAATTATGTCCAATTCTAATTAATGACATTAGTGTGCAAGCTGGCATTCTCAAACTATATTCTGAGGATTCCCAGCGGATGTTCTTGAATATAATAGTCCCCGGTCACATTAGGTTGGGAAGTGCTGTGTGTACTGCCCGTCTTGGACACTCCCAAAGCACCATATAAAAGGCCTTCAGAAGTCCTGCAAGAAAAGGAACAATTTAAATTTCTTTTAACCTGTCATTTCCCAGACTTACTTTTACCATGTGTGCTGCTAGGCACATACGGACATGCTAATTTAACTCTCATACCACAAGGTGTGCTTGGATGAATTGATGAGCAATGTACATGTCATGGAGACGTTTTCTAAGTCTTCCAGAGTCATAGCAGGGGTCTCCTGTATCGCAGCAGAGCATACTGCAAAGAATTGCATTTCCATACAGTCTAGGGCTGCTGTGAACTAATCTCCTTTCTTGGGCAAATCGCTTAATCTCCTTCAATCAGTTCATACATCTGCAGAGGAAAGGGTGATGGCATGCCACCCTGGATGGTGGGAGGACTCCTAGCAGTGGTGGCTGTTACCATCTCATAAGAAACCCTCATTACAAGAAAGTCCACGTCATTTGCCATGTGCTGGTCTCGGGGGGTCAGCGAGTGGGGGGCTGCAGGGAGAGACCACCAGTTACCTCCTGAGCCTCACGTGTGGGGTACACTGTGTTTTGTCCGTTGTTGGATTTGTATTCATTGTTCATCTAAAAGTGATTATGTTGAAAAACAGAATGGTGGCAGACAGGCATGTTTGGCATGGGTTAATGCGAGGCTGGAAAGAGAGCCCCTGACCTTCAGTTCGAGAATCAGCCACTGCAGGAAAGGGTGGCGTCTTGGTGGCCGCATACTGTGAATGTCAAGGGAGACGAAGAGTGCACCCTGGGGAGGGCGGACTCATCAGTCCAGTGGGTTGTCCAGGAGGGAGTGAGGGTTGATCTTTCATCTCGAAGGATGAATATACATTTCTGCGAGAGAGGGGGAAGACGGGCGTTCCAGGCAAACAAGCGTGTATATATAACTGAAGCGTGGACAGAGGAAGCAGCGTGGCTGGTCTGGGAATGGAATTGTTTGATCTGGCTTGATGGAGGAGCTAGGGGGTGAGGTAGAAGAGGTGGCAGAGGCCAGCTTGACCTGTGTAGATGGCTTGGGAGAAGCCCTGGCAGGTCTTTGTTGGAGGGCTGACAGGAAGGGATATGTGCTTTCCATAGTTGACCTTGGAGGGTGCGGCATGGGGTGGAGGCCCGTGCACCAGAGGCTCCTCATAGAGTCTCTACAGAGAGATGACCAGGCTAGCGTTTTCATGGCATGAAGGTTGTCTTCAGAAACTCGCTTCACAATCTACTTAAGATGAGTCAAATCTACCCTCCAAAGAACATCTGCTGCTACTGGAGATAGCGCTTCAAAAGCTAATGCAGGTGCTGAATGTTTTTCCACCATGAGGGTTCCTTCTGTGCATCAATTAGTCTAGACTCTTGCTGTTTGAGGAAAGAGGCTCAGAGTAGTTAAGCCACTAGCTCCAGGTCTCATAGCTGGCTGATAGGACATCAACCTGCGGAGTCTCTATGGAGGTGGAATAGTTTCAGTGGTGCACTGAAACAGTAGGGGATGGATAGGAGAAAGGCTTGGTCTATTAGTCAGGTTGAGCCAGAGAAGCAGTAAGGGATGGATATGAGGAGATACATTGTGAGGAATCTGCACACGTGGTTTTGGGACCTGGCCAGGCAAGCCTGAAGCCCGCAGGGCAGGCCATGGGGAAGGGCAGGCTGGAACTCCCAGGCATGGCTGCAGCTGCAGTCCACAGGCAGAATTTCTTCTTCCTGAAGGAAGCCTTGGCTCTACTTTTAAGGTCTCCTGACAAATTGATCCAGACCCAGACAGATTGTCTGGGATGATCTCCTTTCTAAAAGTCAACTCATTATGGACTTTAATGACATGGACAGAAGACTTTCACAGCAACGTCTGGAAGAGTGGCTGATTGCCTAGCCAAGTCAGTACCTCAAAAAGACCACACTCTTGATAACACGTGGGGGCTCCAGGACCAAAAGCTGGTGCTGCAGATGTGTGGGGTGGCAGCATTGTCACTTCCTGTCTCCCACTAACCTCAGGGTCACAGTGGGCTGGTGGCTGTAGCATGCTCCACACCTGCTCTCAGGGATGCTGGAGGGAGACTGAGGCCCAGGCTTTTGTCTTAGAGACTTGGGATATGTCTAGGATCCCTTCTAAAAGCCAAGTTCTAGATAGAATCTGGCCTTTCAGGGTTGGAGAGACCCCATGTGGCTTCTGAGCAGACTTCCTTCCTGATCTCAGTCTTGGAAGTGAAGGTCTTACCCCTGGTTGCCCCCTTCCTGTGACAGAGGGCTCTTTGCCTCTTTGCACTCCATGCCCCAGAGACAATCAGTGCTGGGGACAATTTTGTCAGAAATCTATTCCCAGCCCTAGCTTAGCCTAGTGGCACTCTCAGTCCTGAAAGCTAGAGGCCATTTCCACATTGGTGTAGCACCGTGGTTCTCAGACTGTGTTTGCTATCAGGATCACCTGGGGAACTTGGTAAAAATACAAATGCAGGTCATATTCTGCTTCCTCCATCCTGGGCCTCTGTGTTCTTTATTAGCCTTCTTGGTGGTTCTGACCTACATCAAAGTTGAGGACCACTGGCATAACGCACGGCTGCTCGAACTCCAGTGTGCGCCGGAATCTCCTGGGGATCTCATTTATTTTATTTTTATTTTTTGAGACGGAGAATCACTCTTGTTGCCCAGGCTGGAGTGCAGTGGCACGATCTCTGCTCACCGTACCCTCCGCCTCCTGGGTTCAAGCAATTCTCCTGCCTCAGCCTCCCGAGTAGCTGGGATTATAGGCACATGCCACCACGCCTGACTAATTTTTGTATTTTTAGTAGAGATGGCGTTTCTCCATGTTGGCCAGGCTGGTCTCAAACTCCTGATCTCAGGTGATCCACCCGCCTTGGGCTCTCAAAGTGCTGGGGTTACAGGCGTGAGCCATCACGCCCGGCCAGGGACCTTGTTTAAATGCAGATTCTGATTCCATGGTTTTTGGTGGATCCTGCGATTTTGTGTTTCTAACAACCCCCCAGGTGGTGCAGTTGCTTCTGGTCCTCAGGCCACATCTTAAATAGCAAAGGCGTAGATAGGGGCCGAAATTAAGCACTTAAGAATTACCCAGACTTGCATCGGAATTCTGCCTCTACCACTTAACTGTCTCTGTGTTACCCTGAGCAGACTGCTTGATCTCTCTAAGCCTTGATTTCCTTATCTGGACAATGGGAATAATGTGCCTTTTTTTTTGTTTTTTTGAGGTAGCACCTCTGTCTGTTGCCTAGCGTGGAGTGCAGTGCTGCAATCTCAGCTCACTGCAGCCTCAACCTCCTGGGCTCAAGCGGTCCTCCCACCTTGGTCTCCCGAGTAGCTGGGACCTCAGGCACACACCACCACACCCAGCTAATTTTTAAATTTTTAATTAGAGACAGGGTCTCATTGTGTTGCCCAGACTGGTCTTAAACTCCTGAGCTCGGGCAGTCCTCCCTCCTTGGCCTCCGAAAGTGCTGGGATTACAGGCGTGAGTCACTGCTCTTGCTGCTTTTTAAATAAAAACTGCTGGCCGGGTGCAGTGGCTCACGCCAGCAAATTCCAGTGCTTTGGGAGGCCAAGGCAGGTGGATCACTTGAGGTCAGGAGTTCAAGACCATCCTGGCCAACATGGTGCAACCCCATCTCTACTAAAAATACAAAAATTGCCTGTCGTGGTGGCAGACCCCTGTAATCCCAGCTACTCAGGAGGCTGAGGCAGGAGAATCACTTAAACCCAGGAGGCAGAGGTTGCAGTGAGCCGAGATCATGCCACTGCACTCCAACCTGGGCAACAGAGCGAGACTCTGTCTCAAAATAAATAAATAAATAAATAAATAAATATTGCTTTGACAGTTAGAAAAGAAAGAGTTTAATACCGCAACATAATAAAGACCATACAGGCAAAGCCACCAGCCAACAGCATACCCAGTGGTGAAAAATTGCAAAGGCTTTTCCTCTTAAGATCAGAAACAAGACAAGGATGCCCCCTTTCACCACTTCTATTTAACATAGTACTAGAAATTCTAGCCAGAACAATTTGGCAAGAAAAAGAAATCAGAGGCATCCAAATTGGAAAGGAAGAGGTGAAATTTTCTCTCTTTTCACATGTCATGGTCTTATGCAATATGTAGAAGGCCTTAAAGACTTCACACGAAACACACAAAGCTGTTATAACTAATACATGAATTCAGTAAAGTTGCAGGATCCAAAATCAACACACAAATATCAGTTGCATTTCTATACACTAACAGTGAGCAATCTGGAAGGGGAGTTAAGAAAAAAATTCCATTAACCAAGGAAGCAAAAAAATTGTACACAGAAAACTACCGAACATTGCTGAGAGAAATTAAAGAAGACACCAGTAAATGGAAAGACATGGAATGTTTTTAGATTAGAAGACAATATTGTTAAGATGTCAATACTACCTATATTAGTCCATTCTCATGCTGCTAATACAGACATACTCGAGACTGGGTAATTTACAAAGGAAAGAGGTTTAATGGACTCACAGTTCCACATGGCTGGGGAGGCCTGACAATCATGGTTGAAGATGAAGGAAGAGCAAAGTCATGTTTTACATGGCAGCAGGCAAGAGAGCTTGTGCAGGGGAACTCTCATTTATAAAACCATCAGATCTCATGAGATTTATTCACTACCACAAGAACAGTGTGGGGGAACCACCCCCATGATACAGTTATCGCTACCTGGCCCCACCCTTGACGTGAGGATTATTGCAGTTGAGGGCAAGATTTGGCGTGGGACATAGCCAAACTATGTCATATCCAAAGCAATCTACAGATTCATTGCAATCCCTATCAAAATCCCAATGATGCTTTTTGTAGAAATAGGAAAATTCGTCCTAAAATTCTTGTGCAATCTCAAGGGACCCTGAATAGTAATAGCAATCTTAAAAAGAAGGACAAAGTTGGCGATCTCACACTTCCTAATTTCAAAACTAGCTACAAAGCTGTAGTCATCAAAACAATGTAGTAGTTGCATAAAGACAGACATACAGACGAAAGGAATTGAGTAGACAGCCCCCAAGTAAACCCTGACATATATGGGCAAATGATTTTTTGACAAGGATTTCAAGGTCATTCAGTGGGGAAAGGATAGTTTCTTCAAATGGTGTTGGAAAAACTGAAAACAATATAAAAACAACACAAGAGAATACAAAAATCAACTCAAAATAGATCAAAGACCTGAACATAAGAGCTGAGACCATAAAACTCAGAAGAAAACAGGTGCACAACTTCATGACATTGGATTTGGTAGTGACTTCTTGGATGTGACACCAAAGGCACAGGCAGCAACAGGAAAAGATAGGTAAGTTGGACTTCATCTAATATAAAAACTTCCTCAAAGGACACAGTCAGCAGTGAAAAGGCAACCCAAGGAATGGACGGAAATCTTTGTAATTCATACATCTGATAAAGGGTTAATAGCCAGAATGTGTGAAGAATTCTTAGAATTTAACATAAAAAGAAGCCACCTGATTAACAAACGAACAAAGGGCTTGAATAAACATTTCTCCACAGAAGATAGACACATGGCCAGTAAACACAGAAAAACATGCTCAGCATCACAAATCGTTAGAGAATTGCAAGTCGAAATCACAAGATACCACCTCATATCTATTAGGCCGGCTATTACAAAACAAAACAAAACAGAAAATAAGTGTCTGTGAGGATGTGGCAGAATTGGAACCCTTGTGCACTTTAGGTGGGAATGTAAATGGTGCAGCCCGTCGGAAAACAGTATGACAGTTCCTCAAAAAATTGAAAATAGAATTGCCGTGGAATCTAGGCGTGGTTTCACTTCTGGGCATATGCCCAAGGGAAGTAAAAGCAGGGGCTCAAGGAAATATCTGTACATTCATGTTCATGCAGCATGATTCACAATAGTCAAGGGGTGGAAGCAACCCAGGAGTCCATTGGCAGATGAATGGATCAACAAAATGTGGTGTATACATAGAATGGAATATTATTTTGCCTTGAAAAGGAAGGAAATTCTGACACATGCTATAACATGGATGAACCTTGAACCTTGAGGTCATTATGCTAAATGAAGGAAGCCAGATAGAATAGCACAGATCCTGTGTGGTTCCACTGACATGAGGTACTCAGAATAGTCAAATTCATGGAGACAGAAAGTAGAATGGTGGTTGCCAGGGGCTAGAAGGAGAGGGAAGGGGGTTAGTGTTTAATTAGGACAGAGGTTCAGTTTTACAAAGTGAAAAGAGTTCTGGAGATGGATGGTCATGATGGTAGCACAGCAGTGTGAATGTACTTAGTGTCACTAAGCTGTATTCTTAAAAAGGCTTCCAATGGTAAATTTATGTTACGTGTATTTTACCACAATTTTTTTTTCTTACAACGGAAAGGACTCAACACCATATCTAGTAAAACACACACTGAATGTTGTTATTGAAAGCATAGATGGCAGGATCACTTGAGTCCAGGAGTTCGAGACCAGCCTGGGCAACACTGGGAGACTCCCATCTCTACATAGAATTAAAATAACAGATTAGCTAGGTGTCCTAGCTACTCAGGAGGCTGAAGTGGGAGGGTCCTTTGAGCCTGGAAGTTCGAGGCTGCAGTGAGCTGTGATCATATCACTGCATTCCAGCCTAGGTAACAGAGCGAGATCCCATCTCAGAACAACAACAAAAAACAAATAAAAAAATAAAAGCACAGAGCCAGTCACAGGGACACTCCATACATATGAATTCTACCCACAGTCATTCGTGCCCCTGAGTGTCTGCCTTCCCACCATTCTCTGGGAGTTGGTTTCCATTCCCTCACCTCTCCTGTTCTCTCTGACAAAGGTAATTGAAACTATGTTTCTGTTCTTTCAGTATGGCCAGGTGGGAAGCTGTTCTCTAGTGTGAGTTAACCAGGACAGAGGGTGTGTATGTGCAGGGGAGAGAAGCCGGCAGGCTCTTCCTCCCAGATGCTGGACTATGGAATGTGATACTAACATGGGGATCCTCCCCAAGAGCCTTGGATCCCCTAGTGCACCAAAGTATCCTACTGAGAAGGCATCAGAAAATCTGACTCACAGAAGTTAGGGCAGTGTTTACAGTACCATGACAGCAGGCAGAGCTTGGGGTTCAAAGCAGAATCTGAGGAAAGACTCTAAAAAGACGAGCCCCTGCCCAAGATATGGTGCCTTTTCTAGTCTCATAGCACATTGCACCCCCTCCCCTCACTGTAACAATCCACACCCTCAGAACGCGCACCTGGAGTTGTTCATGGAGACTAAAGTGGGAGGAAGCTTTGGACAGTCACCTTTTTGAAGTCTGTTTTGAATTGAACAGTGTGCAAATGATAAGCCACTTATTTTAAAATAAGCTTCTTAATTCAAGTGTAATATAAACAGAAAAGTACAAAAATCCTAAGTGTTTATTACCATGAATATTTTCAAAGTGAACACATCCATGAAACTACCATCCAGACTAGGAAACAAAACATCACCACAACCCAAGAATCTCCCCTAGGGTCCTCTCCCAGCCATAACCCACCCCCGACCACTACCACCACCACCTAAAGGTAATCAGAATCCTAGCACCAAATGTTATTTTTGCAAATGTTTGAATTTTTTTTTAAATAAATGAATTTCTACAATATATACTGTTTTATGTCAGCTTATTTTATGCAACATTATGTTTGTGAGAGTCACTCACAGGTGGTGTGACAGTAGTTCATTGACTCACTGTTACAGAGCATTGTAAAAATACAAATAATTCATCCATTCTATGTTTGATGGACATTTGCATCTTTTCTAGTTTTGGGTCATGATTGCTGCTGGGAACACTGTTACACATTTGTTGTACACATGATTGCATTTCTATTGAGGGTACATCCAGGATTGGAATGGGTAGGTCACAGGGTCTGGGTATGTTTCTATTTTAGTGAACACTGCCAGTCCTTTTTCTGACGTGATTGTACCCAATTACACTCCCACCTGCAAATAGGAGTTTCATTTGCTCCACATCCTTGCTCATAACTGGTGGTGTTAGTCATTTTAATTTGATTTTTAGTGGATGCATGGTGGGATCCTCTGGTATGATTTTCAGTTCACTGAAGACTGTTGAATATCTCTTTCGAATACTTGTCTTGTGCTTTTCGAAACCTTCTCTTGAAGTTTTTGTGCAAGTTTTTGCTCATTTTTCTGTTGCATTTTCTTTCTTAGTGCTTTGTAGGAGTTCTTTTTTTGTTTTATGAGATGGAGTCTCGCTCTGTCGCCCAGGCTTGAGTGCAGTGGTGCGATCTCAGCTCACTGTAAGCTTCGCCTCGTGGGTTCACGCCCTTCTCCTGCCTCAGCCTCCCAAGTAGGTAGGACTACAGGCGCCCGCCACCAGCCCGGCTAATTTTTTGTATTTTTTAGTAGAGACGGGGTTTCACCGTGTTAGCCAGGATAGTCTCGATCTCCTGACCTCGTGATCCGCCCAACTCGGCCTCCCAAAGTGCTGGGATTACAGGTGCGAGCCACCACACCCGGCCGGGAGTTCTTTATATAGTTAGTACCTGAGACCTTTGCTAGATGTACATATTACAAATATTTTCTCACACTTTCTCACGTTCAGTGGTATCTTTTGATGAGAAGGCCCAGATTATCAATCTTTTCCTTTAAGGTTAATGCTTTTTGTGCCCTGTTTAGGAAATCTATGCATACCTAAGAACATGAAAACAACAGCATATTTATTTTTTCCAGCCATTCTTGTTTTCTAATATATGATTTTAGGGTTATAAATAGCCTATTAAGCCTGCTTTAGCTGTAATCCACTATTTTTAAAAATTGTAGTAAAAAAACACAGCATAAAATTTACCATCTTAACCATTTTTAAGTGTACAGTTCGGTAGTGTTAAGTAAATTCATAATGTTGTGAAGCAGATCTCTAGAACTTTTTCATCTTGCGAATCTGAACATCTATACCCATTAAACAGCAACTTCTCATTCTCCTTGCCCCAGCCTCTGGGAGCCACCATTCTACTTTCCGACTACTCTAGGTACCTCAAGTGGAATCCTACAGTTTCTGTCTTTTTGTGACTGGCTTATTTTGCTTAGTACAGTGTCCTCAAGGTTCATCTGTGCTGGGTTGTGTGATAAGATTTTCTCCCTTTTTAAGGCTGAATAATATTATGTGGTATGAATAGACCACATTTTGTTTATCCATCATCCATCGATAGACATTGGGTTGCTTTTATTCCTTGGCCATGATGAATAGTGCTGCTGTGAACATGGCTGGCTGTCCAGCACCATTTTTGGATACGTTGTATTTTTATTATTAATTAGTTCAAAATCTGTTCACTTTTTAAAATTTCTCCTTTGAAATGTGGGTTATTTTAAAGTAGTTGATTTCCAAATGCCTCCATATTTTCTGGTTATATTTTTGTTATTTATTTCTAGCTTGCTTACCCCGTAGTCAGGAACAGATTATTTACAATGTTAACATTTTGAAATTTGTTTACACTGGCTTTAGACTTGTCCACCAT
The DNA here is from genome assembly GCF_000001405.40 of Homo sapiens. Lineage (NCBI taxonomy): Eukaryota > Metazoa > Chordata > Mammalia > Primates > Hominidae > Homo > Homo sapiens. Next base: position 1,286,501 of record NT_187660.1, read on the forward strand.
ATGATTAATTTTGACAGACTATCCCATGTGCCCTTGTGTGTAGTTCCTCAGTTCAGTACTTTCGATATATTCATGAGGAAAAATGGGTAATTGTGGTGTTCAAATCTTATATTTCCATTCTTATTTTTACTTCTTTGTTATATCATTTACTGAAAGAAGTGTGTTAAATTATCCAGCTGCTCATAATGTCTGTGTCTAATAGACATAAATTTCATAATGTCTAATACTTTAGATTTGTCTTATTATAGTCCTGTCAATTCTCCCTTTATAAATTTTGAGTGCATTTAACTAGATACATATAAATTTAGAATTTATTCCTAGTAGGTTGCCCTTTTTAATTATGAATTCTTTCTTTTCCATAAGAATGCTGCTTTTCGTAAAATCTAGTTTGTCTAATTACCAATATAGGTATATAAACTTTCTTTTTTAACTTACTGCTTTAGAATAGTTTTAGATTCACAGAGATGTTGCGAAGATAGTAGAGAGTTCCCATACATCCTGTACCTACTTTTCCCTGTTGTTAACATCTCACATTAGTATGGTACATTTGTTACAATTAATGAACCAGTGCCAATGCATTATTATTAACTGAAGTCCATACTTCATTCACATTTTCTTAGTTTTTATCAAATGTCCTTTTGCTGTTCCAGGATTCTATTAGGAGACTGCTTTGAGTTCAGTTATTATGTCGCTTTAGGTTCTTTTAGACTGTGACAGTTCCTCTGACTTTCCTTGTTTCTGATGACCTTGACAATTTTGAAGAGTAGTGGTCAGGTATTCTATAGAATATCTTTAAATTTGAGTGTGCTTGGCATTTTTCTCATGGTTCAATAGGGGCTATGGGCTTTGGGGCAGAAGATCCCATCTGAAAAAGTGCCATTCTTATCCTATCAAATCAGGGCTACATAATTTATCACTGCTGATGTTACCCTCAATCGTCTGAGTGTTATGCACCATCTCCATGAGGGAACAGTATCTACACAAATTATTTGCAATTCTGCACAGGGAGATTGGTCTGTTCTCACTCATTTATTTTCTCATTCATTTATTTATATTTGTATGGACTCATGGATATTCATTGTATACTTTGGGCTATAAACCAGTATTGCATTATTAATTTTGTTGTTCAGATAGTTCCAGCTTTTGCCCTTTCCTAAGATAGTGGACTCACCCCTCTGTGTTTCAACTCTACCAATTTGGACCCTCAAGTTCTTGTTGCCTTATTAGCCATAAATTGCAATTTCTTATTTCCCCAGTCCTCTGAGACTACTGAAAGTTCTGCTTAGGCCTATTGCCTCTTAACCACTACTTTCTTCCTGTGTGTGTTTTTAACCTTTTGGCTTCCATCACTCACAAATCCCCAAATGCCTTGACGAGAAAAGCAGCACAGAATGCTGAGCTTATTTCTGGGTAATTATCTACTTGTCATGATCTCAGCCCCTCAAGTCCTAGCTGCCTTGGACTCTCTGATGCTTCCACAGAGATCATTTAAAAAAATTTCGTCAAGAGTTTCTAGTTGTTCTTGGTGAGAGGATTAGTCTGACACAAGCTAGTGCATCATAGCAGGCGGTGGAATTCTTCAGACATAATATTTTTTTTTACTTCTTCTACTATGTCATAGTTGATGGTGCCTCATGGTATTTTAATATCTGATGCTTTGCACCCATACAGCAACTATCCTGAGTAACGAAGATGTTATGTCATATAGGAAAATGAGTCATTCTTTTTTTTTTTTTTTTTTTTTTTTGAGACAGAGTCTTGCTCTTTCGCCCAGGCCGGACTGCAGTGGCATGATCTCGGCTTGCTGCGAGCTCCGCCTCACGGGTTCACGCCATTCTCCTGCCTCAGCCTCCCAAGTAGCTGGGACTACAGGCGCCCGCCACCGCGCCTGGCCAATTTTTTGTATTTTTTAAGTAGAGACGGGGTTTCACCGTGTTAGCCAAGATGGTCTTGATGTCCTGACCTCGTGATCCACCCACCTCGGCCTCCCAAAGTGCTGGGATTACAGGCGTGAGCCACCGCCCCCGGCCGAAAATGAGTCATTCTTTGCATTTCATTCATTTATGCCCTTAGTCACAAGGGCTTTAGCAAAGAATTGGCTTCCACCCTCTCTTTAAGGTAAGGAAATAAATAATGACCTTGGAAGACAGTATTCATCATAAAAGCGCTTGATGAAAGGAGCAATTGGAGTGAACTATGTAAAACAGGCTTTTCAGTCTAATGGGACAGTGTAATTACTGGTGCAGATTTCTAGTTAGGCCTTAAAGAAATTAAGCCTCCCTATATGGTTAATAATGGACTTGTGTAAGAAGATTGCTTCAGAGATGAAGTTTGTGATTCACATTAGCATATTTGGCAGTGAAAGCGTTACCTTTCTCAATCAAGCAGGATATGTAAGATCTTTGTGTATGCTTTTGCTAAACTTTACTGCTGCCATCCCTGAACTTGACTTGATATTTTTACATCCCCTTCAAGTCTGCATCCCAGTTTTGTGTCATCTACAGTTCTGAAGAGCTGCCTTGTGCTTTATCATCATCCAGGGTTGAAAAGAGCCAGATCATTGGAGAATCCCCACAGACTGACAGTTTTCCCTGAATCGATGCCTGCTTATTGTGCTCATGCAGGTAGCTCCTATTCCATCTCACTTCGCTGCATGCAGCTCACATATTTCAGATGATCCACAAGAACATTGGGAAGGACCTGCCAAAATCCTGCCTTGCTAAAGTCCAGGTATACTCTCTTCCAGATCTCCCTTAACTGCCTTTGCAGATTCTATATCGGAGAAAGAAGTGAGGCTAATTTCACAAACTTATTCTTACCGAATTCATTTATAGCTCTAATAATTACCACTTTTCTTAGATGTGATCCCAAAACAATCCTTTAATAAATGCATTTTAGAACTGCACTGTCCATAGTGGCAGCTACTTGCCATTTAAATTTAATTTAAATGAATTAAAATGAAGCAGACAAAAAATGCAGTTTCTCTATTGGACTAACCATGTTTCAAGTGTTCAATACCTGCCATATTGGGCAGTGCAGATAGAACACTTCTATCATTGCAGAAATTTCTGTTGAACAGAGCTGTTCTAAAACCTTGTTTTAGAATCAGATCTGAGCTCACCCGTCTGCAGATTACTCAGTCATCATTTGACTGTTTTTTTTTTTTTTTTTTTAAAGAGACAGGGTCTCACTTTGTTATCCAGGCTGGAGTGCAGTGGTGCCATCATAGCTCACTGCAGCCTTGGACTCCTGAGCTCAAGTGATCCTCCTGCCTGTCTCCTGAGTAGCTGGGCCTACAGGTACATGGCACCAGGCCTGGACATTATTTAAGTCTTTAAGAAACATCTACATGTGTTTTTTCCTGTCACCTCTCTTTTTCTCCATTTCCTTCAAAATCACCTTGAAGGCGACTCCATTTCTGTATTGCCCAAATCAGTCTACAGTGTAGGTGTTGGATGTGGACTTTTTTTTTGGTTTCTAATGAGGTTGTGTTGCAGATGAGCTGAAGCCACCTTTGATATTCTAGGATTTGTGCCTGAAGAATAGCGCTTTCTGTCTTGCTGATGTTTATATGACTGCTATGATTGTCAAGGGAAATAAGGAGAAATGAATGGGATCCACGTTGCTTGGCCCAGCATACCTGTTTCTGAGTGCTGTTGGAGCTGAGAGGCATGCTCTTGGAGAATCAGCCATCAAGCTGTCTTTTCCAGAGTGGATGTTGTCCAGGGCAGTTGCAGAGTGAGCACACTGTCAATGAGTGCCTGGGGTCCTTCATTTATTTCTTTACAGCATCTGTAGTAGAATAAAATTCCAGTGTTAAGAGACAAAAAAAATGTGCCCAGCTCTCCTGGGGTTGACAGTCTCAGTTGGTAAATCCCATCCCAAGGGGGCAGCTCCTCTCCTGTCTGTGGTTTGCCTGCTGTCCCCCAGGAGCCACACTCACCAGTTTGGTCAGCTGGCAGATGATAAGAGGGAGAGAATCTTTTAGAAAACAGATCCTGGAGATCATTGTTAGTGGAGAACTTATTATCAAGTCAGGAAGAAGAAAAATCATTGTTAGTTGAGTGAATACATTTTAAAAAATGATAAAGTGTTCGTCAGGCACTTGGGATTTCTTGCTCATATGCTAATAGGATTTTTGAAAATCCACTCACTGTTTGGAAACTTGCTTGCTCAGTGACAACTGCATCCAAATAGCAGATCATGAGCCAGGTTTGTGGGGGGACAAGAGTGAAGGGAGTTCGGAGGAAGTCGCTCTGGGCCAGGAGGCAGGGACCCTGGCCACCAGCCATGTGACCCGGGGCAGATCCTTGCAGTGCTGGGCCTTGGTTTTGGCCACTGCCCCCTGGCCCCCCACTTCCCAGAATTATTGTGAGGAACTGTGCGTGTATGTGCAGGAACTGGGTTAACATATCTACTTATGGTTGGCCGGGCGCGGTGGCTCACGCTTGTAATCCCAGCACTTTGGGAGGCCAAGGCGGGCGGATCACAAGGTCAAGAGATCGAGACCATCCTGGCCAACATGGTGAAACCCTGTCTCTACTACAAACACAAAAATTAGCTGGGCATTGTGGCGCATGCCTGTGATCCCAGCTACTTGGGAGGCTGAGACAGGAGAATCACATGAACCAGGGAGTCGAAGGTTGCAGTGAGCTGATATGGCGCCACTGCACTCCAGCCTGGAGACAGAGTGAGACTCAGTCTCAAAAAACAAACAAACAAGCAGACAAACAAACATATCTACCTCTGGTCAACACAGAAACAAGGTAAGCTTTTGTTATCCCCTTTGATAGACAAAGCAACAGAGCTTAATGAGCATGCATGTCACAAGGAAGCACAAATTCACGCTTATTATTTTTATGGGAAGACCCCTCACTTCCTGGTCCTGATGTTCTCTGTGGGACCTTTGGTGAGTCAGGGAAGGCCTCACAGTATGGAGACAACAGTCCCAGCCTCTGACTTGCAGGAGTGTGGGGACTAAGTGACACTGGAAGTGTGCTGCACACGTGCAGGCCTGGATTATTAGGAGGGAAGGTTAGAAATCAAGAGCCAGGGGAAAACTGGGAATAGCTGGCTGGCTTTTCAGAAGGGAGTCATTATTTTGTGCACCTTGCAACTCAGGCAGTGAGCCTGGCGGGGAAAGAGAAATGGCTGCTCTTTTTTTCTGTCCATGTGTCACCCCCTGTCAGTGTGTTACTGGGTGCAGGTGTCTCCTCTGATGGTGTCTGGGCTTTTCTTTCCCCTCCCTTCCTTCTTTGCCTGCTTCTCCTTTGCTCCTCTGTCTCCGTTTCTCTCTCCCTGCATTTTGTCTCTTTCTATTCCTTCTTTCTTCCTTTTTTATCTTCAGATTTTAACCTGTTCCTTTCATCAAATGATGCTTATTAAATACATTTGGTGATTTATATTTTTGTTTCTAAGAAAGCTGATCAAAATAACTGTGTAAGTTCAGTCCGTGAAAAGACAATAATGATGACAGGCAGGCAGCGCTTTGGAGGAAGGAGGGTTGGGTCCCGGGTACCCCTGATTCGGTGGGTGTTTGTGCATAGAGTGGTACCTGCCTGCTTGAGGATAGGAGGCTTTGCAGCTTGAGGTCCTTGCTCCCTGGTGTGGGGCATCTGAAGGGCTGTGGTGGGAAGAGGGTCAGAACCAAGGCCAGATGCACCCGGAGCTTGCTGCACGCACTTCTGGGAGGTTTCCTCTTATTTTCTCTATTTTAATTTCTCCATTTTCTCTTTTCTCTCTTTCCTCTCTTTCTGGAATTCCCATCTATCTGATTTTTGACCTATTCATTCTATCTTTGAAGTCTCTCTTTTCTTTCATATTTTTCCATCTTCTTTTCTTTCTTTCTTTTTTTTTTTTTTTTTTTTTGAGATGGAATCTCTCTCTGTTGCCCACTGCAACCTCCACCTCCTAGGTTCAAGCAATTCTCCTGCCTCAGCGTCCAGAGTAGCTGGGATTACAGGAGCCCGCCACTGCGCCCGGCTAATTTTTGTGTTTTTAGTAGAGACAGCAATTTCACCATGTTGGCCAGGCTGGTCTTGAACTCCTGACCTCAAGTGATCCGTCCACCCTGGCCTCCCAAAGTGCTGGGATTACAGGCATGCGCCAATGTGCCCGGCACCATCTTCTTTTCTTTCCGTTCTGTTTTCTGGGATAGTTCAACGACTTTAAATACCCATATTGAAATGTTTATGCTTGCTCTTACTTTGGCTCTCTGAGGGCTCTTTCTATTCTTTCGTCATTTCTTATTTTGTAGCACTGTATCTTTGTGTTTCTGCGGCAATATCTTCTTCTATTTATTTAAAGGTATTAATTTGTTATTTTGTTTCTTTTTTGACAATTACTTCTGTTTCCTTCACTATCTTTTTTCCTTTGCTGTCCTTGTACTTGCTTGCCTGGATTTTCTTCTTCCTGTTTGAGACCTTCCTCCCAGATCTGTGAGCCGTGGTTGTTAATTCGCATTGAGAAGTGAAGCACTGAAAATTGACTGGAGTGTCTGCAACGTGGCTGCACATTAGCATCACCTGGAAGCATTAAAAACTACCTCTCCCGGGGGACAGTCTCAGGGCCATTGGATGAAGATCTGTTAGATTGGGGTCTGCATATTGATAGGTTGATAAATAAAGATATTGATAGAGATCGGTAGGTAGAAATACAGATTTTCCCTCCTCAGCAATTCTAATGTGCAAGCAGGGCTGAGCGTTGTATAGTCTTGGGTGACAGTGCCGGGCCTCTGGAGAGTTGGTATAATTACCGTGCAGCGAAACCACTCTGCGTTTTACTGTGCCGGGTGCCTGGAAGACTTTGATTGCATCCATATGATTCTTTTTCTGTACCTCTGGCAAATTGCAGATTGGGAGGAATTATATATCCCTACAGAGACTTCAGTGAATGAAGTTTCAGGGACCTATGAGCAAGAAGGATGAACTGGCTTCCCGGGGAGGGGCCAGCAGTCCTTCTGCCAGACAAGTCATCAGGGCTGGGACAGGAAGCATGGGAAGGGCAGCTGTGCAGAGCAGGATCCAGGAGGGGCCACCTGGTGGCAGGTGTGGCCACTGAGCAGCCCCTGGCTAGGGATGGAGCTGGAGCTGCCAGGGAAGCTTTGAGGCCAGGTAACTTGGCTCTTGGGCTCTCATGAAGCCAACTGTTCCTCTCCCAAGCTCTGAGAAAACAGTGGAGTCCTGGAGTGACAGGATATGGTAGCTCCATAAGGAGGAGGAACCTGTAGTTGGAGGGGCAACACCAGGAGGCCAGTGAGCGATACTCTGTACCTGAGAGAGGTGGCCGGAACCTGGGCCCCCACTTGCTGCCAGTGACCTTGCACCTGCCACACCTTCTCTTGGAGTTTTGGCTTCTTTAACTGGGACATGAGGATCCTGACCATCTCTGCCAAGCAGGAGAGGAAATGGGCTGATGTGTGTTGTGAGGCAGTAGAGACTGGGGCATAGGAAGCAAATTGACTCTCAGAGTTTATGGTATAACCTTCTCCCACGCTGTAGGGATCAGGTTTGCCCCTAAACCTGCAGACTGGCTAAGGCCAGGGCTGGAAAGGGAAAAAAGTAAGCAGAGGACAGGTCATGCTGCAGGCCGGCCCCTCACCCCTGGTGACTTGTGCTCTTGGAGTGAGGGCCCAGGAGGGGGTTGCCTGCCTATGCGTGTCTCTCCCTTTCCCCCTCCTGTTCTGTGGGGCTGGGCCTCACACGGCCATTCTTCGAAGGAGGAAGGTGGCCTTTTGCATTCCCTGTTGGTGTGTTACTTATTGTCACTTATTTTTGATTAAGGATATCATATTTAGGGAGAAATTATTTGCATTTTCTTTGTAAATCATCTGAAGAATTGTGCAACACAGGAGTGCATTCGGGAAGAAAATTCAGACATCAGAGATAAAGCAGAGTTCTCCCTTGGCTGCATCTACAACCTTCCTCTCCCTAGAGAACCACTCTGTGGTTAGTGTGTTTTCCTTCATTATCTTATATAAGCATTTATGCATGTGTAGATGTAGATGGCTGTGTTTTGTTTTTATGCACATAGAAGGTATCTGTGCATTGTTCTGCTGCCGGAGTTGTTCAGAACATGGTATTGTGGAGAACCACATGACTGTACACACAGGTCTATCTTAGAGACCTGCCTCATTTGCTTTAACTGCTGCAGAGGCTTCCAGGGACCGTGTGTACAGTACTAGATACTGTTTAATGAACACTTTCCTACTGATGAACATTTAGGTTGTTTCCTAATGTTTGCTGTCACAAACAGTGATGCTGGTGGGTTAATGCTTCTCTAGGGGAGAGAGCAAGAAGCAGAAGTGCTGGCTGTCATCTGCATTCTGCAGTTTACCAGATACTGTCAGGTTCCCTTCCCAAATGGCTACAGAGTGGTTTGGTCCCTGCAGTGTCATCAGTTCCCGACATTATAACTTTGCAGATGTGATAGGGAGAAAATCTCCATTTTATTTTTTCATTTCCTGGATTATTTGTGAAGTCAAGTATATTTGCCTGTGTTTACTGGCACATGTATTTTCTCTTTGGTCAATTTCCCTTTTGTAATTTTTGCTCAGTTTCCCATGGGGTTATTCGTCTTTTTCTTATTGATATCTAGGAAGGTCACACGTTCATGTGAGTGTTTGGGTGTGTGGGTATACAAGCAAAAAAAGGTTTAATACATCCTGGATGCTCATTCTTTGATACATTTACTTCGACTATTTTCTTCCAGTCTGTTGTCTTCTGTTTTAGGTGTTTTTTTTTTTTCTCATCCAGGTTTAAACATTGTTTATTGTTGTAGCTAAATAATTCACTTTATTTAGGGATTATAAGAAAATGTAGAAAGTAAATTTGCATTCTTTTCCTTTTTCTTAGTATTATGAAACTTATTTCTTTTTTAAAAAACCAGTCTGTTGAGGTAAGATTGCCATATAAAAGCTGTACACATTTTTTTTTTCCAGTGACTTTTTTAAAAAATATATTTAAAAACAAAACCGGCCGGGTGCTGTGGCTCACGCCCGTAATCCCAGCACTTTGAGAGGCCGAGAGGGGTGGATCACCTGAGGTCAGGAGTTTGAGACCAGCCTGACCAACATGGTGAAACCCGGTCTCTACTAAAAATACAAAAAAAAATTAGCTGGGTGTGGTGGCATGTACCTGTAATCCCAGCTACTCGGGAGGCTGGGGCAGGAGAATTGCTTGAACCCGGGAGGCAGAGGTTGCAATGAGCTGAGATCATGCCATTGCACTCCAGCCTGGGCAACAAGAGTGAGACTCCATCTCAAAAAACAAAAGACAAAACGACCTCCTCCCAAATAACCCCCAAACAAACAAAAAACCAGATTAAATAAAATTTACAGTGAATATACCCAGCAAACATTTGTATGTGCAATTCAATACTGTGTCTGTTACTGCGGCACGAACCTCAGACAATATATAAGCGTTCTGGGGGGTCGGGAGAGTCCCAAGTTTTAACTCTGTGGGGTCTAGGAAGACAAGATGGGGAAGTGAGAGAATGGGGAAATCCGTTTTGTTTATCTTAATTCTTTCCATATAAATATATTCATAAAGACCAAAAAGGAAAGGAAGCTTGGGATGTTAAGGTAATAGGAGAATAGGAGAGTGTGGGACTTTCCCAATTCTGACTGACCAAAAAATATGAAAGGAATTAATTTTATGGTGGGAGAAGAGATTTAAAAAATAAAAAAAAGAGGATGGGGGCCAGGCACAGTGGCTCATGCCTGTAATCCCAGCACTTTGGGAAGCCAAGGCGGGCGGATCACCTGAGGTCAGGAGTTGAGACCAGCCTGGCCAACATGGTGAAACCCCGTCTCTACTAAAAATACAAAAATTAGCTGGGCATGGTGGCGCGCGCCTGTAGTGCCAGCTACTCGGGAGGCTGAGGCAGGAGAATCACTTGAACCCAGGAGCCACAGGTTGCAGTGAGCCAAGATCATGCCACTGCACTCCAAAAAGCTGTACATATTTAATGTACAACTTTGTGAGTTTAGAGCGAAGCCAACCCCCATGAAACCATTGCCACAGCGTGTGCCGTAAACAGATCCATCACCTGCTCACGTTTCCTCCTGCCTACTTTATTACGATGATGATGATTTGTGATGAGAAACTCAACAGAAGATCCACCTTCTCAGCAGATTTTTAACTGTACAATACAGTGTTGTTAGCTGTAGGCACTGTGCTTTATAGTAAATCTCCAGAACTTACTCAGCTCGGACAGCTGATACCGTGTACCCTCGGCCCAGCATCTTTCCACTTCCCCTACCCCCAGCTCCTGGAAACCCCCATTCTACTCTCTGCTTCTATGAGTTGACTTTTTAAGATTCTGAATATAAGTGAGATCATGCGGTATTTATCTTTCTGTGCCTGGCCTATTTCACTTAATGTCCTCCAGTTTCATCCGTGTGGCTGTACATGGCAGGATTTCCTTCTTTTTAAAAGCCGAATAACACTCCATTGTAAGTGTATACCATGTTTTCTTTATCTGTTCATCCCTCAAAGGACATTTAGATTATTCACATATCTTGGGTATTGTGAATAATGCCGCAGTGAGCGTGGGAGTGCAGACTTCTCTCTGAAATACCGATTTCAGTTCCTTTGGATGTATGCCCAGCAGTAGGATTGCTGGATCATTCGGAAGTTCTATTTTTAATTTTTTGAGGAACCTCCATACTATTTTCCATAATAGTGATACCAATTTGTATTCCTATCAACAGTGCACAAGGATTTTCTTTTCTGCACATTCTCACCAACGCTTCTTATCTTTCATCCTTTTGATACTAGCCATTCTTACAGGTAATAGTGTGTTTTGCATTTCCCCGATTGGTCTTTTCCTTGATGATTTTTTATTGTCTTATTTAAGAAGGGCTTCCTTATACTGAGTATCTAACATTTTAGAGTCACCTATTTTACAATAAGTCTTTAGTCCCCTTGAAATTTATTTTTGTGAATAGCGTAACTCAGGGATATATATATAGCTTTTAAAAAATGAGTTGCAAAGTTTATAACCCATTCCCCCCACCAGCTGATTTGACATGTTACCTTTATCATATGGTAAATCATTATAGATGATGAGTTGTTCTGGACTGTCTTCTGCTGGTCTATTTGTATACTCTCGTGGAATAAAAAATTCTATGGTTTTATATCCTTCATTGTTCTTCTAGAGTGTTTCTGCAATTGTTTCCTCTGCCATCTGAATTTTATTATTCTCATTGGAGGTTCTTTTGGAATTGCACTGACTTTCTAAGTTGATTTGGACCAAATTAAAATACTTAAAATTGAAATATTTACTATATTAAAATGCAGTATTATTTGTTTTTATCTGGGAATGTAGTGTATTTTTTTCTTGAAAGTTTTGTACACTTTTGTTATGTTCTTTCCCTATATGCTTTATAGTTTTGTTGCTATTGTGTATGAAATATTTTTTATTATTACATTTTCTATTTGGTTGTTGCTGGTGCTTAGGAGAGCCATTGATTTATGTGTTAAACTCATACCTGGCCACCTTGCTAAACCTTTTTCTTAGTCCTAATAATTCGTCCGTTGATTCTCTTGGTTTTCTATAAAGACAGGAATATTGTCTGAAAAAAATGCCTCCTTCTTCCCCTCTTCCTTCTCAAACTGTACACCTCTTGAGATGTCTCTTTGTGTTTGTACTTCTAGGTAGGGTAACCAGCCCCAGACTGAAAGGTGACAGTGATAGCAGCCTTCCTAATCTTGTCCCTAAATTTACAGGGGATACTTTTATGGCGTCACTATAAAATGAGATGTTTTGCTGCACTTGGCTGATAAATATCCTTTATCAAGTTAAGGGAGTTTGCTTCTTGGTCTACCTTTTAAGGTTTATTTTAAATCAGGAATGGGTTGTCGAATTTGATGGCCATTATACCTTTTTCCTTTTTTTTTTTTTTTTTTTTTTTTTTTTTTTTGAGACAGAGTCTTGCTCTGTTGCCTAGGCTGGAGTGTAGTGGCGCGATCTTGGCTCACTGCAACCTCTGTCTCCGAGGTTCAAGCGATTCTCCTGCCTCAGCCTCCCGAGTAACTGTGAATACAGGCGTCCGCCCCCATGCTTGACTAATTTTTGTATTTTTAGTAGAGATGGAGTTTTGCCATGTTGGCCAGGCTGGTCTTGAACTCCTGACCTCAAGTGATCCACCTGCCTCAGCCTCCCAAAGTGCTGGGATTATAGGCATGAGCCACCACACTTGGCCCCATTTTATACCTTTTTCATGGAAGTAAACATTTTCTAATTCACAATAAAAGAGAAAAAAGTATAATAAACACAACATATCCATTGCCATATTTGCTTAGATTTGTTGTTAGCATTTTATTATATTTGCTACTTCTTTCCTTTTTGTCGATTTTTTTTTTTTTTTTGAGATACAGTCTCGCTCTGTTGCCCAGGCTGGAGTACAGTGGCATGATCTCGGCTCACTGCAACCTCCACCTCCCAAGTTCAAGCGATTCTTCTGCCTCAGCCTCCTGAGTAGCTGGGATTACAGGTGCATGCCACCATGCCTGGCTAATTTTTGTATTTTTAGTAGAGACGGGGTTTCACCATGTTAGCCAGGCTGGTCTCGAACTGCTGACCTCAAGTGACCCACCCACCTCAGCCTCCCAAAGTGCTAGAATTATAGGCACAAGCCACTGTGCCCGGCCTTTTTTGCTGAAGTTTTAAAAGTTGTAGCCATCATTATTTGGCCATATAAGTTCAGCGTGCACTTTAAAAATAAGCACATCTTCCTACATTTCCACGAGACCATTATCATAGTAACAGCATTCACAGTAATTCATTGATAACATTTAATACCCAGTCTATGGTAAACACTCTCCAGTTGTTACCAGAATGTCCTCTACAGCTGGTTTCTTTACCAGGGCCTGGTCACTGCGGAGACAGCACTGTGGGCCCTGATGTCTCCACTCCTTCTCTAACTGGAATGCACCCTCTTCCTTTTTGTTCCATTACACCTCTCTATTGCAGAGACTCACGTGGACCAGCTGTCCTGCATCAAATCCCATCTTCAGCGTTCGTCTGATTGCTTTCTGGGCTAGCATTTAACTTTTCTCTCTAGCTCTTGCGCTTCTTGTAAATGGGAATTTCAGTCCAAAGGCTTGTGTGTTTTTGCTGTGAAACAACAGCAGAATCTCATAGGACGAGAATTTTTCTTCCTGTTTGTAGGCAGGGTCAGCAAAAGGGCAGGTTTGTTCAGGTTGCAGGTCTGCTGGGGTAGCTCTGCCTGACATGTTTATTCTGAGACCCAAACTAGAGGGTAGGGGCTGCATGGGGCTCGTGTTGCCCATGGTGAGTCAGAGGAACACAGGAGGAGCGGATGGAAGCAGGAGATGGCCTGAGGTATAGCCTTGGGGCTTGCAGGTGGACGGTTCCCATTCCACTGTCGAGTATCAATGGAGTGGGCAGTGTGCTTGTCCCATGGAGGAGGAAGGGGTATTTGCTGAATGATTAAATCCAACCCACCAAAGCATGTTTAGATTCAGACTAAAAGTTCTTGGCAAGAATACTTCATAAGCGGTGGTGTATGCATTCTATTGCAGCATGTCACAATTCACATGTAATACGTGGTTGTCTCATTAGCAACTGATCTGACTAGTTACCATTTATTAATAAGATGCTGTGCTGAACTTCTGTTAACCTCAAAAGGGGAAAGCACCAGGTTCAAGGCTGAAGAAGAGACCCAGAGCCAGGAAACAAGAATTGGGATTTTTTTTTTTTTTTTTTTTGAGATGGAATCTTGTTCTGTCGCCCAGGCTGGCATGCAGTGGCGCCATCTTAGCTCACTGCAGTCTCCGCCACCTGGGTTCAAGCAATTTTCCTGTCTCAGCCTCCTGAGCAGCTGGGACTACAGGCACGTGCCACCCTGCCCAGCTAATTTTTTTGTAATTTTTAGTAGAGACAGGTTTTCACCGTGTTAGCCAGGATGGTCTCGATTCGATCTCTTGACCTTGTGATCCGCCTGCCTCGGCCTCCCAGAGTGCTGGGATTACAGGCGTGAGGCACTGCGCCTGGCCAAGACTTGGGATTTTATTAGGGGCCTGCATACAGGGGAGACGGATGGTGGTGGATTGGACCAGAGAACCGCCTTATGTACAGAGATGGTCCAGTGATGGGCTGGGCGTGGTGGCTCACGCCTATAATCCCAGCAATTTGCGAGGCCGAGGCGGGCAGATCACCTGAGGTCAGGAGTTCGAGGCCAGGCTGGCCACCGTGGTGAAACCCCATCTCTGCAAAAATACAAAAATTAGCCAGGCGTGGTGGTGGGTGCCTGTAATCCCAGCTACTCGGGAGGCTGAGGCAGGAGAATTGCTTGAACCCGGGAGGCAGAGGTTGCAGTGAGCCAAGATCGTGCCACTGCACTCCAGCCTGGGCGACAGAGCAAGACTCCGACTCAAAAAAAAAAAAAAAGAAAAGAAATGGCCCAGAGATGGCGGGCTGGATAACATATCGGCCTTCCTGCAGTCTTGTGGCAGTGGGCTGGGCAGGAAAGCTGCAACTTCTTGCCAACTTTATGCAGTTTATTTAGCATTTCTACTTAACACCCTCCTCTTAATGACCCCTACCCAGCAACCTTCATTTACCCCAAAACTCAGGGCCTCAATGCCCTGTATGGCCCGTGTTCCATAGGATGTTCCAGGGGCTCAAATGTTCCTCATAGACAAGGAACGAATCTCTGGGTTGGCCACACCTGATTCCCCAGCTCAGAGCACACACTCAGGTGCATCTGCCATACAGGGTCCTTCTGAGGGTAGGTTCAAGTTATCGCTGTCAGGTGCATTTACCCTACAGCTGGTGACAGCTTGAGTCTTCTTTTATAAAGTTTCTTATGCTTGAGACTGACAAGAAATCTGTGGCTAGTTCTTTGGCACCATGTATATGAACGGCCAGTTAACCCTCTGTTATCCATTGGTGATCCTGGCCTGAATCAGTTAATTCATTAGTTGTTGCAAATTGGTGGTTTCACAATTCTCTCATACTGTTTTCATTTATTAGCTGTTATTCTTCTGTAAAGAAGAGATTTTCCTTATCACCTGGAGCTGTTAGACCACCCTGAAATACAGTATCGTTAGAACAGGCCGGGCATGGTGGCTCACGCCTGTAATCCCAGCACTTTGGGAGGCTGAGGTGAGCGGATCACGAGGTCAGGAGATCAAGACCATCCTATCTAACAAGGTGAAACCCCGTCTCTACTGAAAATACAGAAAAAAAAAAAATTAGCTGGGCATGGTGTTGGGCGCCCATACTCCCAGCTACTCATGAGGCTGAGGCAGGAGAATGGTGTGAAGCCAGGAGGCGGAGCTTGCAGTGAGCCGAGATCCTGCCACTGCACTCCAGCCTGGGCGACAGAGCAAGACTCTGTCTCAAAAAAACAAGAACAAAAAAAACCAAATCCTTATTTCTCTTCAATTGTTAATTTTCAGAATAAGAAGTTGGCAATAGCCAATTTTAATGGTATGATACATTCTCAGGGTGTGCCATCTTCCCCTTTATGATATAAACCATTTTTGGTCATGACGTGTTAGTTTTTAATGCTAATAGTGAACCTATTTGTTAAAGTTTGAGGTAAGATCTTTGCCTCTCTCATGTTGGAGACTAGTTTGTGCTTATCCTTTCATAAAATAAATTGCTTCAGCTTTCCATCTCTTTTTTGAGATGTGACATCATGGTAATCTATTCCTTGAAAATGTAATAAAACGTGTTTGTCAATTCATCTCGGTCTGGCCTTTATTAGGTTACCTTGTTATTTTAAAATATCTTCTATAGCTATTCAGTTTTTCTACTTATTGAGCCAATTGTGGTAATTTATATTTTCTTAGAAAATCTTACATTTCATTCAGTTAGATTTGCAAATTCATTGGCATAAAGTTCTGAAAAGTATTCTCATAATTTTATAAATTTTTCTGCATCTGTAATTATGGGCTTTTCAGTTCTAATGTTTGTGTTTTCTTTCTTTTTCTTGATTTGTCTTATGATATGTATTCTTTTTATACTGGGCCAACTTTCAATTAATTACTGTCTTAATTTTTTTTAGTCTTTTATCTTTTTTTTCTTTTTTTTTCTTTTTGAGGCAGTCTTGCTCTGTTGCCCAGGCTGGAGTGCAGTGGTGTGATCTCAGCTCACTGCAGCCTCCGCCTCCCGGGTTCCCGCATTCTCCTGCCTCAGCCCACCGAGTAGCTGGGACTACAGGCGCCTGCCACCACGCCTGGCTAATTTTTTGTATTTTTCGTAGAGATGGGGTTTCACCGTGTTAGCCAGGATGGTCTCGATCTCCTGACCTCATGATCCGCCCACCTTGAAGCCTCCCAAAGTGCTGGGATTACAGGCGTGAGCCACCGTGCCCGGCCTAGTCTTATATTTTTCTAATTCCTTCATTTTGATTTTCACTTTTATTTCTTAGACTTATTTTATACATTAACACTCTTTTCGTTTTTTTTTTTAATTTAATTTTTAAGTTTTGGGGTACATGTGCAGGATGTGCAGCAGGTTTGTTAGGCCGGTAAACGTGTGCCATGGTGGTTTGCTGCACCTATCAACCCATCACCGAGGTATTAAGCCCCACATGCATAAGCTGTTTTTCCTAATGTTCTCCCTCCCCCGATCCCACCCCTGACAGGCCCCAGTGTTTGTTGTTCCCCTCCCTGTGTCCATGTTTTCTCAGTGTTCAGCTCCCACTTATAAGTGAGAACATGTGATGTTTGGTTTTCTGTTCCTTTGTCAGTTTGCTGAGGATAATGGCTTCCAGTTCCATCCATGTTTCTGCAAAGGATATGATGTCATTCCTTTGTATGGCTGCATAGTATTCCATGGTATGTATATATGTACCACAGTTTCTTTATCCAGTCTTTCATTGATGGGCATTTGGGTTGATTCCATGTCTTTGCTATTGTGAATAGTGCTGCAGTGAACATAGGGGTGCATGTATCTTTGTAACAGAATGATTTATTTTCCTTTGAGCCTATAAACCAGTAATGGGATCACTGGGTCAAATGGTATTTCTGGTTATAGATCTTTGAGGAGTCACCACACTGTCTTCCACAGTGGTTGAACTAACTTGCATTCCCACCAACAGTATACAAGCATTCCTATTTCCCCGAAACCTCGCCAGCATTTGTTGTTTCTTGACTTTTTAATAATCACCATCCTGACTGGCATGAGGTGGTATCTCATTGTGGTTTTGATTTGCATTTCTCTAATGATCAGTGATGTTGAGCTTTTTTTCATATGTTTGATGGCCACATAAATCTCTTCTTTTGAGAAGTGTCTGTTCATGTTCTTTGCCTGCTTTTTAATGGGGTTGTTTGGGTTTTTTTTCTTGTAAATTTAAGTTCCTTGTAGATTCTTGATACTAGACCTTTGCCAGGTGGCTAGATTGCAAAAATTTTCTCCCACTCTGTGGGTTGCCTGTTTGCTGTGATGATAGTTTCTTTTGCTGTGCAGAAGCTCTTTAGTTTAATTAGTTCCCATTTGTCAATTTTTGCTTTTGATGCAGTTGCTTTTGGCGATTTCATAATGAAATCTTTGCTGGTGCCTATGTCCTGAATGGTATTGTCTAGATTTTCTTCTAGGGTTTTTATAGTTTTGGGTTTTACATTTAAGTCTTTAATCCATCTTGAGTTAATTTTTGTATGAGGTGTAAGGAAGGGGTCCAGTTTCAATTTTTTGCATATAGCTAGCCACTTCTTCCAGCACCACTTACAAACAGGGAATCCTTTCCCCATTGCTTGTTTTTGTCAGGTCTGTTGAAGATCAGATGACATTAACCCACTTTTCTACCAAAAAAAAAAAACCCCTCTGTAGTAAATGTGTATATTTCCTAATGAGTACTAATTTGGCCATATCCCCTAGTTGTGATATCTAATTTTTTGTTCATGTCTAAAAATACATCATTTACATTTTGAATGCTTTCTAAGCCTCAGTTATTTAATGTTTAAGAATTTCCCAGGCATGTCATATTTTGTTTTGTTTTTGTTCTTTAACTATCTTTGTAGCAGTCTGGGTCCACTCAGGAGATGGGAACCCCAGGGGGAGCATCATATTTAATAGAATTATTAGGTATGATGAGAGAGTAGCTGTTAAGAGGTGGAAGTTCTGTGTGGTATCGTGGGGGTGGAGGGAGGGGGACCTAAGCAGGGGCAGACCTGGGAAAGCCCCAGGGAAGGACCAGCTTGTTAGGGAAGGTGTGGTTCAGCAGTGGAGAGCAGGGACAGCCGCTGGTTCAGGCAGTCCAGCACTGGTCTAGAGATGCTGTTGGTCACAATAGGCCACCCTCTGGAGTACAGGCTGGGGAGCAGTGGCTTGAGGCTGGGCCTGCGGTGTGAGTTCGGGCACCAGCACGTCCAGAGGTGCCGGACATGCAGAAGGAACGATTGCTCAACGCAGGACTCTCCAGACCACGCGGGCTACATGGGGTTTGTCGAGGGAGTCCAGAGGTGGCTGGCCATGTGGAGCTCTGGGTTCGAGGCCCAACAGGTGTGGCCCCAACAAGGCTGCAGGGTTGCAGAAGAACTAGGTGCCTCTGTGGCCTGAGCCGGGAACTGCGGGAACCGTTTTCCTCCAGCAATGTTGCTCCATCACCCTCTGCCCAGAAAGCTTAATGTGCTCACTCTAAAGGAGAAACATGACCGGGCCCGGTGGCTCACGCCTGTAATCCCAGCACTTTGGAAGGCAGAGGCAGGCGGATCACGAAATCGGGGGATAGAGATCATCCTGGCTAACATGGTGAAACCCCGTCTCTACTAAAAATACTTAAAAAAATTAGCCGGGCGTGATGGCGGGTGCCTATAGTCCCAGCTACTCGGGAGGCTGAGGCAGGAGAATGGCGTGAACCCGGGAGGCGGAGCTTGCAGTGAGCCGAGATGGCCCCACTGCACTCTAGCCTGGGCCACAGAGCCAGACTCCGTCTCAAAAAAATAAAAATAAATAAATAATAATAATAATAATAAAATAAAGGAGAAACGCTTAAGGGAATTCTGTTTATTCAGAGAACATATTGAGGGGTACATTCAGAATTGGGAGGCAATGAATTGATAACTGACACAACCTTTTTGTCATTCCTTTCTAATTGTCCCATTGTAGTCAGTGGGTGTAGCCAGTACAGATTCTTTGTAGAATGTCACATTTCTTTTGTGGCCTAATGCTACATAGGCAGTTTTGGTTAAACCCATGTGAGTATGTGTGTGTGTGTGTGTGTGTGTGTGTGTGTGTGTGTAAAACCTCCGCCTTCTCTATTTGTTAGGTACGGGGTTCTAAATAAATCTTATTGTTATTTAA
Source organism: Homo sapiens (assembly GCF_000001405.40). Taxonomy (NCBI): domain Eukaryota; kingdom Metazoa; phylum Chordata; class Mammalia; order Primates; family Hominidae; genus Homo; species Homo sapiens. The sequence continues at coordinate 1,305,779 of NT_187660.1, forward strand.
ATTTTTATATCCCATCTCATTTTTGTCTGGTTAATTTGATTTTAATCTCTCAATATGAATGTGGCTATTAATTTCACCTTTTATCATTATTTGCTTGGTTTATATTTTGAAGCTATGTTGTGAAGTTTATAAAGGTACATGATGCTCTTGGTGGATTATTTTTGTTATTAATGGGAATTTTTCCTTTTATGCCTTTGCATACTTTGTTGTTTACATTCATTTTGTCTGATTAATATTGCCATATGAGCCTTCTTTTTATTAGCACTTGTCTGGTGTATCTTTTCCTATACTTTTATTTTTAGCAGTCTTCGTGCCATTTTTTTCAGGTGTCATCAGAAGAGACTAAGCAACTCATGGCTTAATTTTCTAAAATAATCTGAAAATCTATGTTTTTCAACAGATGGACTAAAAGAGAGTATAAAGAGCACTGCATTCATTTGCTCAGGCTGCGGTAACAAAACACAGACTTGGTGTCGGAATCCATAGAAATGTATTGCCTCACAGTTCTGGAGGCTGGGAGTCCAAGATCAAGGTGTCAGCAGGGCTGGCCTCCTCGGGCCGTCTCTCCTTGGCCTTGATGCCCCTGCATGTGTTCTTCCTTCTGTGCCTGTTGTGTGCCCCTGGGGTCTCTCTGTGTACCCCAATTTATCTTTTTTTTTTGAGATGGAGTTTTGCTCTTGTTGCCCAGGCTGGAGTGCAGTGGCGCAATCTTGGCCCACTGCAACCTCTGCCTCCCCGGTTCAAGTGATTCTCTGCCTTAGCCTCTGGCAAAATGCCCTTTTCAATCCTCCCTGCCATTGGCTACTTTTAGGATCCTGCTGATTGGTGCATGTTACAGATTGCTGATTGGTGTGTTTTACAGAGTGCTGATTGGTGCATTTTACAATCCTCTTGCTAGCTACAGAGTGCTGATTGGTGCTTTTTTACAGAGTGCTAATTGGTGCATTTTACAATCCACTTGCTAGCTACAGAGCGCTGATGCATTTTACAATCCTCTTGTAAGACAGAAAAGTTCTCCAAGTCCCCACTCAACCCAGGAAGTTCAGCTGGCTTCACCTCTCACAACCACCCCAAGAAAGTTGAGGGTGAAGTGCAGGCCATGCACAGGATGCTGTCTTGATACTGAGAAAAGGAAGGTGGTGTTAACCACAGAATTTCATGGCCAGGGGTGAGAGTTAATGTAGCAGAGGGGCTCTCCTTGGAAGGGCTGTCTAGAAGAAGAGTGTGTAACTCTGGGCAGGATAGGAAGAGGTGACACCTCCATGAGAAAAGGGACTTTGTCTTTTTTGCCCCTGTCTCCCCAGCCTGTGGCTGGTGTGTGTCAAAGAGGCAGAGTCATTCCTGTGTAGTCATGATGGTTAGTTTTGTGTGTTAACTTTGCCCAGCTCTGGTGCCCAGTTGATTTGCTCAAACACCAGTCTGGATGTTGCTGGGAAGGTAATTTTTGGGTAAGATGAACATAGTAGACCTTGAGTAAAGCAGACTGTCCTTCATATTTGGATGGGCCTAATTCGATCAGTTGAAGGCCTTAAGACCAAAGGCTGAGGTTCCCCGAAGGGGAAGGTCGGCCCCCAGACCCCCTTGTGACTCAAGACTGGAATGTCAACTCCTCCTGGAGTTCCCAGCCTGCCGGCCTGCCCTGCAGATTTCAGATTTGCCAGCCTCTGCAGTCATGTGAGCCAATTCCTTGAAATAAATCTCTTTTTATATATCCTGTTGGTTCTCTTTCTCTGAAAATTCCTAATACTGTAGTTTTTTCATCTGGTGATCTATTTGGCTATCTCACTAACTTCTGAGTTGGGACAGCCTCAGAGTCAGAAGTCATGTGTCTCCTGGACCCTCCATCCCCAAAGCACAGCCCCATGCCAAAATATGCCTTTATGTTAGTAGCACTGCCCAGCCCTGTTCAGTTTTCTGAGATCCAGTTCCTACAAGACTGTGGCACTCAGTACTTTTCATCTCATTGGGTTCTGTGCCTCTGGGGCTGTTGCCTCTGAGACCAGATCCCGGATCCTTTCTTTGTGGGCTGCTCCACCCCTGCTGTGGAAATCACACAGAAGGCGGACAGTACATGTGGACAGGTCAGACAGACACACTGATTGGCCAGCTGCAGCATGGGGAGCATGGACTCTGCCCACAGCTGTGGCGAGATGGCTCTGTGGTGAGATCTGGGCTTTCTTGTGTGCTGAGGAATGGGAGCGTTTGCCATCCTTATCCAAGCTGCATCACTCAGGGCTGGCCCCTCTGAGGTTGCACTGTGGGCCCCACCCCAGCCTCTGAACGAGAATTGGCATACCAGCCAGATGCCTAGGTGATCTGTGCATGTGCTGCAGGTGGAGAAGGTCTGCACTAGACATCTCCAGAAGGACGATCTGGGATCAGGGTTAGACAAGGCCCACGTCTGCTGCCCAGCCCTCTCCTCTTTGATGTCCTTTCTGCACCTGACACCTCTTCTTGACATTCCCTTTCCTTGGTTTATGTGGTAAGACCTCTCTGTCCACAACAGGAATGGTCTTACCCATCTTCTTCTCCTACCATGTATTAATAGTTCCCTGTGCCTTAAACCCCTGATTCAAAACCTGCTTCCTCAACTCTCCAAAGTCAGCCAAGCGAGAGGTTATGGGCACAGTCTTCCACAAGACTGCCCTCACTTCTGACACCAGCCCCAAATTCAGGGGTCCTCAGGCCCATCCTTACTTCTTACCAGCTGGTCAGGGGTTCCCATGACCAGTCTTAAATTAGATAATTTGCTAGAATGACTCACAGAACTCAGAACACCATTATACTTAACAATGACAGTTTCATTATAGCAAAAATTTACAACCCAGAACCAGACAAAAGAAGGAACACCTGGCTGGGCGCGGTGGCTCACGCCTGTAATTCCAGCACTTTGGAAGGCCGAGGCAGCTGGATCACGAGGTCAGGAGATCGAGACCATCCTGGCTAATAACGGTGAAACCCCGTCTCTACTAAAAATATTTTTAAAAAATTAGCCGAGCGTGGTGGCGGGCGCCTGTAGTCCCAGCTACTCGGGAAGCTGAGGCAGGAGAATGGCGTTAACCCAGGAGGTGGAGCTTGCAGTGAGCTGAGATGGCACCACTGCACTCCAGCCTGGGCGACAGAGTGAGACTCCATCTCAAAAAAAAAAAAAAAAAAAAAAAAGAAGAAGGGACACCTAGGGTGAAGTCTGGGAGGCTTCCAGATGCAAAGCTTTGGCGTCCTCAGAGATGCATTATCCTCCCAGCATCCAAGTGTGACAGTAATCAAAGAGTATTGCCAAAAAAGGAACCTCACCTGAGCTTCAATGTCTAGAGTTTTTATTTGGGATTCTTTATGTAGGTATGATGCATGATGAATTGAATCAGTGAATTGATTAAATTGTTGGCCATGTGGTTGAGCTCAATATCTAGCCTTCCCAGAAGTCAGGCTGGTAGCCCGTGTCTCCTGTCTCAAAGCCCCAACCCTCTAGTAGCTAGTTGGCCTCTCTGGCATCACCAACCTCCATCCTGAGTCATCTCTTTTGCATAAACTTTGGAACGCACCACGAATAACAAGGACACTCCTATCACTTGGAGATTCCAAGGATGTAGAGGCTCCCTCCAAGGTACCAGAAGGCCAGCCAAGTTCTTTATTACACACCAACTGATTGCCATGACTTAGTGGTTAATAAAGAGTGGGGCTTGGGGTTCCTTTAGATTTCAGGCCTGACACAACCCCTTGGATATAGACTACATGAAATGAAAGTGTTAGGAAGGGTGTATGCATGCTATTTGTTTACTTTGAAGAGTGACACTTGGAACCAATGTCAGTTTTACAGGCTGCCCTGACTTGCTGGGGCACAGACTGTGAAGTGCATATTCAGAATGAATGAAGTGTTACCCTACAGCAGTGGCTCTCAGACTTGTAGGCATCAGAATCCCCTGGAGATCTTTTAACATGCAGACTTCAGGGTCCTGCCCCTGAGTTTTCATTGGTCTGGGGGAGGGCCCAAGAGTTTCTGTGTTTGTGGAGTTCCCAGGTGACACTGATGCTGCTGGCCCAGGGACCACACTTCAAGAAGCCCTGGAATAGACTCTGTGGTGGGTGTTTGAACTTTGGATTCTTGGCCATAGGTTTTTACATTACAATGACAGAATGGGAAGTTTGGCAGGAATAAAGATGACTTCCACCCACAGGCTCCCGGGGAGGTCCTTCTTCCCTGGGCCCTGGCCTGGTGTCTCTGTCTAGCAGCTAGCTAGCATTCAGGTCCCAGGTCTCACATTTTGGCTGGACTTTAATGGCAATTGATGGGCAAGTGCAGGCTGTTCTTGCAGGGGAGGGAGTGCTGCCTCTGCTTGGGCTGCTAGGCTTGGGGCCTGGTCACCTGGGGCCACTGCCCTTCCTTCAGTCTTGCCAGACAGGCAGAGGAGTAAGGGCTTGCTACCGGGGCAGAGAACATCGAATGATTGCAATCGTGGGGTCATTAGGATTAATTAGTAAATAGCCATCAGATCTTAAAAAATAGATTCAGGAACAGCCTGGGAGGGCATTTGGGTGTGGTTTCCCAGTTTGAGGGGAAAGCATGAATCGACTACTATCTCAGGTAGGGCTCTGGTGCTGGGACCCTGCTCAGGCCAGTTAAGTGACAGTGGATGTGGCCTGGAAATCCTGTTTCTCTCATGTTCAGTGAGGGTGGAATTAGGGGTGTGTGTGGGGACCTTGGGGGCGCCATGTGATGATTAACTGTAGTCTGTCTCAGTTGTGGAAGCTGCTAATGTGTTTTTCTGGGACATCATCATGGGATTTTTATTATTGATTTCAGCAGGGAGACTGCTGGCTCATTATGTGACAAGAAATCGATGTGGTGTTCCACGTTCGAAGCAGGGGTTCTCCGTGACGTGCGGGCCCTGGACCAGCAGCCTCAGCATCCCCTGGGCATGTGTGAGCAGTGCACACTCCCAGCCTCCCCCTGACCTGCTGAGCCAGAAGCTCTAGGGCTGGGAGCCAGAAGCCCCGCAGGTGGCTCTGCTGCATGGGAAGGAACTGTTGGGATGCAAAGCAGGCCAGAGAGGACAGGAGCAGACAAAGATCTGAAGCTGAATATGGACCCCTCAGGGTGCCAGCTGTCACCCCGGAGCGCCCCCCTACCTGGGGAAGCTTTGGCAACCTTCCTGGTTGCAAGCCAAGGCCCAGGGACTCCACCGCTGGTGACCCCCTTACCTGGCCCTGGCTGTGCCCTTTGGCTCAGGGCTGGGCCCGGGAGGCTGGAGAGGTGCCAGGGTTCATTGCCAGAGGCTGCCTTGCCCCTCCCTTGTGTCCTTGTAGGCAGAGCCCTCACCCCCCTATGCTTTCCCGCCACCCACCAGCCACACCTCCTTGCCCAGGCCTCAGTGCCTGACAGATGGCCTGAATACATATATATATATTTTTTGTCTTAAAAAACTATTTTTTTTAACATATCTACAGACTCTCCCCTTACCAGGTATTTCTTGGGGAAGAAAATGTTGCTTAGTAGACAAATGTCCCCAGGTCTCCTTCAGGGAGGATGAGCATCACCTGCATTGAGGAAGGGGTGCTTCAGCAGAGATGCTCACTTCAAAGCGAGCCTCACTAGTAGCCACAGGGTGCACAGCTAGGATGGGAGGCAGTGCTGCTGAGCCAAGGGGTGGTGGGAGCAGCTCTGGAGAAACCTGGTCGGGTGGTGGGTGAAGCTGCCTCCACCCCAGCAAGCGATATGGGGCCTCCCCACTGGACTGGGGAACTGTGTATGAGGGTTTGGGGTGCAGAGACCTCAGGTGGCCTTCAAAGGAGGGGTGGCCAGAGGCCCAGCAGGTGACTCCCACACCTCTTTTACATCATCTCCTGCTGAACACCCCAGAGTTCCCTGCTTCTTACAGTGGTAACATTTGTTTAGGAGTTGTGCAGTAAGTAGACCAGGCATGGTGGTTCATGCCTGAAATCCCAACATTTTGGGAGGCTGAGGCAGGCAGATTGCTTGAGTCCAAGACTTTGAGACCAGCCCGGGCAACATGGTGAGACCCTGTTTCTATAAAAAATACAAAAATTAGCCAGGCAAGGTGGTGTGTACCTGTCATCTCAGCTATTTTGGAGGCTAAGGTAGGAGGATTGCTTGAACCTGGGAGGTGGAGGTTGCAGTGAGCTGAGATCACACCAGTCCACTCCAGCCTGGATAACAGAGAGAGACCCTGTCTCCAAAAAAAAAAAGAGAAAGTTTTGCATAAATAAAGTTAAATTATTTAAAATAAAATTATTTAAAATAAAAGTTAAATTGTTTAAAATAAGCTAGGAGAAACTTGCTACTTAAAGACATCTTTTGGGAGAATTTTTATTCAGAAGATAATCATTTATCAAAGTGATTGAGTAACCTGTAATTTATCCAGTGGAGTTTAATTTAAGCATTTGAATTTCATGTTTACCCTTTTAGCAGCTATCATTGAACCCGTCTTGGTAGCTCCAAAGCACACTTAAATATGAGATGCAGCCCCTGCCTCCATTGGCTTATGGACTGGGTGGGTGTGTAGCCACCGTGTACAGAAAGTTAAAGATGGTTCTAGGGACCAGGCAAACAGCCTGGGGTGAGTTACCAGAAGGATGATGTGAATCATCGTGTGAGATTACAGGTTGCCCATCACCATGGCCAGTGCCTCTGAGGGTTTGTTGGGATTAGAGGGGCAGCTTCCAGGCCTTTCAGGAGAGGAGGGTCTTTACATGTCTTTTGTGGGTGAGGACCTGAGGCAAGCAGAGAGAGACAGCCAGAGTTACGTGGGGCTGGAAGAAATCAGGCCAGAGTGACTGGGACCCTTGACTCTCCTTGTTAGAGGGTGTGTTTGTCCATTTTGTCCTCTTATAACGTAGTACCACAGACTGGGTAATTTATAAAGAAAAGAAGTTTATTGGCTCAAAGTTCTGGAGGTTGGGAAGTCCAAGAGCATGGTGCCAGCATCTGGTGAGGGCCTTTGTGCTGCCTCATAACATGGTGGAAGGCATCACATGGCAAAGAGACAGAGAGACAAGATAGGGGCTAAACTTAACCTCTTATGAGGAGCCCTCTCCCTGGGTAATGGCATTAATCCATTCCTGACGGCAGAGTCCTCATGGCCTAATCACCTCTTCAGCATACTGTCTCTTAATACTGTTATAATGGCAATCAAATTTCCACATGAGTATTGGCAGGGACTTCTGAACCATAGCAGAGGGACTGCCTTCCCCATGGATCCTGGTGTCCTGCACCCTGGGCCCAGTCCACTCTCTGGCTGGCACCTCTGGTTTTGCCCCCCAGGACTCTGTAAGCTCTAGCCAAGGCAGCTGGTGCTGTGCTTGCCAGCTCTGTGCTTTGACAACAACTTCTGCCTTCCCCACACTGTCTGAACTCCAGGGTCTCCTCTTCGTTTTGGTGTTGGGGGACTCTGGCTCACCACAGAGCTCCTCTCCAGGCACGTCCCTCCACAGCACCTGGGAAATCCCCTTTTCTGGCTCCAAGTGACCTATCTTCCGAGGGCTACTTGGGAATTCACAGAACCTCAGCTATGGAGAAGCTCAGAGGATTGGGGGATTGAAACCGTAGGTCATCCTTGAATGGTTAGCTTTTGAAAATAATTGTGCATTTTTCCGTGGTATGGGTTGGTTTCCTGTCCTGTCTCCACAGTGCTGAACCAAATCAGCAACGCTGCACTTTGCAACTCTGACAGTTGAGCTTCCTGGTCCTGCGATTAGAGCCCTCAAGATAGTACTGAAGCATTAGGTGAACGGTGGGGACAGAAGCCCAGACTCTGTCTGGAGTAGGGGCCCTGGAGGGACACACACCCACTTCCTATTTGGCTCTGTCCTATATGCAGGCATTTTTTTTTTTTTTTTTTTTTTTTCTGAGACGAAGTCTCACTCTGTTGCCCAAGCTGGAGTGCAGTGAGGCCATCTTGGCTCGCTGCAACCTCCACCTCCTGGGTTCAAATGATTCTCTTGCCTCAGCCTCCCGAGTAGCTGGGATTACAGGTGTGCGCCACCACACCTGGCTGATTTTTGTATGTTTAGTAGAGACAGGATTTCACTATGTTGGCCAGGCTGGTCTCAAACTCCTGACCTCATGATCTGCCCGCCTTGGCCTCCCAAAGTGCTGGGATTACAGGTGTGAGCCACTACGCCTGGCGCATGCATTTTTTAGAAGGACCTTGAGATGATTTACTATTGTTGATCAAGGAAGAAGATGAAGCGGGGAGATATGCTGCCTTGAAAGTGTCCTTTGAGCATGCAGCCTTATTTCAGCTGTATGTCAGGGTGTGTGTGTGTGTGTGTGTGTGTGTGTGTGTGTGTGTGTGTGTGTGTGTGTGTGTGTGTGTATCAGGGTTGCTGCTGAGGAGTTGCATTGCTTCCCTAAGGCCCACCAGGGAGATTCCTGTGAGGGGGTCAGACAGGGCCTTTGAAGTTTTATGTGTTATTAAAGAAGGTCGTATCTTATTACCACAAAGACCTGGGATATCTGCAGCAGGGAGTGGTAGAGGAGAGGCTGTCAGGCCAGCCCTTAACAGCGTAACTCTCTCATTCCTTCCTCAGTTCCTCCTTATCCTCCTGGCATCCAGCTCCCCATCAGAAACTGTGAATCCTAAGATATGATGGGACCATGGACCCTTCACATTTTTGTCATATTCATTATAGTGGTTCTCAGCCTTGGCTGCATGTCAGCCACCCAGAGTGTCCAAATTCTCCTCACCCAGAAATTCTGACCTCATGGAGCTGGGGCAGGATCCAGGAATTGATATTTTTTAAACCTCCTCAGGTTGATTCTAGCATCCAACCGGGGTTTAGGCCCGAGGACCACAGCCTGCCAGTTTTCGTGTGGCGTGACCTTTCCTGCCGATGATAATGCTGATGATGTCAAGCCTAGCTGAACGCTGATGGGCAGTGTCTGATTAATCGAATGAAGTAAAAATAAACAGGTTTTAACTTAATGTACCTCCCCAAATCTGTAAAGAGATCCATGGATGACATCAGTGCTGTCCAGGATGGAGTAAGCCCACTATCGTCCATTCCACTCACGGATTAGAACTCAAAACTCTGAACAGAATGAAAAGCAACCCCATCGGGAAGGGGGTTGGAGCTTGAATGCGCAGCACATTAGAATAGAGTTTCTGTGGTTGGGTTTTTTTCCCTCCTTTGATCTGAGTGCTGACTGATTTGGGAAATAGCACAGTGGGCAGAGGCAGCAAAACTCTGTGAGAAACCCATCTTTGTGGCCAGAGGGTTGAAAAGAGGAACGCTGCAAGCTGAAGATTAGGAGGGATCACTGTTTTGTTTTGTCTTTTCCTCTCTCCTGGCCCTGCCAGACCCAGAGCAGTAGCACCTACTACCCTGAGAGAAAATCCAACTCTCTGGTTGGAGGAACCGGTTGTTGCATAAAGGTGGTGGGAAGAATCCCCATTTTTTTCTCTTTCTCATTCTGCTTTGCCCTCAGCAGGGGCTGCAGTTGCAAGAAACTGTGAAAGAGTGTGATGTGTTAGGCTAAAACTCTGGGAGAGCCCCAACTTTATGGGCAGAGGAACCAGGAAAAGGTGCATCTGGTAGTAGCGGAATATGGAAGAAATCTTGGAGAGGGGAAATCTGGAAAAGAGGGTTTATTTATGTTTCTGAACCAACTCCATGTATGGGATATACCCAGAGAACCATAGCAAAGGCTTTGGATTTAAGCTGCAATAGAAACCGTGGCCCGGGTCCCAGACTTAATCCCTGAATAGCTCGTGCTTGAAGCCAACTCACAGAGCACAGCAAAGGGTTTTGAAACCGCACTGACGTTAACTCCATCCCCTAACGAAGGGGAACCAGAGCTTGTGTTCTCAACCTGAGTGGATTTATCGTCTGATGAAGCAGACACATGAAAATCAACATTCTCTACATTCTCAACATTCTCTCTCATTCAACATTTTTAATCAGGGTTAAAATGTACATATTAAAGCGATCTGGGATGCAATCTACAATTATTTGGGATACAAAGAAGCAAAAAAATCTGACTAATTCTTCAGTCAATCAATTAAAAATATTTTTTAAATGACCCAGTTCTCAAGGGAAAAGGCAATTAACAAATGTCAACCCTGAGATGACATAGATGTTGAAATTATCAAAGACTTTAAAGTGACTGTTATAACCATGTTCCATGAGGTAAAAGATGGACAGTTCTGAAATTAACAGAAACATAGAAATTCGCAGCAGGGCAATATGAAAAAAAAAAGAAAAAAATAGGAATTTTAGAATGAAGTAAAAATATTACTGGATGAGTTCAAAAGCAAATGTATATGACAGAAGAAAGAATCTAAGTTAGCTCTAAGTAGATCAATAGAAATTATCCTGAATAAAAGAAAAATGAGTTTAAGAAATGAGTAGGCCAGGTGTGATGGCTCATGCCTGTAGTCTCAGCACTTTGGGAGGCCAAGGTGGGAGGATCATTGAGCCAGGAGTTTAAGATCGGCATGGGCAATATGGTAAGACCTCTTCTCTACTAAATAAATAAGTAAATAAATAAAATTTTGCTGAGCCTGGTGGCACACACCTGTAGTGCCATCTACTCAGAAGGCTGAGGCAGGAGGATCACTTGATCCCCAGAGGTTGAGGCTGCAGTGAGCCATATTTGTGCCACTTTACTCCAGCCTGGGTGACAGAGCAAGACCCTGTCTCAGAAAAAAAAAAAAAAAAGCAATTATTAAAAAAAGGTATCATTTACAATAGCATCCCCCCAAAAAAGAAAGAACTACATATAAATAAGAAAATATACAAGATCCGTATGCTGGAGACTAAAGAATACTGATGAGAGAAATCAAAGACCCAACTCATGGAAAGATATATTTATATTTTGGAAGATTCAGTATAGTTGTGAATTCTCCCCAAATCGACCTATAGATTCATTGCAATCCCAATCAAATTTCCAGCAGGATTTAAAAAACTAGATATTGATAATGGGATTCTAAAATTTATATAGAAAAATAAGGGATCAATAGTGGAAACAATGGTTAGATCCCTGGTGAAAAAATATTCCTGATTACATGCGGGAGAATTTCCCAGAAGATGAAAAACAAGGGAACTCTGAACTTTGAATAAAGGGCACATGATCCTTATGGACTTTCTTAGTTCTCTAGGGCTGCTGTAAGAAGTCCACAGACTGGGTGGCATAAACAACAGAAGCTTACTGTCTCAGTTCTGGAGGCTGGAAGTCCCAGATTGAGGTGTCCTCAGGACTGGTGCCTCATGAGGGCTGTGAGGGAAAGTCTGTCCCATGCGTCTCCGTTTGCTTGTGGTGGTTTGCTGGCGATCTTTGATGTTCCCTAGTTTAGAGCCCTGCCTTCATCCTGTTTGTGTGACTGTCTCCACAATTCCCCTCTTTAGAGGACACCAGTCCTATTGGGTTAGGGCCTACGCAAATTACTGTATGTCAACTAATTATATCTGCAGTAATCCCCTTCCTCTCTCTCTCTCGCTGTCTCTTCTTTTCTTTCTTTCCTCACTGTGTTGCCAGGCTGGAGTGCAGTGGCCCGATCTCAGCTCACTGCAACCTCTGCCTCCCGAGTTTAAGAGAGTCTCCTGCCTCAGCCTCCTGAGTAGCTGGGACTACAAGTGCATGCCACCACGTGTATTTTTAGTAGAGACAGGGTTTCACTGTGTTAGCCAGGATGGTCTCAGTCTCCTGACCTTGTGATCCGCCCGCCTCGGCCTCCCAAAGTGCTGGGATTACAGGAGTGAGCCACCACACCCAGCTGCAGTGATCCTATTTCTAAACAAAGTATATTCTGAGGTACAGGGGATGAGAACTTAAACATATGAATTTTGAGGGGACATAATTCAGCCATAACACGGATGTGGCTTATTTTAAATCTACACAGTACTGTATGCACTTGGAAATGACTAGAAAAATGTGAAAATCACAGGGCAACAAGCAGAAGCAGACTTTTCCCCCCGAGTCTTGTGGCCGCTTCTCTGGGGGTGACAGATTTCTTTGTCTCTGAGGATGGATCTGGTAGAGGGTGTATTTAGCAGTGTACTTCTTTGCACGGGGTCCTGGCAGCTGCAGAAGCTGCGCCCCTTTCTCCAGCATGTTAAGAAAAAGGTCAGTGCTGGTAACGTTCTGTGTTCAGTTGCCCTCTTATCTGGACCCTCGCTTTTCCCCTAAAGGCATCCAGGAGCAAACATGACATGCAGAGGTAGACTTTGCCAAGGCACCGCTATTTCCAGAAGTTCTTGTGGGAGAGAGTTGACTTCTTACTGTTAGACGTAACCCAGGAAGAACAGCAAATACCGGCCAGGCCAGAAGTGCACACAGTTACTCTGTTCCTGTTACGGCATTAATGCTGCTTTCAGGCGTGGACTACATTGTGAGATATTGAAAATGCCATTTCCTGGAGACTAGTATTGATGATGAAGGTCTGACAGCAATTTTAATGATGTTTAAAGGGCAGATCATCGCCCTTTGCGTATTTCGAGATGAGGATGCAGTGGGGCAGATGTCTCAGCATATTGAATGCCCAGAAGGAAGAAGTTAGGCCCAACATTAACCCCAAGCCTCTTCCAAGGGCTGCTGAGACTTAACACCCTTCCCACCGCAGAAATGTCACCTGACAGGTATGGCTGCCCAAGGCTTCCTGGGCTTTTTTATGCTTGTCTTTTTTATGTTATTTGTCTGTAGAAGTACTATAGCCAGGAATGACTAGAGGAAGGAAATAGGTACCATTGTCCCATCACTCGAAGGCAGCCCTTGCTAACGTCTTAATGCATTTCTTCACAGTTGATTCTGTGTTTATTTGTTGTGAATAAATCATAACAATACATATTACATGCTAAGCCTTTTGTAAATATTTCAGATGCCACAAAATTGTCTTGTGGAAGTGCTAACACTGATTTATCTAGGATCCTGTTATTGAAGGTTTAGTGTGTGCTCAATATTTTTGTCCATTTCACTGCCGTTTTCCAAAGAGAACACATCCCTTTGTGACCCTAAGCTAGGTTAGAGAGCCTTGCTTGACAGTGTTGGATATCAGTATTGTTTTTGGAAGATTAATTTATTAGTGTCCTTTCAGAGCTTGCGGTTGCCTGTGATCTTGAAGTGAAATACTTATTCGGTGACTTTTGTCTGGAATGCTTGGGCTGATTATACAAGCATTCTCCAGGACTGTTCAAACCCACATCATGTATAGTGTATAGTGAAAGCAACTAAATTATATTTGAAAGGAACAAAATAATATTATCTTTACAACATGTGAGACCAAATGGGGGACAAGATTGGTGTCAGGAACAATTTGGCTGAGTCTGTTTCTCATTTGTATGATACGTTTTCACCCAGCCTGTATTGTGGTCACTGAATAGCTATTTTTCATCTGGTCTGCTATATTACTAGCTCTTCTAAGCACCAGCTAATGCTATTTTCCCGTGCAAAAGAAAAACATGGTTTAGAATAAGGACACTGGAGCTCTTTATTGTTGACAATGAGCCTTTATTTCTCACATCTAATTAGAATGTTTCAGGAGGCGAGTGGTGAGCACGGTGTCGGGGGCCGCATTAGCTATTGATTTATGTGCTGTTATAGAATTAATTGAGTCTGGACATGGAGACTCATTTTCTTGGACATGTAGCAGGTAATCATGCTTCTCCTGTACATTTGAATTGCTTTCCAGATGGTGTGTTGTACAGGATTTATCTTTAATATGATTGACTAGAAGCAAAGGACCTGAGTGTGTTTGCATACATGCTCTGCAATGCAAAGCCCCCAGCCCCCACTGTAGAGATGGTTAACTCTCTCCTGGCCACACCCCCCCTGGGCTCATATGGGGACCTGGGCCTTGGATTGACACTGTATGCAGCAAAGACAGCGTCAAAGGGTCCTGGATAAAGGCTCTGGGAGGGGAGAAAAGGCCTATAGTATATTCTGAGGGAAACAGAATAAACAGCATTACTTATTATGCAAAACCAGGACATAATGTGGGTTCAGCAGGGGAATAGTTAGTGTCTTAGTCAGCTCAGGCTGCTATATCAAAAAACACCATAGACTTGGTGGCTCCAACAGCAGACATTTATTTCTCACAGCTCTGGAGGCTGGGAAGTCTGTGATCAAGGTATGGGCAGATTCAGTGTCTGCTGAGGTCTGTCTGCTTTCTGGTTCATAGGTGGCCATCTTCTTTCTGTGTCCACACATGGTGAAAGGGGCAAGGCAGCTCTCTGGGGTCTTTTTCTTCTTTCTTTTTTCCTTCCTTCCTTCCTCTCTCCCTCCCTCCCTCCTTCTCTCTCTCTCTCTCTCTCTCTCTCTCTCTCTCTCTCGTCTCGCACTGTCACCTGGGCTGGAGTGCAATGGCGTGATCTCGGCTCACTGCAACCTCCGCCTCCCAGGTTCGAGTGATTCTCTTTGCCTCAGCCTCCCAAGTAGCTGGGATTACAGGTGCACGCCACCATGCCTGGCTAATTTTTTTTTTTTTTTTTTGTATTTTTAGTAGAGATGGGATTTCACAATGTTGGCCAGGCTGGTCTCAAACTCAAGACCATGTGATCTGCCAGCCTCGGCCTCCCAAAGTGTTGGGATTACAGGCATGAGCCACCACGCCCGGCCTGGGGTCTCTTTCATAAGGGCACAGTCCCACTCATGAGCTCCACCCTCATGACCTCATCACTCCCCAAAGACCCCACCTCCTAATGCCATCACACTGGGGGTCAGGATTTCTACATGTGAATTTTGGGGGCGATGCAAACATTCAGTCTGTAGTGGTCAGATGATATCTATTCAGCTGGGAAATAGGATGTAGCCATTAAAATGATACCTATGGAGAGCTTGTGTTGCTTACCGCATGTTAAAAGAGAACAACATGGATTTGTGTTTACAGTAAGGTCTCGGCTATGCAAAAGAGATGCACAGATAAAAGACTGGAAAGAAAGAAACCACCAAACAAACACTGGCTTTCTATGGGTGGAACAACTGTGAGTGGGCATCCATTCCTCTCTATATTTCCTATTAAGAACACAGAGCAAAACAGATTGTAGTCCTTGTTGCTGGGAAGTAATGTGCCCTCAGAAACAGTCACCCTCTGAGTACAGAAGTCTGCCCACATCAGTTTCACAAATGATGTGCTAGATGATTAGTCATATCTCCGGCTCTCTCCTGCCCTCCTACAGGGCAGCTGTCCCCATATAACAGTTGTATCCCTAGAAGGAGTATGCAGTTAAAGTAATTGGAGATTCTTTGACCAGACGTTTTGAGAGTCTGGCAGCCCGGAAAGGTGGGATTTGGCAGCTATGTGGGACCTTCCTTCAGGCACTAAAGGGCTTCCTGAAAAAGTTGCTTACACATTGAGGTGTGTTAAATGGAATTCTTTATCATAAGGCTGCAAACTGCTTCTGTGCAAAAGGCAATGTGTTAGTTCCTTGCAGGAATATGCTTTTAGTGAACTCAATGAGATACCAGAAATCCAGTAGGAGAACACTTTCTTTGAAAGAACCACTTGTTTCTACCTACGTTTTTGCCCACCTTTCCTTCTCACCTCCCCTTGGCCACACCCCACTTTTGTGTCTTGGGAATTATCTGCTGTGCTCTGAATAGCCCCGTCCTGCCAGGCCACCCACCTTTGCCCTTGTTTGAAGAAGCTGGGGACAGTTGTCCTTGCTCTCCACCCCCTGGAGTAGGGGAAGAAGGCTTGGAATGTGGTGGGCCTAGGCTTCTTGGTGAGGGCCTTGTATTTGTTGACAAGGAGGTCAGATCCATTCCCTGGGCCGTCATCAGAGACCTGCAAGCATCTACTTAGGGCAGAGTTTTCAAGTGCAGTCTTTGGACCTCCAACATGAGAACCACCTGCAGCTCTAGACCTGGCCTTTGGCCCACAACCTTGGAATCTTGGGCCATGAACCTGCACACTCTCCAGGTGGGCCTTGTGCCCACCAAAGTGAGCGAATCACTGCATTGGAGGAGTGACTCTTGGCTTTTCACAAGGACCTCTCCCTGCTTTCCTCAGTCCCTCCAAGATGCACCCATATCCCACTGCAGGGATGCAATTTGCATACATAGCCAGGGACAGTGTCATCTGGCCACAGCCACTCCCAGCCACCTGTGTCAGCAGAGTTCCCCGTTCCCATCTAAGACATTCACCTCATCAGGCATCTCTCCTGGACCATTTCATTGACATTTTCCTTAACTCCCTTTATGTAGTGTTTATGGAGTTCAGGCCTGCACTGGTTGCTCTCTTCTTTAACTCGCTTCAAGCCCTGCAGGCACATACTGTCATTTTCAGTTTCCTAAGGAGGGGAAGGCCATCTCTCCATTAAATATCTTGCCCCAGGCCTCACAGTAAACAGAGGTCTGAATTGAAACAAGGACCTTCAGTCTTCATCTTTAACAGGCGGGCTCTTTGTCTTATACCAAAAGTGCCCCAGTAGGTTCCGTGTAATTCTGTGGAGTCTTTGAAGACGTGGCTGCCTTCTGGGTAGCTGCTGTGGGTCCCTTACCCTTTGCACTCATGGGAAAGAGAGCTGGATCAGAATGTCTGTGGTGTCAAACTCAGGAAAAGAGCTGCCATTAGCCAGCGCTAGCATTGTAGTCATGGTGAAAAACGGGATCATTACCAGTCCACAGCCAAGCCATATTGCAGCCTGAGGCAACAGGAAAAATCAGGAATACCAATCCTATCTTCATTTACAATTTTGATATTTTGTTCATCATGGATTTATTTTGCCTTAGTTTTGATTTCTAAAGCATTGCATTAAAATATTATTTATTTTTGATTGCTTAGGTTTTTGGGGCCTCCCTGATCTCCCCCTGGTTCAGCCATCGTAAAGTGAAAGCATTTTCATTGCAATGAGGAATAAGTCAAGGGTGCCTGTTAGTGCCATTGTTAACTCCTCAGGGAAGTGCAGGGCAGGGTAGTTAGACAAGATGACCACATGCCGGAAAGGGGAAGCAAAATGGTGACTTCTGAAAGTGACATCATTTACCTAGAAAAACATTATCAACTAAAAACTATTAGGATTTAAAAATAGCTTAGTAAAATCTATTTTTACAAAATCAATATCATTTTTTTTCTGTATGCCAACAATAACCAGGTAAATATATAAGGAAGAGATCTATTCGCAACAGCCACAGAAATATTATATTTAAGAAAAAACTTAATATGAGATGTCTACAGCTATAAAGAAAATTACAAAGCCGTTGAGAGACATTTAAGACTTCAATAAATAGGAAGATTTTTTTGGGTGAAATTGGGTAAAAAGACTCAGTATTGTAAGTATGAATAATTTCTGAGGCCGGGGCACGGTGGCTCACTCTTGTAATCCCAGCACTTTGGGAAACCGAGGTGGCTGATCACTTGAGGCAGGAGTTGGACACCAACCCGGCCAACATGGCAAAACTTCATCTCTACAAAAAATACAAAAATTAGCCGGAGGGTGATGACACATGCCTGTAATCCCAGCCACTCAGGAGGCTGAGGCACAAGAATCACTTTAACCCAGGAGGCAGAGACTGCCGTGAGCTGGGATCGTGCTACTGCACTTTAGCCTGGGCGACAGAGCGAGACCTTGTCTCAAAAGAAAAAAAAATTCCCTAAAGTAATTTATAACTTAAAGTTACTCCAGCCAAAATTTCAGTGGAATATTGGGGATACTTGGAACCACTAACTCTTAAGTTCTTTTGGGAGAATAAATGTGAAAATAGCAGGGGAAGATGACAAAATGAGAATAATGAGAGAGAACTTGCCTTATGTCGTATTAAAATATGCTCTAAATTCATAATAATGAAAATGGCATGGTACTGTTGCTGGGCAGATAGAAATGATGTAGACTAGAAAGTCCAGGGACAGATCTAAGTTTATGTAAGAATTTAGTGTATGATGGCTGGGCGGGGTGGCTCACACCTGTAATCCCAGCACTTTGGGAGGCTGAGGCAGGTGAATCATGAGGTCAAGAGATCGAGACCATCCTGGCCAACATGGTGAAACCACATCTCTACTAAAAAAAAAATACAAAAATTAGCTGGGCGTGGTGGTGCGCACCTACCTGTAGTCCTAGCTACTCGGGAGGCTGAGGCAGGAGAATCACTTGAACCTGGGAGGTGGAGGTTTCAGTGAGCCGAGATCACACCACTGCACTCCGGCCTGGCAACAGAGCAAGACTCAGTCTCAAAAAAAAAAAAAAAGAATTTAGTGTATGACACGCAGGGTGACCAGCCATCCCAGTTCCTGTGGAACTGAGGGTTTCCTGGGACATGAGACTTTGAGTGTTAAAGTTGAGATGGTTGGTCACTGTAAAACATGAGAAACAGAATAGTCTATTTAGTAAAGGGTATTGGGTTACCTGAGTAAAGCTGTGGTGCCCACACTTTGCTGTATATTGGAATCACCTGGGAAACTTTTATGAATACTGATGCCTAGTTCCTATCTGAGACATTCTAGGTTCATTGGTATGTGGTGTGACCTGGGCATCAGGGTTTTCAATGGGTAACAAAACTTGAAAATCACTGGGGTAACCATCGTGGAGAACATGAAGCTGCTCCCTACCTTGTGTGTTTACACTTTCTGATGGGTTAAATATTTCAGTGTCAAAAATAAAGGATTCTAGACAGTGACTGGATTTGCTTGCTCCAAGGGAAGAGGTTTGACCCCTCCCATGAAAAGTCTGGAACTTCTGGAGCTAGGGACAGGTGCAGCACACAGACTCAGGGAGTTTCAGGGGAGCACCTTATTCCTGTGCCTCTAGGAAGGGTGGACATTTTCCCTGGAAGCAAGCAGATCTGGCTGAGGACAGCCTATCTCTGTCATACCTAAAAAATACAGGCACCTCTTCACATCTCAACAGTGAAGTCCCAGATGACCACCCTGACTGCCTCCAGCTCACCATAAAATCCTCTCCCACTGTATCTTACACTGCCCAGCCATCCACCAGTCGCTGAAAGACATGCACTGGTGTCTCAGGGGCCCTTTGTTGCCAGCAAGAGCAAAGACAGGTCACATGCTATATCTTGCTGAAAAGTGAGTTAGTGTTTTGGAAGGTCAAATGGAGGAACTAATTTATACCACACAGAAAAAAATGTGAAATGGGTGCTATGAGTGTAAAGTTCAGTGATTTGGAGGGCAAATTCCAGAGATATTCCAGAAAGAGAAAAAGGCCATTAGGGAGAGAAATAAAAAAGAAATAGCAAGAATCTTCCTGTAACTAAAGTAAGATGTGGGACTTGATTCGGAAAGGGCTCACCAAATGAATCTCACATAAAATTAATGAGACCCTCATAAAATTAAAAAAGACCCTTATCTAGACATAGTTTGCTGGAATTTCTGAACTCTAAGAGTGGAGAGGAAATTGTATCAGCTTCCAGACGGAAGGAATAGATTTTTGTACCAAGGTAAAAAGAATCTGAATAGTATTAAAATGCACATCTGCGAGACTGTAAGCTAGAAGATAGTGGAACAGTGTTAGCAAATTATTGTGAAAAGGATGCAATACAATAATCTTATACCTAGCAAAGGTATCATTCTATGTGAGATCAGAGCCATTTTATAGATACAAAAGAGTTACCTCCTAAGTAAACAAAATGACTCTAACAATTATTTTTACAAAATAAAAATGAAATCCCACTAAATAGTTCAAGAGAAAGAAATGCAAAAAGTATAGGAAGCAGTGGTAAGTTATGAATTGAGTAATTATAGTCCAAATTATATTGTTGTCGTAGTGTTATACATCTGGAATAAATTTTTCTGAAATCATCTGAAGGCTTGGAGAGCTAATAGGAAACACCAGTGGAAAATAAACTCCTGGTTCTATTGTAGTTCTCCTACAATGTCCTCAGTGTTTTCATTTTTGAAAACTTGAATAACATTTTAATAGGATCTGGACTGTTCCATGTTACTGTAATGTGTATTTTAGTCCTTATGTCCTATATTGGCCTAGAGAATATTTTATTTAGTGTTGGTATACATATTTATATGTGCATATTACAGATTTTATCCCCCCGAATGACAGAGATTTTGAAGTTAAGATAGCAAGAGTACTGTGTACTTTAGTTTGTTCTCTTAACAAGGATGTGCATACCTTCAACGTGCACAGCTTGATGTCAGAGCCTGGCGAGAAACAGGGATGCTGTAGAGATGGCACCGCTATGCAAGGAATGGGAGCTGTGTGCTCATGTGCCAGTGATGTACCATCTGCCCTTTGCCGTCCTGACGTCAAGACATGGACGTCTGGTTGCATGTTAGCAGCTGCATTCAGCACATGCTTCTGAGAGACCGTTTTGAGGAATGTAGTTACTGGAGATTGTGTCTGAGAGTTGTGGTTGCTAAGTCCCTGACATCACTCCTGCAGCCTCTCTCTTGTGGCTGGCTGTCCTCTGTGAAGATAAGAAATCTGGTGACAAGTTATATGTGGTCTTTGAGGCAGCTCAGTGTTCTTGATGTGTCCTCTGACACATCTGGGTTGCAGATGTCTTAGTGAGTGCTGGCCCCTTGTTCTCTTCTAGGGAACAGCTCTTTCGAATTGTCCTGCCAGTTTCAGGGTTTGCGAATGGGGTGACGGGCCCTGCAGGGTCCATCTCAGTGACAATTTTCCTGGTGTGGGACATCTTTGCTGTCTGTGGGCCACTCTAGGGGGAGTGCTGTGAATTGCTCCGCATACCAGTGATGCTCCTGAAACACGGCCATGGACAAGCCTGTGCAGGTGGCGGAGTAAACATTGCTTCTTTAGATGTCAAGTGTCCTTGGAGTGAATTCACACGTTGGAAGCATGTGGCTCCATCAGTAATTGTGCCCACACTCTGAGTGTCTGGACTGGATGAAATAATTATCTCCTTCTTCGTTCTTTTGGGAATATTCATACTGCTGTAACCGTGACCATCTGGTACACTCAGTCTCATAACAAGATGTGTTTTGGGCACCACTACAAACAAGGTGCTGTGTTTGGAGCTCTGGGGGGATACACAATATGGAAGGCCTTGAGTTTGTGGCCTAAACTAAAGAGACAAGAGGGGAAGAGGAGGTACAGGAAGGCAAGATGAGAGCCCGGGCAGTGACTGCTGAGGGTCACTGATAGCTCCTCTTTCATCTTCACTTCCTGCTCCCATCTGAGCCCAGATCCCTTTGCTTCTGCCACCTAAGGTCCTCACTGAGCCACTTCTCCACTGTCCTCTCTACTGTTTTAGTTTAAGCTCTCCTTTTTTTTCTTTTTAAAAATTGCAGTAAAATAGACATAAAAAATTTAGCATTTTAAGCATTTTCAAGTGTGCAAGCTCTTAACTGGACTACTGGAATATGTTTTTTTAAATAATTGAACTATCATGCAAGCAAAAAGGCATGTGTAATGTAAGAGTACAGTTTAAAGAATATGACAAACATTTGGGGAAGCAATTAGCTGAAGAAGTAGAACGTTGCTGGGCGTGGCGGCTCACCCCTGTAATCCCAGCACTTTTAGAGGCCGAGGTGGGCGGATCACGAGGTCAGGAGATCGTGACCATCCTAGCTAACACGGTGAAACCCCGTCTCTACTAAAAATACGAAAAATTAGCTCGGCATGGTGGGGGACACCTGTAGTCCCAGCTACTCGGGAGGCTGAGGCAGGAGAATGGTGTGAACCCAGGAGGTGGAACTTGCAGTGAGCTGAGATGGTGCCACTGCACTCCATCCTGGGCGACAGAGCGAGACTCCATCTCAAAAAAAAAAAAAAGAAGTAGAACGTTAAGCAAACTTTTGGACGTCCTCTGTGCCACTTTCCTGATGCTAGCCCCTTGCTTTCCCCCAGAAGAGAGAATAGCCTTTTCACTGGTCTCCCTGCCTCTAGCCTCTAGCCTCTGTCCCCACGCCAGGCCCAGAGAGACAGGGCTAAAAGAAAAAATGTTGAAAATGGCTCAGTGACTGTGCACATGTCTTAGTCTGTTTTCTGTTGCTATAACAGAATACCTAAGACTGGTTGATTATAAAGAATGGAGATTTGTTTCTCACAGTTCTGGAGGCTGGGAAGTCCAAGGTCAAGGTGCCAGCATCTGGTAAGGGCCTTCTTGCTATGTCATCCCAAGGCAGAGGTGAGAAGGTGAGGGAGAATGAGAAAGAGAGCAAGAGAGAGCCAAACTCACTTTTATAACAAACCCACTCTCACAATAAAGAACTTCCTCCCAAGATAAAGACATTAATCCATTCATGAGAGCACAGCCCTCATGACCTAATCACCTTTCAAAGGTCCCACCTCTCAACACTGTTGCATTAGGGATTAAGTCTCCAACGCATGAACTTTGGGGGACATATTAAGGCCATAGCCGTGTGGTTTGGGGGATAAAGTGCAGAGTCCTGGGCACTGGGTCCAGGCCCTCTCCCAGTTTGGCCTGCCAGGTCTCTGCAGCTGCCCTGTCACCCCACGATACCTGCAGGCTGCGGCTGCACCCTTTGTCCTCTTCTCCCCATGGCCGAGCAGTGCTGTCCCCTCTGCTGAGCCCTCCAGCCTGCCACGCTGGGGACTTGTGTAGAGCTTTTCTGCACATTGCTCAGCCTGGATGGTCCCTGCGCATCCAGTTCCTCGGTGAACATTGTTCAGTTTGAGGGGGAAGAGGAGGGAGAGGATGGGATAAGCCTGAAGGGGAAGGTACCCAAGATAGTCTTTGAGGGGTCATGGATTTAGATTGGGAAGAGTTATTGTCCCTCCTCATTGGTCCTCATTATGTCTTCTTAATGAAAGCTGCTCATTTTCTTCGTGAGAGCAAACAACCTGATCTTCTGACCATTTGTCTTGGTCACCTGGGCTACCCAAACTGAGTGAGAAGTCAGGAATGAGCCGGTAGGTTCCTGGGGAGAGGCGTGTGTCCTCGTGAGTTGCCGGTGCCTCCCTTGACTGCTTTTCCCGGAGCTCTGTGTGCCCTCGTTCTCCTTGGTGTGGATGCGTGTTGTTCTGATGATGAGTTAGCGGGGGTGGGGATGGCGCACTGTTTGAACAGATGTGCCCTCACATGGCTGCGGGAGGACGTGGTGGGAGGTGCTGTGGTGAAGTGGCCCCACACATGGCTGGGCTTTGTGGGGTTTTGACTCTGTCCTTCCCAATGTTCCTCCCCACAGTGGCTGCCTCCGGGTGATGATGGCTGTGTGAACGACTGCCATGGCCCACCGGAAGCTTGAGAGCGTGGGGAGCGGCATGTTGGACCATAGGGTGAGACCAGGTCCTGTCCCTCACAGCCAGGAGCCCGAGAGCGAGGACATGGAGCTGCCCTTGGAGGGCTATGTGCCCGAGGGCCTGGAGCTGGCTGCCCTGCGGCCAGAGAGCCCCGCGCCAGAGGAACAGGAGTGCCACAACCACAGCCCCGATGGGGACTCCAGCTCTGACTACGTGAACAACACCTCTGAGGAGGAGGACTATGACGAGGGCCTCCCTGAGGAGGAGGAGGGCATCACCTACTACATCCGCTACTGCCCTGAGGACGACAGCTACCTAGAGGGCATGGACTGCAACGGGGAGGAGTACCTGGCCCACAGTGCACACCCTGTGGACACTGATGAGTGCCAGGAGGCGGTGGAGGAGTGGACGGACTCGGCGGGCCCGCACCCCCACGGCCACGAGGCTGAAGGCAGCCAGGACTACCCAGACGGCCAACTGCCCATTCCGGAGGATGAGCCCTCCGTCCTTGAGGCCCATGACCAGGAAGAAGATGGTCACTACTGTGCCAGCAAAGAGGGCTACCAGGACTACTACCCCGAGGAGGCCAACGGGAACACCGGCGCCTCCCCCTACCGCCTGAGGCGTGGGGATGGGGACCTGGAGGACCAGGAGGAGGACATTGACCAGATCGTGGCAGAGATCAAGATGAGTCTGAGCATGACCAGCATCACCAGCGCCAGTGAGGCCAGCCCCGAGCATGGGCCTGAGCCAGGGCCTGAGGACTCTGTAGAGGCCTGCCCACCCATCAAGGCCAGCTGCAGCCCCAGCAGGCACGAGGCGAGGCCCAAGTCGCTGAACCTCCTTCCCGAGGCCAAGCACCCCGGAGACCCCCAGAGAGGCTTCAAGCCCAAGACCAGGACCCCAGAAGAGAGGCTGAAGTGGCCCCACGAGCAGGTAGGACCCTGGCTGTCCTGGGGAAGGGAGCAGAGGGGCCCGAGAGCAAGGGACCTCAGGGTACAGGCCTTGCAGATGCTGAAGCGAGGCGGTGGGGGGTGCTGGGTGCCTCACAGTTCTAATGGTGGCTGAGCTCTTCATTGGTCCAGTTGGGAGACATGTTGCGTGGATGCTCCGGCCACTCTTAAGCTCACCGCTCAGACTCAGGACTAAAGCCGGTTGAGGGCTGAGTGGCAACTCGTGTCTCGCAGAAGACACCCCTCCTCCCACCCTAGAAGAGAGGTTCGATTTCTTGCCCACTGCCCTGGTCTGCTCATGGTGGGGCAGTATGTGTGGGAGAGCCCCTCAATCCTCAGGGGTGTACTCAGACCAGCAGGGCAGTGGCAAAGACGTGGGGGTGCTGGTGCTCACCCACTGCTGCGGCCAGTGTTGGGTGGCCTGGTGGCTGGGGTCGGGGCCAGAGTGCATTTCACAATGGACGGGTCTCTGAAAGCCCGGGGGCCTTGGCCTGATGGGCAATCAGCTGTGAATACCTATTTGGAAAAGGATTTTTTGAAGGTTTGACAAAACCTCGGGGAAGAAACGCATGCTAATGAGGGCAGTGGATGTCAGCATAACTGTATTTTAATTATAGCAAAGTCAGCGTGCATTCTAATAAACACATTTGAAAAGCCACCTTCCAAAAAAAGCCTCACTGTGAGTATATAAAGAAGATGTGATTATTGGACTTGTGTGAAGGAACTTCTATTTGGCCAATTATGTGGACTTCTGTCATATTTTTTTACAGCCTTAACTGTTAAATATTTTTTTCCGAGAAGAGTTCATGAATTTGAGTGTGTGTGTGTGTGTGTGTGTGTGTGTGTGTGTGTGTGTGTGTGTACTGAGAGCTTGGGTTTGGAATGGAAATCATTGGATTTTCAGCACTTATATTTTAATTGACTCCTGGATTTTCAGCACTTGTATTTTAATGTCTTGTATTCTCTCTAAAGAACGTTAAGTGTCAGTTGACTTCACTTTGGGGGTGTTCCTGTCATTCACAGCAATTCCGTGTTTACAGGGGGCTGTGGGATGCATAGGAGCTCCCATGGTACTAGTGGGTGTTGGGAGAGTTCACCCCTAAGGCCAGGAGGCTCTGGACCCTGGGTCTGGGCTTTAGGCCAAAGCAAAGTGTTTCTTTGGTCTTTAGCAGGGCCTGGGCTTGTCCCACAACAGTGGTGAAGGCACCTCAGGGATTGACGTGGGCTGTGCAGAGCGTGTGACATGCTGCGTCTTATTGTGACAAATGGCATCGCTAGCCAAGTTCTTGTCAAAGAAGATTATCTTTAGAGCGTGGTGGGGAGTAAGCAAGACCTGATATTTTCTGGTTTTGTGCTTCATGCTAACCAGATGGTAATTTGGGTAAAAACACAGAGATCTTGCGATTGGAGAGCTGGGAGGTAAATGAGTGGGAATGAATGGATGGATGGGTGATAGTAGCTGTTTAAAAGGGCAGGTGGAGGTAGGGGAAGTCCCCAGCCATTGTGGAGGATCAAGAGGATGTCTGTTCTTCCCAGAAGAGGCATTGAATGAAAAAGTATGTCACTTCTCCCCCTAAGGAGAATGTGTCCTTGAAGGACATGCTCTTGTCTGAGACACTGGAAAAGTTCATTTAAACTGGTTAATGATTGTATAGCTTTTGTTTTGTTTTGTTTTTCCCTCCCTCCCTCCTTTCTGTCCTTTCCTCCTTTCCTCCCTTCCTCCCTTCCTCCCTCCCTCCCTCCCTCCCTCCCTTCTTTCTTTCTCTCTCTCTCTCTCTTTCTTTCTTTCGCGCTTCGTCCCTTCCTCCCTCCTCCCTCCCTCCCTCCCTCCCTCCCTCCCTTCCTTCTCTCCCTCCCTCCCTCCCTCCTCTCTCTCTCTCTCTCTCTCTCTCTCTTTCTTTCTTTCTTTCCTATCAGTTCACAAATTAATTCTGTCAAGGGGAACACCTGCTAGTTCCAGAGTTCCAGGCTGACAAGTACCCTGGTGCCAGGGGCCCTGACTACTCTTTCTGAAGACTCTACCAGGCCCGCTGCACGTGGGCAGGGTCTCCACATTCTTAGATTTGAGTACCCCATTCCAGATGAGGACCTCTTTGAAACCTGACCAGAAAGAGCCGTAGAATTCATCTTGAAAGCAAGATTTTTTATGAAGGATGTGCACTGGGAGATTTGGTGCTGCCTTGCTTGAAATAACAACCTGCTTTCCTAAGAACAATCCCCTTCCTCCCCTGGGGGACAGCCAGGCCGTGCCAGGAGCCAACAAAGGCCTGGCCTCAAGCAGGTGCACAGGGTGCCATGTGTCCCATGCTCACCTCTCTGATCCCAGTGCTGTCCACATAGTGTAGTGATCCCTATGGTTGAGGCTGCAGTAAAAAAAAAATCTGAAGGGAGAAATGGGCAATATTGGTCACTTAGATGCTGTAGACTCCTGTTTTTAACCCTAACCCAGCAGCATT
Organism: Homo sapiens; assembly: GCF_000001405.40. Classification (NCBI taxonomy): domain Eukaryota; kingdom Metazoa; phylum Chordata; class Mammalia; order Primates; family Hominidae; genus Homo; species Homo sapiens. The sequence continues at coordinate 1,332,267 of NT_187660.1, forward strand.
GGCATTACTGGGGAGCCCCGCCCCCACATTGCTGAATCTGAAATCTGCATTTCAACAAGATGCCACATTCCAGCTGTGATGCTGTAGGAGACTCACTTGGAGGAAATTGTGTAGCAACCCTCCCCTCTCTTCTACTCATTTTACAGCTTGAAAAAGTGTGTCCTGGATATTTTGAAGAGGACTGAATAGCATTTAGTCATTGCACGAATGGCAATAGTAAAATAGAGTTAGAAAAAATGGGAAGATGAAAAATGTATTCTCCATGGTCCCTACTACCCTAACGGATGAGCTATTTCATCAGTGTGCCTTTTCAGACCATAGCATTGAGCATAAATGATGTACGTAGCTGTCATCATAACCCAGATGTATTTTTGTCATACAGTTTTTAAAATCTGATGTATGATAAATGTTTCTCCATGTCACCATATAATTTTCATGATTATTTGTAGTGACCTTTCCATGATCCATTTGGGCGATGATGTGCTGTATAACATATTTCTCTGTACACACTCTACCATTGAGCATGCAGATTGTGAGTGGCATTTTCTCTTAGGTGTAAGGCTGCCACAGACATCTTTGTACAAACCATGTTTTCCTTCTTTGGTTTATTACCTGAGGATAAATCCCCATGCCGTACATCAACGTTGACCATTTCCCCTCGATGACCTTGCCTAATTGTTTCCCTTCTTCTGTGGATGTTGGATGCATGCCCTTTATCTTTTGGGGTTTGGATGCATTTCCATCTCATAGAAGCACTCTCTACACTGTAGGTGTGACTTCCTGTTGCGTATGTCCTCATCTTTAGTACATTTTCTTTTGAATTTTGGTTATATTATTTTCACCATCTCTGCAGCATTTTTAAGATGTTAATGACTCATCTGTGACCCCTCCACCTCCTTTCGGTACAGAGGGATTTAATTGGATGTTTCCTTCTTCCCTGTCTGGGTAGATGTATTCACAGAGGACATTGCTTTGGTCTGGTCGATACGAAAAATGAGTTGCCGGCTGGGTGCAGTGGCTCACACTTGTAATCCCAGCACTTTGGGAGGCCAAGGTGGGCAAATCACCTGAGGTCAGGAGTTCGAGACCAGCCTGACCAACATGGTGAAACCCTGTCTCTGCTAAAAATATAAAAATTAGATGGGCATGGTAGTGTGCACCAGTAATCCCAGCTACTCAGGAGGCTGAGGCAGGAGAATCGCTTGAGCCTGGGAGGCAGAAGCTGCAGTGAGCCGAGATAGCACCACTGCACTCCAACGTTGGCAACAAAGTGAGACTCCCACCTCCAAAAAAAAAAGAAAAGAAAAATGAGTTGTGCCTGTACTAAGAAGTAGGTTGTGTGGCCTTTGGAGCCCTCCTGAGCTGTAGGATGCCATGCATTTTGAAAAGGCTCCAGTTTGCAGGGAGCCCTCCCACCTGTGCCACTCTGCTGAGACCAAGAGGTCTGCCCGGGGGCTGGGATATGAGAGGCACAAAGGTGATAGAGTTTCTAAAATTGTAGGAAGACAGGTTGGGGAACAGAGATCTACACTTGAATTATTTTAGTAAAATAAAAAAAGGTTATTTCAAAGCACTGCAAGTTTACTGAGGAAAATTTGGAAAATACAGGCAAAAAAATCTTTTGCCATGTGGCATTGTAGAATTCCACTGTAGAGTTTTCAAATCAAAGAGACAAACCTAGGTCAGGATTTCCCAAAACACGCTCTTAGAGGTGTTGTGTAAACAAAGTACCATTTGATCCTTACTATTCATGGATTTGATATTTGCAACTTTGTTAACTTGCTAAAATTGATTTGTAACCCTGAAATCAATACTCGTAGCACTTTCCCAGTCATTTGTGGAGGTACAGAGAGGGGAAGAATTTGAGTCACCCAACTCTCACGTTCCCAGCTGAGGTTGAACAAGGCTTTGCCTTCTTGTTTCAGCTCTCATACTGTAAACAGCTGTTCTTTTCACAATCTATTTAATGTTCTTTGCATTTTTGTTGATATGTGTGTGTGTGTGTGTGTGTTGGTGATAAAATGGCCCTCAAGTGTGGTGCTGAAGCCTAGTGATCCTAAGCACAGAATGGCTGCCATGTGCCTTACATGTGCTAGAGAAGCTTCCTTCAGGGCTGAGCGACAGTGCTGACTCGTCTATGCTGCCACTCTGGGAGGTGCTAAAGTAAACTTCTGTAGCGTATGATGAAGTTAAGGAAAAGGTGGAGGAATGGCTAAATTTGCAGATTCATGGGACAATAACTGATTAAAAAACACATAGTGGACAGGTAGAAAACCCAAGAACTTTACTGTCTTGTGATCTAGGGTCAGGGAAATGTTAAACTCTTCTCAGCTAGTGTTTTATGTTAAAGAAATATTGCATATAATTAATTATTTATAAGAAATCTATATTAAACAAGGTGCGTATAAACAGAAACACACATAAAACAAGGTTCTGTGTTGATTCATTGACAAAAATGTGTCCCGAGGCTCATAGGAACCTAACCCTGTATCGCCCCTAGGAGCAATGTATTCAGTATTCATCAACTCAGTGCTCAGGGCAGCTTTACAGAACATAACTATGTGAATGAGAATTGGTTGTATTTGGTTGGCAAATGACTTTGGGAAACTTTGCTGCAAAGTTTTTCCCTTCTTGGGGGTTTACTGATTTCTCACACACAAGTAGCATAAAGTCCCACGTTCGCTATAGCGGAGACACCAGCCAGCCTGGCCAGTGCTTCCCAAACATGGTGTATCAGCAAGCCCTTTTCCCTCCATGCAGGGTCTGTGGGAGAATACAGACCCAAGCTTTACACCCTGGGGAGTAAAGGACCCGTACACATGAACTCCCAAGGCCTCTCCCTGTATGCTTCAGTTCCAAGATGATTCAGCAACCCCAAATGGTGATGATGGAAAGGTTGTCATTGTGTTATCATCAGGACCCTTGGCTTCTGCAGATTTAACCTTTCTTATTTTGTGGTTTGTGTAAAGTCCGTGGGTGCCGGTGGAGGTGGCAGCAGTGTTGGCGGTGACTGCCAGCACCATGTTAGGGGTGTTAGGAATATGATCGCAGTAAATCCTAGAGCAACCCAGAGAGAGGGAGCTAGGGTTAGTCCCGTGTTGCAGATGGCACAGTTAAGTAGCTCACCTGTGAATAGACTGTGGACTGTGTTATGCCAAAACCCGTGCCTCTGAACAGTGCATAACACAGCCCTTGAAGAACCTGAGAAGAGAAAGCGTCCAGTTCTGTTCAGTCCGCGTTTGAGCCTGCCTGCTGGAGGGTGAGTCAGTGTGGGGGAACTGTGCAGTGTTCCTCCTGGAGAGTGATGGTCTCTTCTCCTCTGTTGTCTGTTTCCTTGCTGTTGAAAGGCTTGGCGTGCCCTGTTGTTCTCAGTGAGTGGGATACGGTGCCAGTGAGGTGACCAGTAGATACGGAAGCCTCCGGTCTGTAAAATGTCCCCATCTCAGTGCTAACGTGTCCTAAGTTCACCAGGGCTCAGGCCACAGATCAAACAAGTCAAGTAAAGATTGTTCATGTGGCATTTTTCTTAATTTTTTTGAGCTTTGTTGACATAACGTATTGATTTTTTTTTTCATGCAGTGATTAAGGAATACATGAGTTGGGTCCAGCAAGGCTCGTATTGTGTGACCTGATGGAATTAGTATTACTACACCTACCCATGTGGCCCTCTACTATCAGGCAGTGAAGCGTGAGTGGAGGGAGGACCCCAGCTGGGCACTGGTACCTGGCTCAGTCTCACAGCTCCAGGGATGAGCCTGTGGACCTGGCACGTCCTTGGTGCCTTCCCTTGAAGAGAGTAGTTTGCTCATCAGTGCTTTCCCTGGGGCAACTCACCCACACTCCTGGGGGGCACCATAAGAGCGTTTGTCCAGCACCAAAGATCCTAGTTCTGTGGGTCTGTGGGGTGGCCCTGGATGGCATGTTCTCTGGATGCCTCTGGGTGGCCTGTGGAACATAAAGGGTTTGGCGAGGGCTGGACGGATTGTTTTGGAGCCCCATCCCACCTGTTACCTTGTGACGTCTATCAGGAGATACACTGAAAAGGTCAGCCCTGCCTGAAATTCTCCCTGTAGAGACTTACTCCTTTGGACCTTGGAGATTTCTGGAGCTGCAGGCATTCCTTGTCCAGGACCTCCATGGCTACCGAGTTGAGGTATTTGATTTACTCAGCAAGTGTAGAATAGCTCCACACCTTGGAATGGCAAACCAAATATGCGTTTTGATTATTTGGGGTTTTCATGATTTCTGTTTATCCCTGACCCAGCTGGTGCTTTCTAGAAAGAGCCTTCTGCCAATAGAAAAAAGAAGAAAAATCAATACATGGTAGCCAACTTAATACAAGTTAAAGGGAAGCATGGTCGAGGGCCCCGAGGCCACATCGAATGCAGAATTGTGCATCATTGCTCATTGTAGAGATGCTTTGGCCGTGACTTGGCATTCAGTAGAGGCTTGCTTTTTGAAGAACCTTCTGAGAGTGTGATAGGAGTCTGGTGCCAAGGGAGAGAAGGTGCTAAAAGCACAGGTAACTGGGTGTGTCCCCCAGGTGGGAGGCAGTGGTACCGTGTGTGTTCTGAGCCACGGCCTCACACACATGCCCCGCTGGGCAGCATATGAAGTGAGTGTCAGTATCTGCTTTACAGAAGAGGACTGAGACAAGAGTGGCATGGGGTTGTTGGCACCCAGGCGCCCCCCCTCCATCAGCGTGTGGTGGGGCAGCAGGTGTGCAGATGGGGTGGTCCTGCACAGAGGGGCTTTGGGGCTTGCACTGCGCCCAGGAGGGAGTGGTCTGGGGTTTGTCTAAACCTGGCCCACAGTAGGATGGAACTTGGGAAAGAGCCTGTAGGTGGTGCTGAGGGCAGGGGGTTATGGGGGGCATTGGGGCATGGTCTGCCTGGGAAGGGGAAGGTCCTCTCCAGCCCCCAGGCCTCAGTGGAGTAGTCGGCTCCCTCCTTTCTGCAGCCATGCCTCAGATTCTAGTGTCCCTTGCCCCGCCCACCCATGGCGTCAGGCCTAGCACTCCTGCTCTGCATACGGGGAGGCTGCACGGGAGGGTTCTTGGGGTGCTCCTGTGTCCCCTGTCGTCTGTACTGAACCCCTTCCCGTGCAGCTCTGCTCCCAGCACTGTGACAGGGTGGACACCGCACCTCCTGCTACTGATTCCCAGGATTGCCTTGAAAAATAAAATCCTACGGGTGTGCATTGACGTTTCAATCCTGGCTGGCTCCGCATGAGCTTCTGAACTTGATGTTCAGAAGCTCAGGGCCCATTTGCTGAGTCAGCACAGCTGCCTTCTTTGATTTGTATGAAGCCTTTTGATGTTTTGATGACATGTCACCATGGGTGGCTGTTATTTTCAGGGAGCAGTTTATCTATCAGGATCTGGGATTGCTTCGGGTACTTTTAAAATCTAGGTAAAGCCGGGGTTTCTAAAACATTGTTCTAAAACATTGTCAGGGCAGAGCATGTAAAGCTCTCCCACTACCACTAATAGTGATCTAAAAAGTGCCTCTCCCCTCAAACACACCCTAGTCCTCGGGGAGAAAGCAGAGTGCGGTGGTTAGGAATGCTGGAGCCACAGTCAGGAAGCCGGCATCCCACCCGGCTGCAGCAGCTTGGGGCCCGGGAACATTCTGGATGGGCCACCTGTGCCAGCAGCCCCCCATCTCGTGGGGCTGTGGGGAGGGGAGTTGATCTGGGTCAGTGTCTGTATGGGTGGGGAGGGGAGTTGATCTGGTCAGTGTCTGTATGGGTGGGGAGGGGAGTTGATCTGGGTCAGTGTCTGTATGGGTGGGGAGGGGAGTTGATCTGGTCAGTGTCTGTATGGGTGGGGAGGGGAGTTGATCTGGTCAGTGTCTGTATGGGTGGTGCGGGGAGTTGATCTCGGTCAGTGTCTGTATGGGTGGGGAGGGGAGTTGATCTGGTCAGTGTCTGTATGGGTGGTGCGGGGAGTTGATCTGGTCAGTGTCTGTATGGGTGGGGAGGGGAGTTGATCTGGGTCAGTGTCTGTATGGGTAGGGAGGGAAGTTGATCTGGTCAGTGTCTGTATGGGTGGGGAGGGGAGTTGATCTGGTCAGTGTCTGTATGGGTGATGCGGGGAGTTGATCTGGTCAGTGTCTGTATGGGTGGTGCAGGGAGTTGATCTGGTCAGTGTCTGTATGGGTGGTGCGGGGAGTTGATCTGGTCAGTGTCTGTATGGGTGGGGAGGGGAGTTGATCTGGTCAGTGTCTGTATGGGTGGGGAGGGGAGTTGATCTGGGTCAGTGTCTGTATGGGTTGGGAGGGAAGTTGATCTGGTCAGTGTCTGTATGGGTGGTGCGGGGAGTTGATCTGGTCAGTGTCTGTATGGGTGGGGAGGGGAGTTGATCTGGTCAGTGTCTGTATGGGTGGTGCGGGGAGTTGATCTGGTCAGTGTCTGTATGGGTGGGGAGGGGAGTTGATCTGGGTCAGTGTCTGTATGGATGGTGCGGGGCATGGAGTGCTTGTGCAGATGATGATGATGATGATGAGTTTTCAGTCCATGGGAAGCTCATCGGGTCTGGGGGAGGTGGGTGGGCAAGTCCCTGCACCCAGTTTGGGTACAGGCCATGCTGGGCAGGGGTGAGGACACTAGTGGACCTGTCCTCGGGAGTGACACAAAGGAGGTGGTGAGCCCTGCTTGTGAGATAGGATGAGAGGAGGACCAGGACTGGTCAGGGCCACACTGGAGCTGCTGGGGGTGAGGTCGGGTAAGGGCCTCCCAAGGTGCCCCCACGCTGTCCCCTCTGCAGGGCCCTCCTGAATGTGGCTTGTGCCCTGCTGGAGAAGTTCTCACATGCCTCTTTCTACTCCAGAGTCACTGATTTGGGAGATGGGGCAACAGCTGCACAGCCCCAAGGGCTGCCCTGATTTTCTCACACCGAATATCTAATAGGAAGTTAGCTGAGAAGCCCACACACCTCTTCTTCCAGGTAGGCAAGCTGGGCCTGGGACTACCTGTCTCTCACCGACTCCAAATGATAGCCAAGCCTCTCTTAACCTTGGGCACCTTTTTTCCAGTTTCCACCCCGAATTCACACTCTTCAAAGCCAGCTCCTCCTGCTGGGCTGCTCCTGATGTGGGGGGCCGGCCCTCCCTGCAAATCTCTGGCATGGCCCTTGCAAATTGGCACCTGCCACGTGGTTGGCACTGGGACTGCAAAGGTGAAAGTGGCATTATCCTGCATTTGAAACTCATTCTAGAGGGAGACGGATACATGAGACTCTCCCCGCCCCCATCCAGGTGTGGCCAGGCTCCAGACGAGTTCCAGGCAGGCTTCCAGGACAGGCTCCAGAGTTAGGGACAGGCGGAGAGGCTCTGTGACTTTGAGAGGGGCTTTGGGAAGTCAGCCGACAAGGTGGGGATGAACATAGAGGTGTGTGGGTGTCCTCAGCATGGAAGGGGCTGGAATCGTGATGTGGCTTTGAGCCTGAAACAAGACAAAGGGAAGGCGAGGGACATGGGTTGGGGGATGGTGATGAGAGAGAGACAGAGGGTTCCACTGGGGGCATGGAGGGGAGCCAGGAGAGAACTGGGGAGCTGAGGGGAGGGACATTAGGAAGGCCAGATGTAGCAGGGCAGTTAGGAGATATCTTACTGGGGAAGAAAGCACCCGTTGGCGGTGGCCACCTGTTGGCGGGGTCCCCTGAGCCTGAGCAGCTCTGGTGGATTGGGAAGGCAGAGGCATGGGAATGGTAGATGGACAGTGTCTATAGAGACTTGCACGGAGGGCCCAAGGAGGTGCCAGCAAGCCGAGGTGCTCATAGTGTGTGTGTGTGTGTGTGTGTGCACGCACGCTTGTATGTGAGATATTGACTTGCATTGTACTCATCTGCCGGTGGGGTGTCTAGGGCAGATTGTGGGGAGTGAGAGCATTGGGTATGGGACCCAGGCTGTCCACGTGCGTCTGCTTCTTGAGGCCCCGTACCTCCCGTTCTTGGGCCTCCGTGACACCTGGCATCATGCCTCTCTTGCACCAGAGGCTTGAGAGACACCCAGTTGGCAAAATCAGTTAGTCTGTGACATTCCCTAGGAAGTGCAGGGCTCGGTGCAAGAAGTTATAGAAGTATCTGTTTAGGAAGAAAGATCGCATGGCTGAACACGCTGAGATGCGTAATGTCACCCATGGTGTGCTTGCCCAAGATGTGATAGCGTGGTGATGGCAGACATGGGAGTTTTACCCCAAAGCATTCAGATCACAACCAGTGCCAGTCAGTTACTATGAAGACATGTGACTATGGTAATAGGGGGCTGACCTATTAGAATAACTCCTAATCCTATGTCAGATAATACCATGGGCAGCTCAAGAAAACTACGCACAACTCAGACATGTGGAGAAAGGAGATGTGGAATGGAATGGAGCCCTCTGGGCTGATAGAGGCCTCCAGGACTTGCCACACCCACGTCTGCCCCCAATTCCCCAGTCAGCCTTCACAGAAGAGAAGTTGGTCTCTCTCCAGCTGAGACCAAGCCAAGACCCAAAGTGCTGGAGCTGAAGGAAGTTTGGGCTAGGCTCACAGAAGCTATTGTCCCCTCCTCCAGTGTCAACAGCTACCCATGGTCCAGGCCTCCATCTGGTCCTGGTCCTTTTAAGAGACACTGGGTGCTGACTCACTTCTGGGTCTGTCCCACGGGTGGCCTGCCTGGTCTGCTGTGGGTGCAGCCAGACTGTGCAGGTTCGGGAGCCCGAGGTGGACTTCAGGTAGGGAGACGCTGCTCCCCAAGAGCTGCTCGGGTGTGACGTCAGGGTGGAGGCTGTTGCTGTGTGTGGCGGCATCAGTCATTTACCCTCTTTCTCATTAGCCCCTGTCCTTCGGCCCATGTGCTTGCAGGTGGCCTCTGATTCTGCTTCTGGAGACTGTCTGCCCCCTCTGATTCATTCATTGCGGCCCCAGTTATGTGAAAGATAGCATGTTCATTATTCATTCATTGGGCCCCACTTTTAGATATACTTGTGTTCATCTTCGAGAGAGGGAGGTCATCCAGCCATTCCCCAGTCCTCAAAACCCACTCCACAGGCAAAGCAGTGGTGGGTCAGGGCTCCTCTTGCTGCATTGCGGCCTTGTATTTGCTCTTCTGAGCCACAAGCATAGCGAGAAAGTACAAAAGAAAAGGATTTCAATGGTATTCACCCTGAAAAAGGAAGAAAATTGTGACACAGGCTGCAATATGGACAAACCTTGAAGACGTCCTGCTAAGTGCAATGAGCCAGTCACAAAAGGACAAGTACTGTGTGATTCTACTTCTGAGGCACCCACAGTAGTCAGAGTCATAGAAACAGGAAGTAGAGTGGCGGTGGTCAGGGGCTGGAGAGAGCAGGGAGTGGGGAGCTGGTGTTTAATGGGTGCAGAGGTTCAGTTGTGAAGATGGAAGCATTCTGGAGGTCATCGGTGGTGATGGTCGCTCAACAGTGTGAATGTACTTAATGCCACTGAATTGTACACTTAAAAATGGTTAAGATGGTAAATTGTATGTTATGTATACTTACCACAATAAAATAAATAAAGAAAAGAAGAGGTTTTTCAGTGAATAACTGGTTTGAACCAATTTGGATCCTCTAAAACCAAGTTGAGCCAGTCTGAACCCATGTAGCCATTATCACACCGTGTTAGGCTATTCTTGCACTGCTTTAAAGAAATACCTGGGGCTGGGTAATTTATAAGAAAAGAGGTTTAATTGGCTGACAGTTCTGCAGGCTGTAGAGGAAGCATAATACTAACATCTGCTTCTGGGGAGGCCTCAGGAAGCCTTCAATGGTGACAGAAGGCAGAGTGGGAGCCAGCACTTCACATGGTGAGAATGGGAGCAAGAGAGAGAGTGGGGGTTGGAGGGGGAAGCGCCACACACTTTTAAACAACCAGTTCTCTTGTGCACTCAAAGTAAAACCTCACTTACTACCAAGGGGATGGCCCACATCATTCATGAAAGATTCACCCCATGATCCAGACACCTCCTACCAGGCCCCACTTCCAGCATTGGGGATTGCATTTCAGTATGAGATTTGGGCAGGGACAAATATCCAAACTATATCACCCACAAAGAAGCAAAAACATTTTGGGCCAAATCAAAACTATTTAGATGTAGCCACAGTGGGGATGAACTGTGATTATACCCATTCAGGCCTGTGGACCTGTGGACCTGGCGTGTGTGGTCGTGAGGCGGTGGGTCGGCACATCCCTGGGAGGTTTCAGGAGGACATTCAAGACCAAAATGAGCCATGAGTAAATAACACAACCACATCCTGAGTGGGAGTAGGGGAGCCTCCCCTTCTCTCCTAGGTCTTGTATGGGTCATGATCCCGCCTTGGCAGGAGTGGAAGGAACAGATCCCACAGGCTGTGGCTTATGGTAAAGTGATTGTGGTCATGCCTTGTGAGTGTCATTAAAATAAACATATATCGTTAAATCCACCATCAAATAACAGCTATTTCTGCCATCCTCTCGCCTTTTCCACAAGTTTAAATATCCCAGATATTCTACTGTGTATATTCCTAAAAGCAGACAGGTAGATTTAGTAAAGTTAACTGGATCATTGGTACCTTCTTTATAGATCATCTGGTGAAACTTGTTTTTCAAATTATGAGTTGTAGGGCTTTGTTTTAATGTCTGTAGCCTTAGGCAGTTCCATTGAGACTAAGTTTTTTTCTTATTAAGACTAATCTTATTGACTGGAACTGTGGACTCCTCGTATTAGGAGAACAGAGATGTGGCCTACATAAATTAGTGGAAGTTAAATACTGTAGAAAATGCTCTCTGGAAACCAAAGTCTAACATCGACTTACTACTGGTCATTCAATTTCCTTTTGGCTTGGGCACCATCGTTACATTCATTTTTCAGATGTCAAGCTAGTTTTCTCAGAATGTGTGCAGGGCTCGAGGCCAAGTGTGGAGGCCACAGGGGAGGTCACAGGTCAAGCCTTCTGGGAGAACTGCAAGCTTGAGCCTCTGATAAAGTCACGCGATTGAATTTTAGCCCCAGTAGGTTGCTGTCGTTAAACTGTGCACACAGGGCTTCTTGCTTTTAAGTTAGCAGGATGGAAAAATTGCGGATGTTTGCAGCAAATGTGTAGAACCAGTGGCAGAAGCAGCCATGCTGGCCCCTAAGCAATGGTATTAGAAAGGGTTGATGAAGATTTTCTCATTTGAGAGTTGAACAAAACCAAATGGAATTCTCCCTAGTTCCGCAGCACTGGTGGGTGACTCTCCCTGGGCCGGTCTCAGCCCTGCAGAAAGGGGCACTGTCTGCTTAGCTTGGTCAGCGCAGGGTCTACTGCAGCAGAGTGCCAGGTGGATCACAGCCCTCTTGTGGGGGAAGGATGGGCGGAGCTCCCACCTTCCCCACAAATGGACACAGAATGGCACCTGGTATGTGAGGCAGGTGCAGGTGACCAGGAGAAGGGGCTGTCAGTGGTTGATGGACAGCTGCCTCTGCTGCCTGGATGACCCACCCCCTCCCCTGGACCATCTCCCACTTTGCCTGGGTGTCAGTCACTGGAGGGTTAGCTCAGTACAAGCTGGCGGATGACCTCCGTAGAGCTTAGGTGAAGGGGCTCTCACAGGGCAGTATGTTTGAGACCCTTAGAGGGCTCTCTTTACTCTTGCTTCTCCTATTATTTTTAAACTGTAGTAATACACACGTAACATAAAGTTTACCATTTTAAAGTGTACAATTCAGTGGCATTTAGTACAATGTTGTGCAACCACCTCTGCTCTTTAGTTCCAGAACATTTTCGCTGCCCCCAGAGGAGACCCTGTATTTATTAAGCAGTCACTCCCCATTCTTCCCTCCGCCCCCAGCCCCCACAGTGAAAAATCTGTTTTCTCTCACTTTGGATTTGTCTATTCCGGATATTCCATAAAGATAGGATCAGACAATATGTGCCCTTTAGTGTCTGGCTTATTTCATCATCATGTTTTCAGGGTTCATCCCTGTTGTAGTGTGTGTCAGTACTTTGTTCATTTTTGTGGCTGAATGATATTCCACTGAATGGCTATTTTACATTTTATTAATCCACTCATCCACTGATGGACATTTGAGTTGTTTCTACCGCATGATTAATGTGAATAGTGCCACTGTGACCATATGTGTACAAGCTTTTGTGTAGACACTTGCTTTCAGCTCTTTTGGGTGTATCACTAGGAGTGGAATTCCTGGGTCATGTGGTTATTCAGTGTTTACCGTTTTTAGGAACCACAGATGTTTTCCACAGTGACAGAACATTTTACATTTTCACCAGCAATGCATGAGGGTTCTGATTACTTTCAAAGGAAAAAAATTAAGCAGCCCTGTCACCTTGATGGTTTGGTCTCTGGCCTCACCGCTTCAGCTCCTCTGGCCTGATCTCCCAGGGCCTGCTTTTGTTCATGTGTGTGTCTGTTTATACCCTGGCTCATCCTGTGGAGGGTCTGAGGCTGGCAGGATCACTGGGTTCTGTCTCCACATTGGAAGGTGAGCTGTCCTAGGTCAGGGTCTTTGTTGCATGCATCGTCCTGTCCTTAGCAAGAGCTACCCTGTGCCATATGGGACATACAACAGGCACCTGTTCAGGCCTGGCCATGTGGGCCCACCTTTGGATGGTACTTGACAAAGCCTCAAAATGCAGTGACAAGTTTAGATAAATATGATTCTGTTCTGAAATGCTGCACTGGACACAGCCATCCACTGCCTGCCCTTTACAGGGCTCTGTGAAGAGACAGTGAACAATGAAGTGGAGGACGTGTGCAGGTGGCCCCAGTGGTCGGTGATGGAGGAGAGATTTCAGCAGACCAAGCACGGAGAATAAAGCCAGGCCAGAGTGTGCTATCAGCCTGTCTGCCCCCTAGAGCTGATGGACTCAGCAAATAACAGTATAGGGTACCCAGTTACATTCGAATTTAGACGGGTATAGGATTTTGGTTTTTCAAGATGAAAAAACTTATAGTGGTGAGGGTTGTACAACATTATGAATTTAATAACACTGAACTGTACACTCAAAAATGGTTAAGATAGTATATTTTATTGTATGTGTATTTTACCATAATAAGCAATTGAAAAAATAAGTTGTATTTCAGGTAGATAGCGAATAATTTTTTAGTATAAATATGTTCCATGAGATGTCTGGATACCGGGATGCAGGAGGGACTCCCCTTCCTCCTCCCATTCACAGGCCTGCCTAGAGATTTGTAAGTACAGACTGACTGGCTGTTTTTCCCAGTGTGTCTTGTCGTGATACTTTTAAGCCACAGATCCGCTTTGAAAAGATATGATCTCCCCCAGGGGAGTAACTATTATAAGAACAAATACTCTATCCAAGCTTCCATTCTCCTCAAGATAAACATCACAGGAGTGACCTGAATTGTAAAGAGGAGTGGAAGGAAAAGAACAATACCGTAATGTTTTCTGAGCCACGCAGATGTCAGGGGACGGATCCAAGGGCGTCTGAAAGAAGACGTCCACGCTGCTGAGTGAGACCTTCCTCTGTGCTGCTGAGTGAGACCTTCCATCTGACCAGGGGGTCATGCTCTCACTGCTCCTGCTTGGAGTTCTGGTGCTGTAGCGGGTCTCGGCCGCCCCTTCTGAGCTGGGTGGAGGAAGAAGTCCCTGTTGAAATATCAGATGAGTAGGGATGATCGCCTCTTTTGAAAACAGGAGCCGTGAAGGGATTCCCAGAGAAGATTGTCATCTAACGGAGTCATTCGTCCGCCCAGGACTTCTCTGTCACAGGGTTACGTTTGGGAGAATTTTCACAGGCCACTGGGGATGGCTGTGGCTAGCCTGGCTTTCCACTGATGCCCTCTATCCCTAACCTCAGCTCCTGACATGGCTGTCATTCCAGAGAGTGCTTGGAAGCATCCTGACTATGTTGACGATGGCCTGAGCGGAGTGAGTGTGCACTAGTTTGGTGTTGTTTCATCCAAAGCAATGTGATTATATTGCTGTACTTTCAGTTTCATCAAGCAGGCAAAATGAGAATTGACACTTTTTAAAATCCAAGCTTTAGTTTCACCACCTGGAGCCAAGGTGTTTATTAGAAAGATTTATTGGCATTAGTGTATTTTTATTACAAGCATTTATCTCTGTGCTGAACAGTTGCCCCTGAGTCCCGTGTGCTGTGAAGAGTCTGTGCCACACCACACATTAATTTTCTGTCCTCAGAGCTCCGGGGACACACGCTGATTCTCATGCTGTGCCTGCCGCCTTCTCCGAGTGATGGCTGATGTGGGTTTCAGGCCCCACTACAGTTACTCAGCGACAGATGGGACCCCGTGTCCTCTGTTGGCTGTAGGGAGTTGAGGCGACCCTGGCTGGCATCTTGTTTTGAGGGGTGGCTGGCTGCTGTACTTTGGGGAGGGCATAACAGGATTTAAATAGTATCTTTATCTAGGATGCCTGGAGCCCCAAATCCATGTGGGCCTCCCACTGTGTGAATTTCAGATGCTGCCAGCCCCCCAACCCCGCCACCCCTGAGATGGAAATTAGAGCACCAGATGGGCTCTCCCAAGGAGAAGCATCACAAGCCCACCCTCCTGCCTCTTTGGAAAGTAACCCTGGCTGTTTATTGTGAGATGTGGTTGTCATGGTGACAAGTGGACACCCGCTTGGGAGGGAGATAGAGGAAACGCTGTTATGGAGGAAAGGTCACCCCTAGAGACAACCTTGTGTTGCCCGTGGACACCCCATACTATGGCCTCCGTACTGGGGAGTCCCATGGGTAGGGCATGGGGGTGCAGCCATCAGTCTGTGTCCCCAGCCAAGCCTTGAGCCCTGGCTTGAAGTTGCATGAAGGTACAGTGGCTGGCCCAGCCCTAACCCGTGGTGGATGCAGCCCCTGTTGTGTCCCCCAACCCCTGACTTATCTGGCCGCCTGATGAGAGTCTGTCGCCCTACATCTGTGGCGCTCCCTCTGCCTGACAAATTAAATCCCGCCCAGCTTGCAGGAGGGATGTTGTTAACCTGATTTCATTTGCTGGTGGGCTGGTTGATTTCTTTGGGGTTTTTTTGGAGATGACCAGCACCTGTCCAGCAACTAGTAAGGCAGGGAAGGCCTCCAGGAACCCAAGTCCATGCAGAAGGGCACTGTGTTGGGGAACTTTCAGACAAGTGGGTAAAATACCGACGTGTGCTATGTGCACCTTGAAATAGCAAAGTGTCCTCAACAGAGCTCTCTGGGGGATGTCCCAAATAAGGTTTACTTTAGGAGAATGTGAGCGGCATCTGAGGCGAGATTCTCTTGTTGCATCCTTTGGAAGCTTTTGCTTGGTGTTCCTTGGCCATAGCAGGAAGATCAGTGCCAGGGATGGGTGAGGGGAAGAAACCTTGCAGGAGCGGTACCTGGGCCAGTCTCAGCCCTGCAGAAAGGGGCGCTGTCTGCTCCACTTGGTCAGTGCAGGGTCTACTGCAACAGAGTCTCGGGTGGTCACAGCCCTCTTGTAGGGGGAAGGATGGGTTTTGCTCCTGGGATGCTAGGCTTCGAAAAGCAGGGCAGTGTGCCAGCAGTCCCAGACAAACCAGAGCCGGGCCTTTGGTCATGCCAGGACAGCAGGGTGTGGTCTGGCTAGGCCTGTGAGCCCCTGTGGGGCTCAGGGGTAGGGGCAGCAGGACTGGGGGAGGCAGGGACCAACCAGACTTCAGAACTGCTGGGTCCCAGCTGCACCCCTGCACCACCTCAGCTCTAGGAAGGGCAGCCCCATGTAGCTTTCTTGAGATGTAGCAGCAGTGCTCTCCCTTCTCCCTCGCCATCCTTAAAGCCCGGTGCCCGCTCCCCTGCATCCCCCACTCCCATTGCCTCTGAAATCCGGTGGTGTCTGTGATCCTGGAGGGGAGGCTTAGCCAGCAATCATTCCAACTACCTGGGGCACGGCATATCTGCCCCCATCAGTGCTGGGAGGGTGGGCCCAGATCCTTTAATTTTTCTCAAAACCCCAGAGAGGCAGAGTTCCATCAAAGAGCAAGACACTGATAGACTAGGACAGGGGATAGGGCTGGCAGCCATGCCTCGTGGCATCACCTGACTCCGAGAGAAGCCAGCCCAACACTTGGGGTCTCAGTTTTCTCACCTGTCAAGCAGGGGGAAGAATATTCATTGTGTACACAAGAGGCTTTTGTAAACCCTAAGGTGCTAGGTAAATTAGGTAAATGTAACTTTTTTTTTGAGACTGAATCTCACTGTGTTGCCCAGGCTGGAGTGCAATGGCGCCATCTCAGCTCACTGCAACCTCCGCCTCTCAGGCTCAAGTGATTCTCCTGCCTCAGCCTCCCGTGTAGCTGGGATTACAGGCATCCACCACCATGCCCGGCTAATTTTTTGTATTTTTAGTAGAGACAGGGTTTCACCATGTTGGCCAGGCTAGTCTCAAACTCCTGACCTCAACTGATCTGTCTGCCTTGGCCTCCCAAAGTACTGGGATTACAGGCGTGAGCCACTGTGCCCAGCTGGTAAATGTAACTTTTATCATCAGTGTCTTCCTTGCCATCATCATATTGTTATTTCTCGATAATTTATTTCCAGAAAGTTCTGGAACTGGACTTACCATGCAGGCTCCGGAACCTCCTCTGGGAGGTGGACAGGGATTTAAGGGCTATGGATCTGGCTTCTGTCTTCTGGATGATATAAGGAACTAAATAGAGAAAATATACCTAACCTTAAATTTTATTAATTGAAGTAGAAGCAGTTGTAGTTTGGTGTCTTCTTTAAGAGAAGACTTATGACATGTACTTGGGGCATTTTCTATGTTGTAGTAACAGATTGGCTAATTTGCATTTATTCTCATCCAAGAATTTAGGTTTTTTAAAAATATGGCTTTTAACTTTTTGGGCACTCTTGGTGGGAACGTAAATAGTACTACTGCTGTGGAAAACAGTATGGAAGGTCCTTAAAAACTGAAAAATAGAGTTATCCTATGATCCAGTGATTTCACCTCCAGGTATGTACGTAAAGGAAGTGGAAGTGAAGACTCAAGAGATATTTGCACACCCACGTTCATAGCAGCACCATTCACAATAGCTAAGAATTGGAAGCAACCCAAGTGTCCATCAATAGATGACTGGATAAACAAGAGGTGGCATGTACACACAGTAGAATGTGATTCAGCCCTTAAAGGAAGGAAATTCTGCCATGTGCTTCAATGTGGACGACCCTTCAGGACATTTTGCTGAGTGCAATAAGCCAGTTCCAAAAGGGCACATACTGACTGCTTAATCACTCCACTTACATGAGGGGCATAGAGCTGCCCAATTCACAGAAACAGAAAGTAGAATGGTGGTTGGCAGGGGCTCAGGTTGGGGTTGGGGTTGGGCATATTGAGGAGTTTGTTTAATGGGTACAGAGTTTTAGTTTTGGGAAGAGGAAGACATTCTGAAGGTGGATGGTGACCATGGTTGTACGACAGTGTGAATGTACTTAGTGCCACTGAACTGTACACTTAAAAATGGTCAAATGGTGAACTTTATGTTATGTGCATTTTACTGCAATCAAAAGATAACAAATTTCAAAATGATTTAAAATAACTTTTTTAGAAGTATGAAAATAGAATATTAAGTGCATAGCAGTTTAAGTATAATTAAATAGACGTCTGCACACACACCTATACACATACAGACATACACATGCATTTTACAAAATTGTATCACATTGCATATTCAGGTTTTGCATCTTGCATTTCTCTAACATATAAAATCACGATCTTTAACTTCCCCGTTTCCAGGTTTGCAATGGTCTGGAGCAGCCAAGGAAGCAGCAGCGCTCTGATCTCAATGGACCTGTTGACAATAACAACATTCCAGAGGTAATTTTTTTCAAGGATGAGAGTTCTGGGCTGGAACACTCATCTAATGATGGAGTGGCCCACCGAGTTGTGGTCTGCTCACTTTGTCCATGATGTTCTCATCCCACCCGGTGCCTGGGGGAGAGGGAGTCCAGGTCAGGCCAAGTTGGTGTCACCATATGGTGAGGAGGTGAGGGCACACTGGCCTGGGAGGAGGGAGGAGAGGGCCTCCCTGATGTTAGGACCATGCCATGGAGTGCTCTTGTGTTGCAGATGGTGTGTGTGTGGGGGTGGGGGACCATTGGTACTACTTAATTTTATAAAAAGCCATTCTATTCATTGTCTGATAACCATGTTCTAAACTAGGGTTTCTCAACAATGACACCATTAACATTGAGGCCTAGGTAATACTTTGTTTTGGGGACTGTCCTGTGTATTGTAGTTGAGCAGCATCCGTGGCCTCAACCCACTAGATCCTTGTACCTACCCCATCCCCATCCCTGATTTGTGGTAACCAAAAATGTCTCCAGACATTGCCTAATGATGTCCCTTTGGGAACAAAAATCATCCCAGTTGAGAACCACTGTTCTAAATCAACAACAGGTTTTAACAAACAATTTCCTATAAGCTAACAGTGCTATGATGGAAGTTATTTCCCCTTTCTGGTAACATAGTTTAGATGAGATTATTTAACTTTGATGAAATAACGATGGCCACCGATGGAGTGGTATCCAGTCTCCTTTATCTTGCTTTTAAAGATGGGCCTGGATGGCTCTCATGCCCCCTGGTTGGAGCGTCATTGTGTTGGATGGTCCCTAGGCTCCCTTCTAGTCAAGATATGCTAGTCTGAGGGCCCCTAAGTTTTAGATGATGGGCTTTTGGGCCACTCCCCAACATCATGTTGCCTGCAGCAGACTGGTTTCCTGTATGGAGCTGACATCTTCAGAACACCATCACTCATGGGGGGTTTGCTTTTCTCATTATGGCTCATATCACAGCCCTGCTTAGCCTTCACCTTGTGGGCTACCTACTTAACAATTGTTATGTGTTTTATTTTTCCATATTTCCTAACAGACAAAGAAGGTGGCATCATTTCCAAGTTTTGTGGCTGGTAAGTGACTTTGAATTTTATTTCTCAAGGGGCAGTTGCATTTTACATCAAAATAAATGGTGCTTTTAGTTTGGGCATTCACCTGCAAAGCTTGTTTACAAAGCGTGCCTACCTACCAGCAAGGTGCTTGGCCATTGTCTGTTTGAACACTGTGTAGCCCCACTTAGTGGGGAGGGGAGGTCCAGCTGATCTGCCCGCTTTGATGCAAGGAACAGTAGACGATCTCCTTTAATTATACCCTCACTAATTGCATCACAGACGACACTGATGACTGAATAGATTGAGATGTGTCTTTATAAGCAGCTGGTTATAGCTAACACTTCTGATCAGGGTGGATATAATGCATTCAAATTCAGGCTTTTTTTTTTTTTTTAGATCCTTTGTTTTTCTTTACCGTTCCACCCTTTTTGAGGAGGTTAATAGTGCATTTCAACATTCAGTAAAGAATGAAACTGGTCGATATGTTCTGTGTCACTCTTGGGGATGGGGAGCACACTTGCCTGGCTTTGACGGAGCTGAGCATCTGGAGACCTTGCAGGGCCCCTGTAGGAGATCCACTGGGTTTGCTTCTAGTGCTCCAACCTCAGAGTAAAGAGCTTGTTCGGCAGGATTTCTGTCTTTGCCAGGAGGATGTTTCCTGCCCCTGCTAATGTGTTATAATAAACAATGTGAATTTCATTAATTCTTTCAATAAGCTGGTAATTAATTCTTATAAATATTTATGGGAGCAAGGTAAATTAGTTTTCAGAAATAAATGACTTTCAGCCCTTCCCATGCTGCTTTTCTTTTTTTAGCAAACAACTAAAGCCTGGGGAACTGAAGCCCCCAAATTCGCCTTTAGAGAACTAGTTTGAACCAGGCTAATCCAGTTCCAATTGGTTGAAACTGGATTAACTGGCTCAAATCAATTTTGACTGTTATAACTGGCTTAATGCTGCTCAGATTGGGTGAGAATCTGTTTTAAACCATCAGAATTAATATCATGCAATTGAGATAGACTTGGTTCCATTTTGACCAATTCAGATAGGCTAAAATGGGTTTTGCCCAGCAGTTTACATGTGGTTTTAGGTACATTTTATCTGGTTCAAATTGGTTTTCTTCAGGCCACAGCAGGTTATGATGATTCCTGGAAGAGACCACACTCCCCACATTCCCGCTTGTAGTGTTTGATTGGGTTCCTGGTTTATAGGAGCTGGCACCTCGTGAGCAGGGCGAATGCAGTACGTCACTGTGCCATTTTCCTTGGCAGGCAGAAGCCAGGGTGGGGTTGCCAGTCACACTGCTCCAGTGAGGCAGGGTCTCCTGGATCCAAGAAGCTCACTTGTCAGTGTATCATAGTGTCATCTGGACAGAACTCTCACACTAGGAGGTGATTTAGACATTAAATTCCCCGACCCTTGAACCAATCTCATATCTGCAGGGAGTGGGATCGTGAGGGATCGGGAAGCAGTGTCAGTGCCTGGGGTACCTCGGACTCTAGCTCCTGGCATCCCAGAAGACTTGGTTCCCTGCACCACTCAGACTGTTCCAAAGCAAATCCAAACAAGGCCGGTGGCTTAAAACAATTCAGACAGGCTAAAACTGCTGTGACCAGCTAGAACCAATGTGGAAAACCTGAATTTATAGTTTCTTCTGTAGGAGAGAAGCCCTTTGATTGTTATGAAAACATAGAAAACTGAAGCAAAACAACATCCTTTACTATTACAGCATTTATATGCAGCGAGGCCTTCATGGACCAAAATCTTACTCAGCAACAGGAAGAGATCATCATAATGGTGATGCCAAACCCTAGAATATAATGGATATGGGAAAAGTTTCTCCAAATTAAACACCGTTATCAGTTTGAATGCCTTTGGGTACAAGTATCAAAATCCCCACCTAACGTTACACAAATAGGTGTGTGTCTTACATAAAGAAGTCCAGGGTTGGACGTGGTGGCTCACGCCTGTAATCCCAGCACTTTGGGAGGCCGAGGCGGGTGGATCATGAGGTCAGCAGATCAAGACCATCCTGGCCAACATGGTGAAACCCCGTCTGTACTAAAATACAAAAAATTAGCCAGGCGTGATGCTGAGCACCTATAGTCATGCTATTTGGGAGGCTGAGGCAGGGGAATCGCTTGAACCCAGGAGGCGGAGATTGCAATGAGCCAAGATCACACCAGTATACGCCAGCCTGGCAACAGAGCGAAACTCCGTATCAAAAAAAATATAAAAAAAATATTAAAAAGTCTAGAGGTGGCCAGGCACGGTGGCTCATGCCTGTAATCCCAGCACTTTGGGAGGCCAAGGTGGGTGGATCACAAGGTCAGGAGTTCAAGACCAGCTTGACCAATATGGTGAAACCCTGTCTCTACTAAAAATACAAAAATTAGCCAGGCATGGTGGCGTGTGCCTGTAGTCCCAGCTACTTGGGAGGCTGAGGCAGGAGAATCACTTGAACCCGGGAGGCGGAGCTTGCAGTGAGTCAAGATCATGCCACTGTACTCCAGCCTGGGCGGCAGAGCAAGACTCCATCTCAAAAAAAAAAAAAACAAAACAAAAAACAAAAAAAAAAAGTCCAGAGGCAAGAGGCCGCCGGTTCGATGGCTCTGTGATGTCAGGATTGGCGCTGTTGTGTCTCTTGGCCTCCTCTTCAGGCTTGTCACCTCATCGTCACACAGTGTGTGGGCAGCCCCAGCCATTGCTTCTCGTTCTAGGCAGGAAGAAAAAAGGAGAAGGGCTGAAGTCCACACCAGCTGGACGTCCTCCCCTTGACATTAGGAAAGCAAAGGTTTTCTGTGGATTAAGAGGTGATGACTTCTCTGCATGAGAATCGGACCCTCTGTTACCTTTCATAGTGTGCTCCCTGGGTAACCTGAAAGGCAGCGTGTCAGCTGTGTCTCCAGGCAACATTGCTTATGGTGAGATGCTCTTTTTGATAAACTGTATCTAGATGGGAAAATTCTAATGCTTGCGGGGCAGGGCATCCAGGGCTTTGAGCTTCTCACAGTGGTGACTTTCGTGACTGGCATGTCTCTTGAAGGTGACCCTGGAAGCTATGCCCCACCCATGGGGTGATTGTGAGAGATACTGGCTGCTGGGAGCATGAGGCTCTTAGACCAGATGGGTTCCACATGCCCTTCTTGGTGGGAGTTTTGTACCCTTGCAGCTGACCCATCCAGGGAGTTCTGTACCATTGCAGCTGACCCATCCAGGGGCCCATGAGACTAGCTGTGTGGGTGCAGTGTGGACTCCCATCAGAGAGTCCAGGAGGCAAACTGGCGTCTGTCTTGTTCCCTTGGAGTAGACGGCCCCATGTCTAGCTGAGCCTTAGGACACTGCATGCTTCTGAATATCTAGTTGAACCTTACTTAGAAGACCCAGAAGCCTCTTCGACACACTGCTTATTTCTTTGTGGCCAGAGCTGTGTCACATGACCAGCCTCTCAGATGTTAGTGTTGGCCAGACAATCAAACCCTGGGCTTTTTATGAAGGCAGGGCAGGTCTGGAATCAGCCCTGGGTGCCTGCCGCCACTTCCCATCCCACTGCGGGCCCTTCCAGCCTCCTGGCGTGTCCAGTGCTGAGGCTGAGTATGTGAGTTCCTGGGAAGCCCCTGTGTAAGGGAGGAGCAGCTCCTCCACCCTATTTGTGTCTGAGAAGTTGCCCTGAAGGGAAATGTTCCTGGAGTATTCATGAGTATTTGGTCTCAGCTTATGCCTTATTTCATATCAGATAATTGTTGATAATAATGAAAAAAATAATAGTAACAATGCACATGATACCGTCTGAACCCTCGTTGGGGCCTGGTGTCCACTCCCTGTGCCATGCAGCATCTCTCTATTTCATGTCGCCTGGTCAACCACCACGTGAGGAGTAAGTACTTTCCCCCGTCTGATAGGT
This sequence comes from Homo sapiens, assembly GCF_000001405.40. Taxonomy (NCBI): domain Eukaryota; kingdom Metazoa; phylum Chordata; class Mammalia; order Primates; family Hominidae; genus Homo; species Homo sapiens. The sequence goes on from NT_187660.1 coordinate 1,355,015, forward strand.
TAGAAAACTGATGCACAGTGAGGCTAAAGTCACTTGTGTGCAGTCCCATGGCTGTGCGGGGGACAGAGCCTGGACTTGGACCCATGTCTTGGTGCTTGACACATAAACTCGTAGCCGAGGTCATTCCTCCCTACCCAGCATGCCTTCATATACCAGGAATAGGTAAGACCTGTCAGGTGCTTTCTTTGAGCCAGGCCCAGATCTAAGTGTTTTAAGTATATCAACTTAACAATCACTATATCCACAGCTCAGGGAGAGTGAATCCCGGGCCGAAGGTCACCAGGTAGCAAGTGGCAGAGTTAGGATTCGAACCAGTCTGGAATCTGAGCTCATCACCACACTGCACTGCCTGGCGACCCTCACGCAGTGGGTGAGGAAGAACCTTCACTTAGAGAAGACCTACCATGCAGGTGCCAGAGAGTTCAGTGGAGGGGAGCGTTCCAGATGCCAGAGCTCCTGGCCTTGTCAGGCGCAGGATCACAGCCTTCTCTCAGCAGAGGCATTGTGAGGAAGGGCCTGCCACAATCACTGTCTGTGGAAAGTTCTCGGGGTCTAGCGACCCTCTCAGACTGGGAAGGTTAACGCTGCAGAGAAAACCTCCTTATGAAAGTGCGGATTGCACAGAGGATGCACTGCCTGTCCTGCGGGGAGGAATCCGAAAGCAGCCACCCTCAAGATGTCCCCTCCTACAGGACGTGGTGTCTGGCAGCAGCTTGAGCCCAAGCTGCTTAGAGGGTCACTGCCTCTGGATGAGTATATGTGAATGACCAGCTTTTCTATACAGGTAAACACGTGCTCATTAAAACCAAAAGGCTGATGTTAGTCCCAAGCAATGGGGCCTAACAGTGGCAGCTTCAGTACAAAATAACAAAGACTGGTAAATCTTACTCTGCTTTTTGTACTTTGTTCTCCTCATCCAAAGCTCATACAGGATGTTTTGAAACCCACCACCCCACCAGCAGCTTGAGGCTTATGCCAAAATGCTGCCAGGCCTTAGGGTCCTGGGGTCCTTTACAGCCTGTCTATAGCTCATCAACTTGCCCAGCTCCGTGTGGATCATGTGGAAGGCATGGAGATTACATGCCCCAGACCTGGAGCTGAGCTCACCTATCACCCCTTCCTTCTCTCAGGGGTCCTCACAGTGGTAAAGCTGCTTTGTTGGTTTCATACAGTGGGCACATGGGATCTGAGACTTAGTTTGCTCTTAAAATAGGCAGTTGGGGTGAACCTGTTCAGATAAGACTCTTAAAGTGAAGACATCTCCCACCTCCTCCTCTTTGGTGTATTTGGGTGGGGGATGGACGGGAGGAAGGTCACCCTGTGGGACCAGAGGGGATGTGGCGCATTCCAAAGAGGAGTTATGGAAACCCAGATGACTTTCCTTTTTCTACAAACAAGATCATGTTTCTCCTGTACTACATGCAGTCAGCAGGAATAGGGATTCGTCGTTTTAAAATCTGAACTTTTATTCACTAAGTAGAAGTTGTTAAAGATTTCTCAGAATAGTGCTTGTATCAGACCAAGAGCTGCAAGAGTTAAAAATGAGAAATCCCCACAGTACCTCTTGTTCTGCCTATACATCCCAGATCCCTAGTCCTTCTGTATAGTGGAAGCCACTTACATTTCTTGTGAATTTCTCCAGGAATTTCTCAGCTCATCCATAGGCCCTTTTCCTTAAATAGACATTGCACTGGCCACATGGCTCTGTACTTAGCTTTTTCCTTTCTTGCTAGATCTTGGAAACAGCAATAGGTCCACCTGATTATTTAAGCGGCAGCACAGGATCGGTTGAGTGGATGTGGGATGGGGTATTAACCAGCCCCCTTGGACTGATTGTTGGGAGATTTCCAGTCAGTGCAGCAGTGAACAGCCTTGTGGCTACGCCTTTGTGTTTGGGTGTGGGTTCTTTTATGGAGGCGGTTCCTGGCTATGGCAGGGGTACAGGCCAGGAGCACAGCAACTCTGATAGACACGGGCAGAATGCCTTCCCAAGGGGGGACAGCGTACGCTGCTGTTGGTCATGTATGAGAGTTGGTTACGTATGAGGTTCCCACACTGTTACCAACACTGCATGACCGGCTGTTTGATATAAGCTCCAGGCCGATGGGTGCAAAGAGGTGTCTTGTTGATTTCACGTGTCTTTCATAATAAGTGAAGCCAAACACTATTTCGTATGTTCATAGGTGGTTTTTCTTTTCAGTGCACTGCCAGTTTGTTTCCTGTGCTCATTCCTCTGTTAGATTTTCACCCCCAGCTTTATTGGCGTATAACTGACAAATAAAAGTTTTGTATATTAAGTCATACAATGTAATGTATTGATATAAGTTTACATGGTGAAATGACTACCACAGCCAAGCGCATTAACATAGCCATCACTTCACATAGCTACCTTTTTGTGTGTGTGGTGAGAACACTTCAGATCGATTGTCTTAGCAGATTACTAGTATACAATACAGGATTATTAACTACAGACATTTACTCATCTCATAACTAAAGGTTTGTACCATTTGACCAATATCTCCCCATTTCCCCCACCCCTCAGCCCCTGGCAATTGGGAATTTGGGTGTTTCTTATTGATTTGTATTATTCTTTACATATAAAGGAAATGAACCCTTTGGTTTGTACTGTAAAAGTTTACCCCAGCTTACCATTCTTTTCTTCTTCTTCTTTTTTTGGTATGCTTTTTACTTTGCTAAACATGTCATTTAGTCAAATATATCAGTCTTTTTCCTTTGAGCTTACTGAGTTTTTGAGGTTAGTGTGACCATCACACTCCTAAGATTATTTTTGAAAATAAAGTTGTTGGCCAGGCACAGTGGCTCATGCCTGTAATCCCAGCACTTTGGGAGGCCAAGGTGGGCAGGTCACCTGAGGTCAGGAGTTCAAGACCAGGTTGGGCAACATGGTGAAACTCCGTCTCTACTAACAGTACAAAAAATAAACTGAGCGCAGCAGCACGTGCCTGTAATCCCAGCTACTAGAGAGGCTGGGGCAGGAGAATTGCTTGAATCTGGGAGTTAGAGGTTGCAGTGAGCCGAGATCGTGCCACAGTGCTCCAGCCTGGGCAACAGAGTGAGACACCGTCTCAAAAAAAAAAATTAATTGATTAATTAGTTAAATAAAAAGCTGTCTTCCAGGACTTTGGTATTATTTTAAATTATTTAAATAATTGATTTATCTGGAATTTATCTTGGTGTATTTATACAGGAAAAGTTACATTTTAGGCATTTTGTCCCAATAGCTAGCCAGTTATGCCAGAACTATCCAAGGAATCTTTCCCTTGCAAGTTTGAAATGCTGCCTTTACCGTACCCAAATCGTCATGTGGGTCTCGGTCTGTTTCTGGATCTGTTACAGGGACGGTCCATTCAGGTTCCAGATCCAGGCTGCTTTATTTACTGGGGATTTATGGTGCATTTTATTACCTGGTAGGGCTACTTTCAGACCTTGCCACCATCATTCCATTTCAGATTTTTTTCCTAGGTATTTTTGCACTTTTATTTTTCCATAGTAACTTTAAAACTAGCTTGTCTGGTTATTCACTGCAAACTCTTTTGTTTGTTTTGTTTTGTTTTGAGACAGAGTCTCACTCTGTCGCCCAGGCTGGAGTGCAATGGCGCAATCTTGGCTCACTGCAACCTTCGCCTTCTGGGTTCAAGCGATTCTCCTGTCTCATCCTCCCGAGTAGCTGGAATTACAGGGGTGCACCACCATGGCCGGCTAATTTTTGTATTTTTAGTAGAGATGGGGTTTTGCCATGTTGGTCAAGCTGGTCTTGAACTCCTGACCTCAGGTAACCCATCCACCTCAGCCTCCCAAAGTGCTGGGATTACAGGCATGAGCCACCGCGCCCGGCCCACTACAAACTCTTACTGGTATTTTTATTAGGCATGCTTAAAGTCTGTCCATTTAGGGGAAAAAATGTCAGCTTTACAACATAGTCTTTCTAGCCAACAAAGGATTTATCTGTCCACTTGTTCAAGCTCATTTATCTTCATCGGTAAAGTTTTTTCATAAAAATTCAACACATATCTTGTTTGTCTGTTTCTTGTTGTTTTATCCCTTTTATTGTTTTTGTAAATGCTGACTTTCATTATTTTTCAACATGTTGCTGTTTGTAGGTACAAAGAAAGCTATCGATTTTTATATATTAAATTTGAAACCATTGCCTTAGTGAATTCTCTTATTTTTTAAAAATAGATTTTTAGTTGTTTTCTTGAGTTTTTCCTGGCATGCAATCATACCATCTGCAAACAAGAATGATTTTTGCTGCTTCCTTTCTTGTTTTCTATTACTTCTTCTTGCTTAATCAGATTGGGTAGAACAGAAGGAACAATTTTACATAATAGTAGAATATGGCTTCCTAAAAATAACACCTTTTTGAAAGATCTATGCTTTTAATTTTGTCATAAAAACTTCAAGCATATGAAAAAATAGCTTCAGTATTTACCCATTCATGGCTAGTGGTATTTAATCTACACCCTGACCCTTTCCCAGATTATTCTAAAGCAAATCTCAGATCTTACATCATAGCCTCTTTAAATATTTCATATTGTATCTCTAAAATATAGGAGTTCTGTTTTTAAAAATAATTTCAATGCTGTTATCACAACTAAAGTTAATATTTGTTTATGCCATTAAATATTTGTTTTTGTTTGCATTTTCCCAGTTTACAGGGCGCTGTTTGAATGGGGATCCAAACAAAACCCGTCTATTGAGATTGGTCAATGCATTTCATAATTCTTTTATGTCTCTTTTAGGTTGTCCATCCGTCTCTTTTTTCTGTCTTACAAATTTTTGTTGGTGTTATTGTGGAAGAATCTGTCATTTATCCTGTAGATTTTCCTGCAGTGTGGATTTTGCTGATTGCATCTTCATGGTGTTGTTTAATGTGTTCCTCTATTCTCTGTGTCCTGTAAAATAGTGGTTGTTTTTAGACATAGAGGCTTGATCAGATTCAGTTTGATTGGGCAAAAACTTTCGTACATATTTTTGTGTTGTTCTATTGAGGCACATAATATCTGGTCATCTCTTTTTTGGTGATATTAGCAACCATTAATGATCATTGTCTAGATCTAGTAATTGATTAGAAGTTGCCAAATGGTGGTGTTCTAATTTCATCATTTCTTCTTCATTAGTTAGCTGGAATTCTTCTATGTAGAGAAACTTTCCCTCAAGTATTTGGTTACCCTGAATATTGTTCATATAAGAAAAGCAGATTAAATGCTTGATTTCTTCTCTTTTTTGAAAAATTTAAAAATTAATGAGTTGGCTGGGCGCAGTGGCTCATGCCTGTAATCCCAGCACTTTGGGAGGCTAAGACGGGTGGATCACAAGGTCAGGAGATCAAGACCATCCTGGCTAACACAGTGAAACCCCGTCTCTACTAAAAATACAAAAAATTAGCCAGGCGTGGTGGCGGGCGCCTATAGTCCCAGCTACTCAGGAGGCTGAGACAGGAGAATGGCGTGAACCCGGGAGGCGGAGCTTGCAGTGAGCCGAGATTGCACCACTGCACTCCAGCCTGGGCGACAGAGTAAGACTCCATCTCAAAAAAAAAAAAAAAAAAAAAATTAATGAGTTTCCCCGACAGCCTTTAAAAGATAACCGGTGAGGTTGTGTATGTTGTTGTTAGCACAGTTGATGTGTTTTGTGTGTGTTACCATGATTATTGGTGCTCAAGTTTTCTATGGCCAATAAGAGCTTCTTTAGGTTGTTTTCTGAGTCCCGTCAATGTGAACCCAGTAGTCTTTGATTGTTTCCTTTCTTTCTGGTATATTCCAGGATCATCTTAAATATTTCTTGCCCCAGGTCTGGAACCAGTTGGTTCTTTCTCCATGGAGCCCTGTGAAATAACATTTAGAGACTGTAATCTGGGTAGTGTGGTTGCTCGTTGTTGTAGATTTGGTGAGAGTGTATATGTCTATGTGGAAGGCGCCTCCTAAATGGCCCCCAAGGACCCCTGCCTCTTGGTATTCATGGCTGTGAGTCCTTCCCTCCCCCTGTGTGGGGGATGGACTTACTGAGCTGCTTCTATTGAATAGAATATGGTAGAAGAGATGGGATATGGCTTCCAAGATCAGGTTACAAAGAGATGTGGCTTCTGTCTCAGCTTGTCCTTTCTTGTTCTCTCTTACTTGTTCCCTCTGAAGGAACCAAGCTAGCCTGGTGTGGTTGGCAGTTGCCCCATCCAGAGGCCCACGTGGCACAGGACTGATGTTTCTGGCCAGCGGCCTGGTGAGAGAACTTGGAAGTGGATGCTCCCCTCTTCAGGCATTCAGATGGCTGCAGCATCACTGAGTACCTTGCTGCCTGTGACAGACGAGAGGTCCTGAGCCAAAGTCACCCAGCTAAGCCACACCCAGATTCCCGATCCACAGAAACTCTCAGATAATCCACGGTTGTTGTTTTGAGCCACTAAATTCCCGAGTAATTTGTTATGCAGCCAACAATAACTAATACACAACATATTTTTTAAGATCAAATAACGTCATGATTCCTAATGATACTTTGTCAGGTTTATAGGTTCTAACATTTGTAGTTTCTTTTTCCTGTGCCCCAAATTCCTGTTCTCAAGGACACCAGCATAATTTTGCATTGGTTTTATTCCATTAAGCTTACAGCAGTCTCAGAATAACAATACCAAACACTGCCAAGGACACATGATTGTAGATACAGATTATGATTTATTTGCATTTACTTTTGTGTTTAGAATACATCCCACAAGGGATGTACAGTCAGACAACTGTGTTTTAAAATATTTTGGAATAGATCACAACTGGATACACTTTTAGATTCATTGGTTTCATTTTTCTCTTAGTTATTTGGACTTTGCTTTTTCCATTTAATTTTGTTTTATAATTATATAAAATAATTACATGGTATGAAATTCAAATAAACAACACAGGATGTATGCAAAGAGGTCAGTTTCTTCCCCTATTTATCCCCCCACCTCCCAATTTCTTCCCTTCCACTATAGGTAACCATTTTGAGCATTTTACATATTTTTATTGTAAGCATGTCTTCCCCTTTCTTAGGTAAATGGTAGTGGATTAGACTCCCATATCTCCATCTTGCCTTCTTCACTTCACACTAAACCCTGGCGGTGATGCCACAGCTCTGTGCTGTTCACAGGAGCATGGAGAGGATGTTCTGCAGAACTCCACTGTGTGGATAGATGTCTCCTGTTCAGGAGTGTTTGGGTGGTTTCCAGGTTTTTGCTATTACAAATAGTGCTGCTGCAGTGAACCGCCTATGCATATGCTTTTTCCCATTTTTGCCATTTTTTTTTAAAAAAAATTATTTATTATGCTTTTTCTGGGAAGTCATTCTCCCCACTGCAAGGGTTAGGATCTGTCTTGGGCAACTCTGTGCGTTTTCTTGAGCTTGGCTTTGACCTTCCTTCCCTGACTCTCTGTTGTGGCTTCTCTTCCTCCCAGCATCCAGTGACTTAATCTTGCTCATTGGGTGTCTAAAGTTCAACACTGTGGAACCCCCAAATCCCTTTTATCAGTGACAAAGCCTGTGCTGCAGGCCCAGGTGTGGCCACTCCCTGGTGAATGTCCCATAGGTGTGATTTTCAGATGGCGTCTTCTCTTTCGTATCAGCCATATTATAGGGTCACCTTCAGTGGGGGCATCTCAAGGCACAGGCCCTGGCAGTACTGGAGAGTCGGGCCTGGAGGCCACGCCTTAGCTCTGCAGCAGAAGGTCTCACTTGAGACGCCAGTTACACGACTCTGATACTCACCCACTCCTGCCTCCTTTCCCCACTCCAGACCTAGGGGGCACTTCAGGGGGCAGGCTCTCCTGCTGATCTGGTGGCTCGCCTCCTCCCAGTCCTGTCCTGCCCCATTAGAGCTGCAGCCCCTCCTCCCAGTTGAGGCCAGGTCCCGTCTGCACTTTGGAACCTCACACGATCTGATGTCGTTTGTCTCCTGTCCCTTTTGCTCGCCCCTCCACTGGCTTTTGACCACGTCTGTCCCACCCTGCATCTATCCACACCACCCCGCTCTACCTGCCCCTTTTCTTTCACAGCCGGAATCTGGGAGTGGCAGCCTCATTGTCTGCACCTCCCCTGCACCTCTCAGCCCCCTCTCTGGCTCCTGCCCCGGTTCCTCTGAAACAGCTCTTTGAGGTCACGACTGACTTCCTTGACACTGTGCCCAATACACGAGGTCTCCTTGTAGTTGGCCTCCTGCTAGCATGGGTGTAGATGGGCAGGCCTCCCTTTCTAAGCCCCTTCTTTTCTTGGTACTTAGCAGAGCAGAGTCCTGGGGCTTCATCCTGCCCCCTTGCCCATGACCTTCCTTGCAGACTCATCCATGCCTGCAGCTTCACTTGGCACCTGCAGATGGTTCATTCCCAAATCTGTTTTTCTAACCGGGACTCCCGAGTCCAGCCGCCTACTGAGCATCCAGGCTCCTGCCACTAAACTTGCCTGGAATCCCCAACCCAAGCTCAGTCCTCTTCCAGGCACCCTTTCTCAGTGAGGGGCAGGTCTGTCCATCGAGCTCTGCAACCATTGTCTAGCGTCCTCATCTTCTCTCAGACTCCAGTCCACCTTTCCGTCCTGTTGATGGACCCCTAAATCCCCATCTGTTGCTGTCTCTCCATTTCCGTTGTCACCCTGTCCGTACCATCATCACCACTCATGTGCTGGGATGGCTACAGTAGCCTCTCAGCTGCTCTCCCTTCTTCCTCTCTGCTGCCTGCCCCTCTGCCAGAGTTCATTTCTAATGAAGGAGTGGTTGGGCCACTTCCCTGATGGATACCCTGGAGTGACAGTCCTTATGGCCTGTCACCCGTGGCCCCAGGGTCCTCACATCTGGCCAGCGCTTCCTCCCCACCCTCGACTTGTCTCAGCTGCTGGCCCATGCCCTAGGCCTCGGCAGTCCAGACATCCTATAGATCTTCTAAGGTGTCATTGTCTCTGCACCCTAGGGCCTTTGCACCTGCTCCCGCCTCAGCCTGGGAGGCTTTCTCCTCCTTTTGCCTTATGGCTTGTTGATTCCTTCTCCTCCTCCAGACCTCAGCTTAAACAGCAGCCACCCCCAAATTCCTCACCAGAGCAGCCTCCCTGTCCCTTCCTTCCCAGGGCCATAGCCTCCCTTTTGAGCATTCACCATGGCCCATCCTGATGCATTTGTTCTGTGGCTGTGGGACTGATGTCAGCCTCACTGTGTAGCCTGTGAGCTCCATGTTTCTGTCTTAACACCGGTCTTTATACAGTGGGTTCAGAAATGCTGAGCACCTGAACTCATGACAGTGAACTTGGGCAAAGCCACGTGACCCACTTAGATGGTCCTTATTTGTAAAATTGGGACCCTGAGATTGCTTCATGGCGTGGTTGAGGACTGGGTGGAACTGTACCATTGTTGCACAGAGGTCTGGTGTGTTGGGCATGAGGGCTGCACTCCAAGACTCCGTGCCTTTGCAGAGAGCAGCGGGCCTTGTGGATGCACCCCCACACTCCCACATACACCTGTGCTCCAGCTCCACCCAGCCACCTCCTCCCAGACCCCCAGGATATACAGGGACAGGTCTTGGAGCTAATGAGACCCCCTGGGGCCACACTGGCACCTTAGAAGCCTCTGTCCACCACCCATGTTCAGGATAATTTTCTCCAAAGGTGGCAGGAGTGGAGACCCTCAGGCTTGAAGCTGTGGGACTCCCCTCCCCTTCCCTCTCCAGAGGGCCTAGGGTTTTCCTAAGCGGTGTTTCAAACAGAGGCTTCCTCTGGCAGGGGAGAACCTGGAGCGCCTTATTCTTCTCCAGACTGTGCAGATACACTGTGCATATGCCTATGTGAGTAAGATATACGGTGTGAAAAGGATAAATCACTCTCTGGGGAGACAAGATCTTTAAACCTGTATCTTGATTATCTTGTCATTTTGTCTCCCTCTGGTGGTCTCAGCTTAGGGTCAGTGCAAGACTTGAGCAAAATAACAGCAATTTCTACCCAAACATGTAGGGCTAGCTGCTTTCATTTTCTAACGAAGCTGTTAGATTTGGGTTCTGCGTTTCCTGCGGAAGTTGAGAGCTGTGCCCATGAATCTGATATACTCCCCACACCATGCCGCCCCCACTGGACTCTTCTCTGGGTCTGGGTTCTCCTCCCGTGGTGCGTGTGAGTGGGAGGCAGGATGCTGGGGCCACCTTGGACTCGATTGTTTCTCGCTGAACAAAAGAGCAAGGCAGGCATGGAAGGCCCCCAGGCAGAGGTGGGTGGTGGCTGGAGTTGCAGCAAGGCCCTTGAGTGCTTCACTGGCCTCATCCCGGAAGCAGACATCCGTGGGTGCCAGTGGTGACCCCCTGCCTGGGATGGGGCATCCTTCACACACAGCAGTCTGTGCCCAGATGGGCCCCAGAGCTACTGACGCTCACTTCAGGGGGAGACGAGGCCAGTCTTTCCCAAATCTACTCAAGGACATGGGTCAACATGGAAATGTGAACCTCAGAAGGGTCTGGTGCACTGACCAGGGCCACCCTGGGGGCTGGCGAGGGAGAAGCCAAGGGGCAGTGCCTAGAAAGGTAGGAGTCAGATTCCAAAGGGAGGGCTGGCCTCCCAGCCTCCCCAGGACCTGGGGCTGACAGGGTGCCAGGCAGCCCCTGCCACAGAGGGGACATAAGGACACTCGCCCAAGGCCCTGGTCACCTGCTGGGGCTGTGAGGCTGGGGTACCTGGGGCGCCTGGAAGAACCAGAGCTTTCCTGCAGAACAAAGTGACGCCATCTAGTGGTCAATGAGAGCCACTGCATTGGGCCCCACTGGGTGACTGGGGCTTCACTGGGGGGTGCCTGTTGAGCCATGCTCACTGGGGACGGCAAGGTGGTGTGAGGTAGTAGAAACAGGCCTACCTCAGGCGCTGGGAGCCTTCCCAGCCCCACAGCCCGATGCCATAAAAGGCAGCACAGGGCATGTCTGGCGAGCCTGTGGCAGCCAGGGCTGTCATACACGCTCTCCAAGCCCCCCAGCTAGGCAGATGTGCACACTTCACTCTGAAGAAGCGCCAGGGTATGGTGGGGGTACTGCATTGGGATAGATGGGTCCTGTTCCCTCTGTGGGGCTGCCTCTGATTCTCCTGGTGACAGGAGAATCCCGGTGTACCCTCTGAGAGACAGGTGGACAGGGGTTCCTCCCCTGGTGCCACCCCTGAATCCCGCAGTCCCCCACATTGGTGCCTGCAGCCCTGCCCAGCTGGGAGAAGGTTTATCGGCTCCAGGGCAAGGGGTGAATGGAGGATATTTAAAAGCCGTGGGAGGACCCCATTGATAGGACTCAGTTAGATGCACAGGGGAGGGATGGGGGTCCCTGTGGGGAGAGACGGCTGGGAGCACAGGTGATCCTCTGACCCCAGGGGCACGCAGACCCACTACTGCCCAGGAAAGCAGGAAGGAGGGCCAAGTGGGCTGAGCACCAACGCGAAGCTCCCCACTTGGTCTGTCTGAGCAGGTGAGGGAGGGGCAGCCAGGAGTTTGAGGCAGTGGAGGGGTCTGGAATAACTCTTGCATGGAGGAAGAGTCTGAGTTTCCCAGAGAGATAGATGAGAGTTGTGAGGTTGTTTGGGGGGCATTTGGGGTCAAGAATTTATAATACATTTATCATGGCACTCATTTGCCCTCTTGGGCAGCTTTTTCCAGCCTCAGGTCCAGAGAAAACAGGTTGGAGATTTGCTGAACTCCTGTGGGCAGATACACAGGACTGGGGTCAGGGAACTGAGGATACTGGGCGGATGTTACTGAAGTGGTGGATGGCAGCGCCCAAGCTGGGCCAGTTGATGATTTTAGCAACAGAATGGGTTAGAGGTGAGACCAGGGATCAGCTGGCTGAGGGAGGGAAGAGGTCAGGAGGTTGCTGGCGCGAGGGCTGGGGAAGTGCAGGATGGCTGGGCCCGTGATGCTGGAGGGACTCAGGGAGGGGCCAGCTGGAGCAGGAGGGGAGCCAGGAAGCCAGGGCCAAAATCCCCAATGGAAGGGGCTCTGGCCAGGAGGTGGGCAGTCGGGAGGGATAAAGCAGGTGACATGGCCAACATGGGTCTGAGAGGACAGCCAAGCCACGGTCTAGGATAGCTCAGAGGTCGGCTGACTGCAGCCCCAATCGCAAATCCTCCTGGCCCCCTGATTTTGCATATAAAGTTTCCTTGGCACACAGCCACACCTCCTGTTTTACATATTGTCTACGGCTGCCTTTACGCCTCAGGTACAACGGTGAATAGTTGCAACAGAGACCACAAAGCCTAAAACACGTACCATCTCCCCCTTTACAGGAAAGGTTTGCCCACCCCTAGCTGGAGCCTTATTGTCTGGCATAGGAGCCACTCAAGATTGGTTTGTGGGCAACATGGACAGGACTTGGGGGTTGGTTGGATATGACTCTAACATGTGGCTCTTTATATTTCAATTAATTAAAATTACATACAAGAAATGGGTCCAGTCCCTCAGCTGCAGGAGCCTCAGTGCCAGTGCTCAAAGCCACATGTGGGTAGCGGATCCTGTATTGGACACTGCAGAGATAGAACCTTCCATTGTGGCTGGCAGGAAGTTTGTTGGGTCACGATGGTCTAGGGGCAGCAGATGGAACAAGCATGATGTTGCCAAGCCTGGGCCTGCGGTGTGATGGGTGTGAGGAGCTACACGGGTGTCCTGAGAGGCTACAGACAGGCAGGAGCCCCTCAGGACAGATGCACAAGGACAGGCCAAGGAGAAGCCCAGGGCACAGTTTCAGGTCACCAGCATGAGTTCCGGGGCTGTGGGGAAGGCATGGAAAGTGCTGTCGTGTTTGGGATGTGACGCCTTCTGGATTTGCAGCCTGTGATTGTCATCTTGAGTGACAGTCAACTGGAATGCTGGCATTGTCCTCCTGACACTGTTTGTGCAGAGTTTTCTGGCCCAAGTGTTGATTTCGCGCAGTTACTTGCAGCACGGGGTAGTGAGGGAAGCAGACCGGCCGCCCGTGGCTGGCTGCAGATGGCGATGGTTGGGCCCTTCTAGTTTGCCCCGCATCCTGGCTGCCGTGTTCCTTGTGCTGTGGCCAGGCATGCAAGTTCTTTGTTCAGGGGACTTCTCCTCTAGGAAGACTCTGACTCTGTGCCCTCCTTCAGTTCCAGGGCCCTGCGAACCAGAAGACCTCATCGACGGGATCATCTTTGCTGCCAATTACCTGGGGTCCACCCAGCTGCTATCAGAACGGAACCCTTCCAAAAACATCAGAATGATGCAAGCGCAGGAGGCCGTCAGCCGGGTCAAGGTAGAGGTGCTTCGAGGGCCCCTCGCGGATGCCCGCACACTTTGGGGGGCACTAGCAGGAGGGAATATGGCGGGGCGTAGGCCCTCTTCCAGCTCGGACTGCACAGCCCTCAGCACAGGGGGCAGGAGCGGCCCAGGTGCCAACGAGGCTGAGGGAGGCTTGCGCCTTGGCTGGGAGAAAGCTGGCTGGGCAGAGGCAACCAGCTCCTTAACAAGAGGCCCACGGAATCCCAGAAATACGACCTTTAAAGATCATCGTTCCAAAGCATTCTAGTCATCAAACAATCCCAAATCCCAGTTCAACAGTATGTGTATTTTTAGTGCCATTCAGAGTGCTTCAAGAAAGGGTGAAAAATAAATCACGTTTTATTTAAATTCAGGACCTCAAGAAAAACTTTGACCTGCTTGTAGCTCTAAGTGCTCATTGGATTGTCTGGTTTTGAACATCGGGTGAGGCCGGGCAAGGGGAAGATGAGGCCACGTCAGCAAAATTAAATGGGGTCGGCGGGGAGGGGATGCAGCCATCTGAGGTCTCAGCTCTCTGAGCAAGACAGGATCTGCAGAGGCCCGCCAGCCCAGGGGTGAGAAATGGCGGCAACCTCCTCCCCAGCCCTCACCATACACAACCTCCTCTAACAGAAGCAGAGAAGCACCATGAGGCCATCCGGGGTGGGCAGGAGAAAGCCAGGTAACCCAGGGCAGTGCTGAGCCCTGCTGGCCAGTGCCTCTCAGCAGAGGCCCGGCCCTCCCATCCCAGACCCTTGCCTTGCTCCGCTGCCTGGAGCTCAGCTCCCCTTCCTGCCGGCTGATGGCATCTTTCCTGTCCTCCATAGATGGGGTGGTTGGCAGTCATTTCTAGCGCTCCAGGGACACCTGTGTGGGCTTCTCTTGGTCAGTGTGTGTGCTTGAAGTGGGCAATGGCTGTCCACCCGTCCCTGCTGGGCTTTGCTAGGCACCAGACCTGAGAGTGGGGGCATCAACCACCAAAGTGACATAACCTCACGCACCTTCCTTCTCTCTGTGCCAACTTGTTTTTCTTTTCTCTTCCATGCTGTCAGAGGATGCAAAAGGCTGCTAAGATCAAGAAAAAAGCGGTGTGTAGGGCCTTGAGGCCCTGGGACAGTGTTGTTTGCTTGTGTTTCCGTGGCTTGTCCTGGGCAGTGGGGGCTGAGGGGTTCCCCTGGGGATCTAAATAATGTTGCAAAGCAGCTTTTCCTCTTCCCTTGGTAGGTGAATCTTAGATGTTTGTAAATGAAACTACAGACACTTCATTTTTTTAACCACCCATTTATGGAAGGATTTATTAATTCCTCTTTCTTAGCATCTCCTGTGTACTGTATGGATAATGCTGTGATGTTCCTGTTTTACGTGGACATTTTAAATTGATATGACATTTAGTTGATATGACAACGTGGTGGGTGTAGGGCCTGGGCCTCCTGTGCAGTATTACTGAATTGTTCTGATAGTTAAAGATTCCTTAAGCTTAATTTACTAAGTCAGGAGGGTGAGTAGCTCAGTTTGCCCGTGTGGTGCTTTCTTTATTGGAAATGAGTTTTTGGGCTGGGTGCTGTGGCTCACACATGTAATCCCAGCACTTTGGGAGACAGAGGCAGGAGGATCATTTGAGCCTAGGAGTTTGAGATTGGCCTGGGCAACACAATGAGAACCCTGTCTCCACAACTTTTTTTTTTTTTAATTAGCTGGGCATGATGGCACATGCCTGAAGTCCCAGCTGCCTGGGAGGCTGAAGTGGGAGGAGCACTTGAGCCTGGGAGTTTGAGGCTGCAGTGATCTGTGTTTGCACCACTGCACTCCAGCCTGGGCGACAGAGTGAGACCCTATCTCTTAAAGAAAAAAAAAAGAAACAAAAAAAGAAAATAAGTGTTGAAACACTGGCAGACTTTTAAAAATGGGTTGACACTGAGGCCGGGCGCCGTGGCTCACGCCTGTAATCCCAGCACTTTGGGAGGCCGAGGCGGGCGGATCACCTGAGGTTGGGAGTTCGAGATTAGCCTGACCAACATGGAGAAACCCCGTCTCTACTAAAAATACAAAAAATTAGCCAGGCATGGTGGTACATGCCTGTAATTCCAGATACTCGGGAGGCTGAGGCAGGAGAATCACTTGAACTCGGGAGGCAAGAGGTCGCAGTGAGCCGAGATCGTGCCATTGCACTCCAGCCTGGGCAACACGAGCGAAACTCCATCTCAAAAGAAAAAAAAAGGATTGACATCGAGTCATTTGTTTGTCACCTGGTCATTTAGTAAATGCTAGAGCTTTTCCAATCCTCCTCATACAGAAAATATCAAAATAGTTGGTGTCACAAGGCCTGGGGCAAACCCCGGGGTCCTTGGCACTGGCTTATTGCCCACTGTTTTCTTCTGTTTAAACAGCAGGAGATTTAGTTCCCCCTCCCTGCTTTGAAGTAATGCCATTTTCTGGCGCTTTGGCCAGAAGACCCATGTGGGGACTCCCTCTTCTGGAGTGAGACTTTGGTCCACCTAGGATGTCTGCCTTTTGCCCAGCAGCGTCTCCTTTGATTCTGCTCAGGAGCAGGAGAGGAAGGATCATGCTCATGCTCCTCTTCCCGGGCTGATTTCCTCCAGGCAAGGCAGAATGTGCCACACATTGCAGACTTGCAGTTGGGGTGTGCTTTTCTCAAAAGAGAGGGGCCCTCGCTTGCAGCCTCCTAGTCCAGCTGGAGCAGGGAGTCCCTACGGACTGCAGCTGGCTTCTGGGACCTGCAGGTCCAGCAATCCTACAGAGTCGCTGCCGCCTTTAGAGGGGTTGGTACAGGCAGACCCAGCTCAAAAAGGCCTCTGCGGCCAGTCAGGTGGCCGCCTGATTACATTTAATTACGGTTTGTTCTTCCTTTTTGGAAAGTGGGATGCTCAGTGTCATTGCTGAAGGTCCCTTTCCTGGCCCGGCCACAGCCATGGGGATGACTGCAGGTCATGCCCCCCATCCACAGACATGCCGAGGCCCACCCTGTGGCCTGTTCTCTGGTGTCTGTAGGATCCGTACTGTCGACACCCTCCCTTCTTCTGCCAAGGAGGATGATGGGTGTCCTCTCCCTGCCCTGTTACTGATGGGTTTTCCACTGGAGGCTGGGTGGCTTCAGGCTGCCCCTCTTCTCCCATCCAGGGATCCCAGCCTCAGGTTTCCTCCACAATTGTCACTAATGCCAAGGTCCACCTGCAACTTTTCTCACTTCTGGCTTGACCTACTTTTTAGCAAGAGGATTTTGAGCCACAACCCATGAATATAACCTTTAAATGCATGCTGATGCTGAATATAACCCAATTTTAAAAAACAGAAAAAGTTCCTCCGCGGCTGCGGATTGTCAGCTGCACTGCTTTCAACTCCTTTCTCTTTCTAATGAGTTAAAAGCAAAGAAAGCCCAAAAGACCCTTTCCCTTGAAAATTGAGCTAAAATACACATTTATTATTACAATACCGGGCCTCTCTAAAACTCAAAATTCTTGAGGAATTGTCAGCAGGGAGATTTCTTATTTCAGATTTTCTAGTGAATAATTAAATCATAGTTTTTGCTGTTTCGAAATGGAAAATAGACCACCCTGGGCTCCCCAGTGACCATGGAGAATTATTCACCTCGGTGGGCAAACCAATAGAACTTGAAATTCATTGCCACCGTGCAGTGGTAATTAGGATTCTTACAAATGTAAAAACCAATTAAAGGCTATCCTAGTTTGGGGCAGACTCTGAAGAGTTCACTCAGCTCAGAAGAGCCCATGAAACTCGTCTCACAACCATATGCCAGACATACTACAGTGGCTACAGGTGACGAATTAGGCCATTTGTGTGGCACCTCTCTTGGCTTCTCTCTGTCGCTGTGAGGACAGCACTTAGGCCAGCCCCAGGGCTCAGTCCCCCAAGGACGCTGTGGGATGGACATGGTGGTGACTGTTTAAATCAGAAGGAAAGGCTGACATTTTCATTCAGCTTCTCTGACAATGTCTTCCCCATTTCTTAAGGATACTTAGAATCCCAAATCCAGGAAACGTAACCTGAGTCTATAAATTCCACAGGGGTCAGCCAGAGGGCCTTGCTTGCCACTGGCAGGAGGGGCTGTGGCGACAGACCCAGGCGTCCCGCCCCATCTCGGTCAAGCTCCCGGGGGCTGGCCCTCCTCCCTCCCAGGTGCCTCTTACAGACTGCCTCGAGAACTCACACTTAGCTAGATGATGCGGCCGGTGGCGTGCAGGTAGATTTCTGATGGCCAGTAGCATTTCCTTCTACGTGGACTCTGGGTAATTGTTAAAATTGCCGAGCCTTCCTTCGAGTTATTACTTTTTACATTGACGGATAAAATTGTATGTATTTGTTATGTACAACATAATATTTTGGAGCATATACACATTGTGAAATGACTATATCTAGCTAATTAACGTGCATTACATCACCTAGTTTTAATTTTTGTAATGAGAACACTTCATTCACTATCTTAGCAATTTTTAAGAATATGAAATATTATTAACGGTAGTCACCATGATGCACAATAGATCTCTTGAACTCATTTCTCCTGTCTAGCAGGAGCTTTGTGTCCGTGGACCAATACTTCCCCCTTCACTCCTTTGCCCCAGCCCCTGATAACCACCATTCAGCTCTCTACTTCTGTGAGATCGACATTTGTAGCTTCCACCTGAGTGAGATGGTGCAGTATTTATCTTTCTGTGCCTGGCTGATTTCACTTCACAGCATGTCCTCTAGGGTCATCCATGTGTTGGAAATGACACGGCTTTTTCTTTGTGAAGGCTGAGTAGGCCTCCAGTGTGTCTGCGCGCCACATTTCTTTATCCATTCATCGTGAATGGACTTCGGGTTGATCCCATGTCTTGGCTGTTGTGGATAGTGCTGCCGTGAGCATGGGAGTGCAGGTGTCTCCTAGACACGCTGATTTCACTTCCTTTGGAAATATGCCCAGCAGTGGGATTGCTGGATCACATGGTGGTTGTAGTTTGAATTTTTGGAGGAACCGCCATTCTATTCTCCACAGTGGCTGCACTGATTCACACCCTCCCACAGTGTACCAGGGTTCCCTTTTCTCCACCCCACGCCAGTGCTTCTTATCTTTTATCTTTTTGACGAGAGCCATTCTGACAGATATGAAATGATATATTGTTGTGGTTTTAATTTGGATTTATCTGGTGATTAGGGATGTTGAGCATTTTGTCATAATGCTATTTGCATGTCCTCTATTCCGAGTTGGTTTTTGGACTTTAACAATATCCACTGTCCTTCTTAGAATTCTGAGGGGGATGCCCAGACGCTGACGGAAGTGGACCTCTTCATTTCCACCCAGAGGATCAAGGTTTTAAATGCAGACACGCAGGTAAGCGTTTAAGACAGTTGTTCAAAATCAGGTAAACTCCTAAGTTCGACTCCTTCTTGTCCCATGGTATAGGCCCTCGTTCTCAGCAGCTTCTCTCCTGTGCTCTCTGCGCCCATCAACCCAAGGCCCATAGCCCGGGCTGCGGGAGGAGCAAGGAGCGCACAGCAGGTAGCAGTCGTGCTGGCGTCACCCCAGGGCTCTGCGGGCGGGAGGTAGGTGGGAAGACCTGCTGGGCTACCTGGGCCCTCCCCTGCTTCCCCACTCCCGGGTAGCCTGACCTCTGGGGACAGAGGAGGCAGCAGCCCCCACTATGTGGCTCACACTGCAGCCCACCACTCCCAACCCAGTGCCGTGCCCTGACCATCCTCCAGGCCCTCACATACCCTGATACGGGCACAGGGGCGCCCTTCCTCATCCCATGTCTGTCCTGTGTCCAGGCTTGCACCTTGTCCCACTGATCTTTGTGTCCTGCACCCCCCTACCCTGGAACCAGCCCCCTCCTGGAGCCTGGCACTTGGTGAAAACTCAGGGAGACAGGTGCCAGGGCTCAGGCACTGGGCTTGCGACGCTTCACAGACTTTGACTTCATTTTCTGATCTTTTGTGGGCAAACCATCTGGACTAGATCCCCCCACCAACCCTCCGAGCCCCATGCCTCATCACCCACCTGTGCTGGGTGTCCCCAAGACCATCACAGGCTGGGTGGTTTGGAGGACTGACAGGACTCAGTGAGCTCACAGCTGAGATTTATTTCAGCAGATGGCTCCAGAGCAGAATCAGCAAAGCGGATGCAGGCTTCCAGAGCCCTCCCCGCAGTCACACAGGACACACTGAACTCCCTGGCAAGGGGCTGTGACAACAGAGAAGTTGTGTCTACCAGGGAAGCTCATAGACACTCAGCCCAAGGTGTTTACTGGGAGTTGGTCATAGGCACCCTCTGCCTGGCAGCTACCAAAATTCCAGACTCCCAGAGGCAAAAGAGGTGTCCAGCCTAGACCACGTTGTTTGCACAAACGGTTTAGGCAAAAGGAACCATGGTTGTCAGTTCGGGTGCTGGGTACCCTCCTGAGATCCACGTTCCCAGATGCCAGAGAGGGCCAGCCTTGCAGGCGGGCCTTTCTGGGTACAGCTGCTAGGCCTGCCCCAGTACCTCTTCTTGCCAGTGTACATGGAGGGTGCCACACCTGGGGTGGGAGGATGGGCTTGGGGATTGAAGCTGAGCCCCATCCTCATGAGCTGTATAGCCTTAAACAAGTTCCTGAACATCTCTGAACCTCCTAATACCCACAGCCCCAGCTGAAAGAGTAACTCTTCCGCTGGATCCTGTGAAGGAGAGATGAGAAATCTCCTAGGCTGGCCCAGTTCAGGGTTTACTCCACTGGCCCCTTCTCCCTTCCTTTCCTTTCCCTTCTGGATCTTTGGATTCTGGACAGGGCATGCAAATTAAAGCTGTTGGGGCAGAGGAGCTGGAGAGGAGGGAACAGGTGAGAGACTGGGAAGGCCAAAGTAGCCATTCAGAGCAGGAGAGCAGATGCGGCCATGTTGGTAGGCAGCCTCTGTGAGGAGGAGGAGGGATCTGCCATTGATAGGAGCTGGGGAAGGAACATGTTTCTGACACCTGGGGATTGATTCAGGCATTTATGACAGTGACAGAAATCAGGAGATGCTGAAGAGCCACTCCAACTGTTTCCTTTCAGTGTCCCTCCCTGGAAGGTGACTCTTGTGGTTATGAAACAGCCTCATGGCTTTGGCCAGAAAAAAAGTCAGCAGCTGAGACAAAGGTGAAGCAGCATGCACTGCAAAGTGGATTCTGTGAGGAAGAAATGAGGTCCAGAGGTTGCAGAAACACTCGAGTTTCTTTTGTGAACAGAGGACAAAAGCATAAAAGACCAGTTGATTAGTTTTTTTGAGCTTTGTGTGCAGTCTTGTTAGGTAGGGGTTGTGGGCAAGATGCTGGCTGGAGATTCCTGTCCAAGGACAAAAAACCATCAAGAGTCATGGGCCTGCCAGAGGCCGAGGGAATTGAAGTCAGGTGGGCTACCTTGGTGTCTTTTGACCCAGGCCCAGGCTGTTTGGGCTCCCTGGGAAGAGCTCATTGAATGACAAACATTGGCCTTGATGCTTTCCTCTTCTGCACAGCAGGAAGGCCAGGCCAGGCCACTCTTGGGCCCATAGGAGAGCACCTCGTTCAGAAGGGACCCTTCTCCAGAGCCACTGGTGGCCTCTCATCCGGGAATGTATGGGTTTCACTATATGGCAAGCCCCTGCTCCAGCAGAGACAGCCCGAGAGCTCACCTGACATCACGCCTCCCTGGGTTCTGCACAGTCCATTTTGGAAGCTGGGACTGAGATGAGGGCAGAGTGACTTTGACTGTAAATCATTACCCTAAAACGCTCTGTTAATTAGGGCCGTGGTTCTCAACCAGTGTGATTTTTGTCCCTCAGGGGACATTTAGCAATGGCTGGAAATAATTTTCATTCTCACACTTGGGAAGAGGGAGGTGCTACTGGCATCTCCTGGGGAGAGGCTTGGAATGCTCCTAACACCTTGCAGTGCACATGACAGCCCTCCACAATAAAGAATGATCCGGCCCCAAATGTCAGGAGAATCAGGGTTGCGAAACCCGAATAATTGGAGTGCCTTTTTTTTTTTTTCCTTTCTTTTTTTTTGAGACGGAGTTTTGCTCTTGTTGCCCAGGCTGGAGTGCAGTGGCGCAATCTCGGCTCGATGCAACCTCTGCCTTCACAGTTCAAGCAATTCTCCTGCCTCAGCCTCCTGAGTATCTGGGATTACAGGCACCTGCCACCACGCCCAACTATTTATTTTATATTTTTAGTAGAGATGGGGTTTCACCATGTTTGCCAGGCTGGTCTTGAACTCCTGACCTCAGGTGATCTGCCTGCCTCGGCCTCCCAAAGTGCTAGGATTACAGGCTTGAGCCACCATGCCCAGCCCTGGAGTACTTTTCAATGGATTGTCCCAGTAGTGTTCCCTGACGTGGCACTGTCTCCCTCCCGACAGGAAACCATGATGGACCACGCCTTGCGTACCATCTCCTACATCGCCGACATTGGGAACATTGTAGTGCTGATGGCCAGACGCCGCATGCCCCGGTCAGCCTCTCAGGACTGCATCGAGACCACGCCCGGGGCCCAGGAAGGCAAGAAGCAGTATAAGATGATCTGCCATGTGTTCGAGTCGGAGGATGTAAGTAAGCCCTTGCCAGGGCACTCCCCTCCCAAAGTTCACAGCCCAGGGCGGCTCCAGGATCCAGGCGCTGTGGAAACCACCCTCAGGTGGAAAGCCTCCATGCTGTTACTGATGTTTCCAGTGGATCAGTGATCTTTTGCATACTCTTTGGGTTTGCAAAGATAGTGAATACAGTTTTATTCTACTTCTTGAAATAGGTTCTTCAGGAGCTGTTTATAAATTGAGTTGTGGTTAAATATATGAGGGAGCTATTTGAAGAAATCCCTTTACAAAACATTTTCTCTACTAAAAATGAAGTTAATCTTTGCATAACTTTTGTTATTAAAATGCAAATTTTCGCATGGCCCTGGCATGCTGTATAAAGAAAGCACATCTGCACATGAGGCTTAGTTCTGCCTTTGCGTGTGGTCTTCAGAGGAAGTAAAAAGTGATTCTGAAGTATAAGATACCAAAGACTCAGGAAAAGATCACAAGCCCTTTGGCTCCCTCCTTGGCTGGAGAAGAGTGTTGTTTTTAGCCTGGAGGGGGACAGAGGGGCTGAGGAAGGAGCAGCAGGGCCAAGAGGGGAGCTCAGAGAGGAACTGTCCTTCCTGGAGGCTGATCTTACTCACAGACCAGCAGGGGGCGCTGCTGGTGAGCCAGTTTTGTGGCTGTTGCCAGAGTGAAATTTTAAAATATGATCTATGGCTGGGCACGGTAGCTCATGCCTGTAATCCCAACACTTTTGGGAGGCTGAGGTGCGTGGATCACCTGAGGTCAGGAGTTCAAAACCAGCCTGGCCAACATTGCGAAACCCTAGTCTCTACTAAAGATACAAAAAAATTAGCCAAGCTTGGTGGTGCGTGCCTGTAATCCCAGCTACGTGGGAGGCTGAGGCAGGAGAATTGCTTGAACCTGGGAGGCGGAGATTGCAGTGAGCTGAGATCGTGCCATTGCACTCCAGCCTGGGTGACAAGAGTGAAACTCCGTCTCAAAAAAAAAAAAAATCTATCCTTCAGGGGCAGTTGGCCAGGGCGTTCTTTTTCACATAAGGACTTGAGGCTGTCTCAGGGACCTGGGCAATAGGGAAGGGTCCCCATATTGTCATGATCCTGACATACAGCATGGAAACTGAAGACAGGGTTCAAACCTTTGGCTGGCGCAGTCATCTTCTTCCTAAGAACTTGGGTCCACTTGGGTCCACTTGAAGTGCTTCGGCGCAATGGCAGATTTACAGGAGGGAGAGAGCATTTCAACAGCGCACTCACACATTCCTTCCACCGCTACACGGAGACCCTTCGAAACCTGGATGGGTATTTCTGTGTGACTGAGGGCCGAGGATGTGTGAGAGACCTGGCTTGGGGATGGGCCACAGGTACTGGCGGAATGAGGCCAGGAGCAGGCCCGGTGGCGAAGGACGGCAGTCAGCTGGTGAGAGTTTCCAAGGGGCACTGAGAACCCCCAGGTGCAGCCGATGCGGAGGGTTAAAGCCAGGGTATGCCGTATTGGGTAGATGAGGCCGCAGGGTGGTCCTGCCAGCAACAGCAGCCTCCTCTTCCCCACCTCTCCAGCGCCTGCAGGCTCTGCCCACAGCCCACTTGCAGGAGGCCGCTTGAGCCCTGAGGTGGGGCCTGGGCTGGGCTCCTGGACTCACAGCAGTGAACGCCCACAGGCTTGGCTGCGAGTTGGGGCCGGCAGGGCGACCCCTTCTCTGAAGCGCCAGCCGCAGAGAGAGCCCCCTGAACCCCACACCTCCCAGGAGGCAGCCGGTACCCGGCGTGGAGTGACGGGGAGGCGGCGGCTGGCGGCACACCAGCGGCCCAGATGACACCGGAAGGAGGCGCAGCCCCGCGGAGCCGGCTCCCCGGGCTTGGAGCTTCCGCGGGGGCGGAGGATGTCGTCCAAGGGGAGGAAGAATGGCGGTGGCCCGAGGGAGCCCAAGTGGAGTCCGAGGGCCGTGGGTGGTGGAGCCGGGCCTCCGGGGCTCCAGGGCTCTCAGGCCGTCCTTCCCAGCCAGGTGGCCTCGTCAGGCGGAGACAGAAGCAGAGGCCTGGGGGCCGCCCTCCGCTCTTCCCAAAGGCCCGACCCTCTCCTGCGCGGGCGCTGCCCCCGGCCCTCCTGCCGAGCTCCATCAGCTCGCCAACTCCGCAGGCCAGCCCGGCGGCGCCATCTGGCGGTCCCCGGGCGTCGCGCCTCCAGCTGGGTCTGTGCGCGCGGCAGAGATGCTGGGCGTGGGAACCGGCAAGTCCTGGAAACGGCTTAGGGCCCGTCAGGGAGGGCAGTTCCACGCCTGCTGGAGGGCAGGCCGCCTGCTGCGCGCTTCTAATCCGGCCCAGCTTGTCTTTCCCAATGCATACATTGATCTGCTGCTCTTACATCCTGCCACGTGGAGAGTGGGAAGGGAATTGAGGCCAAAGCCCTTGTTTTCACCTGTTTTGGGATCCTGTTGAGTAGGAGTTTGCTGGGGGCGCCCGTGCAGGACCCCCTTGAGGGCAGTTGGGGAGGCACGTGAGGAGCAGGACAGCGCATAAGGAGGGCTCACACAGCCCAGAGCCTGGCGGGAGGCCCCGCTGTGGGCTGAGGCGTCACCAAGGCCGCCAAGAGCCCCGCCGCGCTCCCAGGGCTGCACAGCTGCCAGCCTGCTTGGCGAGCTCCGGGAGCTCAGTACAGCCCTCACCTCCCACTGTCTCCTGTCTGCGCACCAGCAGGCGGCCGGCCAGGCCCTGAGTGCTGTTTCAGTGTCCAGGCCTTTGCCATGTCAGAGTCGGTGATGTCCACTGAAGCAGCTCAGCGGAAGTAGAAAGAAGTGACGTGCTTCATGGGGCCTGTGTGGAGTCCCAGGTCTCATGTCTTGCAGGCCTGGCCTGGCACAGCCACACATCCCTAGAAGAGCAGCCAGGCACACCCTCTGCCTCCAGTGGGCACTGGGTTCTGTTGCTACCGATAAATACATGCGGGGTAGACAACTAGCAGCACGATGCTCCCGGAAAACACACTGAAAGTCCATTTTCGGCATCAGATGAGTGGAAAGGAAATACAGATGGGGTCAGGTGCAGTGGCTCACACCTGCAATGCCAACAGTTTGGGAGGCCAAGGCAGGAGGATCACTTATGTCCAGGAGTTTGAGACCAGCCTGGGCAATATGGCAAGACCCCTATCTCTACAAGAAAACTTTTTTTAATTAGCTGGATGTGGTTGTGCTCACCTACATTCCCACTCCAGTCTGGGCAACAGAGCCAGACCTCATCTCGAAAGAAAAAAAAAGCAACAAAAATATGACATGTAGTAAATAATTCATTGTTGTCCCAGACTTTCTTTGAAACAGCTTTGACCTGGAGCATCTGGGCCGTGCCACAGCTTAGGCAGGGACAGTCAGGAGTAGACCCTTTGGGGTTCAGGGCAACACTGGGGTTCGCTCACGGTGGAGTGCTGGTGGGAGACAGCCTTCATCAGATGAGGGAGGGCCCCCAGTTTCTTTCTTGTTCTTCTAAGCCCGAGCAAGGGCTCCCTTGAAGGCTTATGGGTGCATCCTGCACCCAGCCCTGCCGCAGCCCCCTGCTGAGGAGGCTGCGGGGAGCCTGTGCCACGTGCCTGTCTCCAGCTGGCCTGCCCTCTGCACAGGCCCAGCTCATCGCCCAGTCTATCGGCCAGGCCTTCAGCGTGGCCTACCAGGAGTTCCTGCGAGCCAATGGCATCAACCCCGAAGACTTGAGCCAGAAGGAATACAGCGACATCATCAACACCCAGGAGATGTACAACGACGACCTCATCCACTTCTCAAACTCGGAGAACTGCAAGGAGGTAAGCCACACCCACCAGCCTCAGGGAGGCCACATTTGCCAGCTTCTGCTCCCTGAGCTCCTGCAGAGCGAGCCTTCCCGGGGTCCTCACGCACACCCTTGCCTTCCTATCAGACTCCAGTGGGGCCCGGAATGTGCACCTCGCTCCTGCCTTCCAGCTGAGCACTTGGGTGTGAAATGAGGTGTTTGTAACAAAGAAGCTGATTACAGTCAGCTTTAATGACCTCGAAAATGCGCCTTTTAATGCTGCTATTATCATCAACCAGCACTCAGCACCCAGGAGATATTTCTGAAAAGCATGTGGCATCTCTAAAGGGAGCTTGGGGGCTCTGGCAGAGGAGGCTGGAAGCCACCAGTAGCAGAGGCCTTAGCTGGTCCCAGTGGCTTCCCCCAGGGGACTTTGGAAAGTTCTTATGGGCAGAGGAGCAAATTCCCTGGGGATGGCCCATACCTGGACTGTTTGTTAAATGGCTGAATGATTGTGTCTGCTGTGGATGAGTGGATGGTCTCTGCTGCTTGTTGAATGGGTGAATGCATGATCCTGGTTTCTTGCTGAAGACATTCCAGGCAGTTTCTGAGACAGTGACCTTTGAGAGGAAATAAAAGTAGAAGGACTTTTCCAACAAGAGTGAAGGCCGGGGGCAGGATATGGGTATGGGAGCCTGAGAACATTCCTCTGGCCTCTGTGGGTGTGGAAGGAGCAGGAACCAGGACACTGGAGCCCTGCTTGGGGTGGGAAGATCAGTGTTGGGCACGGGTGGGGTTGGGGTCAATGCCAGGCACGGGTGGGGATAGGGGGTCTGTGCTTCCAGGTTCCCAGGATTGCTGGGTGGACCCCAGGAAGGTGTGGGAGCCAGACTGGGGTGAGGCTGGGGGTGGGTGGGCAGGGCTCCCAGCCCAAGACCTCTCCTGGCTGAGATGAGCCAGCCTTGGATCCCAGGGCAGGGCGGGATGTGCCAGGACAGGGTCAGCCTCATCCTCCTGTGGGTCCTTGGCAGAGGCCTCGGTCCTTGCCGCCAGCCCCTCTCACACTGCTGATCCCTTTGCAGCTGCAGCTGGAGAAGCACAAGGGCGAGATCCTGGGCGTGGTGGTGGTGGAGTCGGGCTGGGGCTCCATCCTGCCCACGGTGATCCTGGCCAACATGATGAATGGCGGCCCGGCTGCCCGCTCGGGGAAGCTGAGCATCGGGGACCAGATCATGTCCATCAATGGCACCAGCCTGGTGGGGCTGCCCCTCGCCACCTGCCAAGGCATCATCAAGGTAGGCACCCTGGGATCCTCCGCCCAGGGGTCACCTCAACCCTGCCTCACTTCATCCCCACTTTGCTGCAATCCCCACTTCACTGCAATCCCCACTTCACCCATGGGGAAACTGAGGCCCAGGGATACCCACCCGGTGACTGGTCGATGATGGTATCAGAATTTGAACTCAAGACCATTCCCCATGTCTGAATCAGAGGTGGACCCGGGCTGGCCTGGGGTGGGAAGGGAGGGGTTGTCTGAGCCCTGTACCGAGCCATGTGGCCCTGGGCAAGGGCCCAAGAACCAGTGAGTATAGGGTGACCAGCTTATCCTGCTTTGCCTGGGACTTTGCCAGGTTAGCACTGAAAGTCCGGCTTCTGGGAAACCCCCTCAGTGCTGGTGGGCTGGGGAGGTGGGGCACCCTGCATGGGTTGGGTTCTGGGACGCAGGTTCCCTTAAGTAAGGAGGCCACCCTGACCGTCAGACTCGTGAGCTTGCAGCTTTGGGAGGTGCTGCCTGTCGCTGTGAGGGGTCAGGCAGAAGGGTCACCGGCAGCTAGGGTGGGGGCCTTCACACTGGCCGCCTGCGAAGGAGTGGGTTCTGCCTGCTGCTGGCGGCTCCTGTGACCCAGCTGTGGCCTGGCCCCCAGCCCTCTGTGGCATGTTCCTCCCCACCCTGCTGTGGTCTTGGTGCTGGAGGAAGCGCCTTCCTCCTCTTTGTTCGGCATGAGAGATGAAGGGCATTCCCCAGGCCAGAGCATCCCATAGACTGGCTCTCGGAGCTGGCCTGGCAGAGCTTCTGCCCGATGGGCAGCCACACAGAGAGACATGGGAGAGGCCTCCACCAGTGGCACCAGAGGGCTCAGCAGTTGAGGCCCCCCCTCCCAGGGCTGCAGCTCCCAGGTGGAGGCTTGGGTTCCTCCCTGTGCCTCCTCACCCCCACCGGACCCCGGCGGCCTGGCGCACCCGCTGACAATTGCGTCCTCACTCACAGAGATTTGCTGTGCGGTCACTCCCTGCCCTGCAGGAGGTCCGTCCTTGGAGGGCATTGGGTTTTGAGGAAGGTGTCTCCACATCCTTCCGTAGGAAGCTGTCCCGAATTCGGCATGATGATGGCCCCCTTGACACCCTGAGGGTGACCTGGTGCCAGGTGCGTTGGTTCTGCCCAGTGGCACTCAGAACCTGGGCTCGCTCCTGCAGTGGCTAATCTTCCCCAGGGCAGAGGCACCCTGCGCATGGTGGGACAGAGGGCGCAGTGCTGCCCTGGAAACCTGGTAGCTCTGGTAAGGGCCAGGGCGAGGCTTGTCCCCGCTGCACAGAGGGGCTACCGAGGCTGAGAGGGGACTGCCTGCCTCTCCCATTGTGTGTTCTCACTGTCCCCGGCCTCCACCACCCTGCCAGCCTCGCTCATCCTGGGTCAGGCTTGATGTCTAAGGCCCAGCCTGTGACTCCTGTCCCCGTGCTCTGCAGGGCCTGAAGAACCAGACACAGGTGAAGCTCAACATTGTCAGCTGTCCCCCGGTCACCACGGTCCTTATCAAGCGGCCAGACCTCAAGTACCAGCTGGGCTTCAGCGTGCAGAATGGAATTGTGAGTTCCCCCTCCTGCTCTGGGCCACCACCACCACTGCAGGGCCCAGGGAGGGGGAGCAGCTCCCGTCCAATGGGGCAGGCTATGTCTGGCAGCCTGGTAGGACCTGGCCTGTGGTTGCAGCTGCCCACAGCCAGGCCACCTGGGGCAGGAACTTTCCATGGCTCTCTGGGAGGTCCTGGCTAGAAGGGGAGGGCCAGGGCATGGCCGTGGATTGGGCCCCTCCAGCCTTTCCCAGGCTCCCTTGTCCCCATGGTGGTTGTCCCCTGCTTTGGAGGGAGGGCAGCAGACTTCACCAGCCACTGTAGCTTGGACACAACCAATTGTGGCATCACTTACTGTGCTCAACAAACAGACGTTCACTCGTTCATTCATTCATGTACTCATCATTCGCTTGTTCACTCAGCCATTCAGCAGACATTTGTGAAGTACCTGCTCTGTGTTAGGCTTTGTACCAGGCAATGGGAAGGCAGGAGTGCTGCCTGGAGGAGGTGATGCTGGGCTTGAGTGAGTGTGGTTCTGGCCAAAAACCTGTACCAGTTCCCCAGGCCAGAGTTCTTTAGCCCAGAGTTTCCACCCTCTCACTGACCTGCATTTGACTGGCCTGAATTCTTTTTTCCTTTGTTTTTCCTCCTGCAAAAGACCCAGAGGGCAGAGATGTGGCCACTAAGTGGAGTAAAGAAGAAAAGGGCTGGCAATACCCAAATTGTTTAAACCAGCCCTGAGTATGAAGGAGCCCAGGAGGAGAGACACTGCGGGCTGGAGTGGGAGTTTTGTGGAGGTGATGGGGAGGGTGTGTGCCCACCCACAGTCAGGAAAGACAGTGGGAGAACATTCTAGAAGGACTACCAAATCTTCTCCATTGTTTTCTGGTGAAGCAGCATGGAGGGTTACACCCACCGTCAGGGTGGAGTCCCAGGGCTTGGGTTTAGGGTCCATCTCTGACCCTGCTGTGTCAGAGCAAATTTGCTGCTATAAAAAAGAGTCTGCAAATCTCCATATACTGAGAGCTTATTGCTTATTCATGCTGCAGTTTAATTTGCAGTGGGGGCGGTGGGGGTGAGCTTCACTCCACAAAGCCACTCAGGGGCCCAGGCTCTGCCCTCAGCTGGGCTTTGGCAGCCCCCACTGGGTGCTCTGTGTCTCGCTGGCACTGCAGGAAGAGAGGCAGCTCAGAAGACCTTGTGAAGGTTTTCAGGGCCAGGGCAGAAGTGGCCCTTGTCATTTCTGCCCACAGCCCACTGGCCAGATAGCTCAGCCACGGACCCATGGGGAGGCTGGGAAGTGGGGGCCAGCTGGTGCCCAGAACGAAGAGGGACAGGGGCATCGCCAGCGTCAGCCATACCTTCCCTGCTGTGTGACCCTCAACAAGTCACTGAACGCTCACTGGATTCCCCTCAAAAGGTGCTTGTGAAGATCAGCTGAGAAAATCCATAAAGTACCCCAAGCTATCCAAGGTGGGCCCGCTGGTCCTCGTCTCTGCCAAGGAGGAGGCCCCGTGGCCCCTGGACCTGGCACAGGTGCCAGGACGAGTTGTCTGCACCCCACTTGGGACTTCAGGACAGTGCGCCTGCCGCAGGAGCTCGCCAGCTGGTGGTCTGGCCTGGTCCGGCTCTGCCTGACTGCTCTGCACACATGTGACCTGGGCACAAGCAGTTGCCCCAGCTAATTTGGGGGCTCTGCAGAAAATCAGCTGGAGCCCTGTCTGCAGCTGCTGTGCGCACTTTGTGGATGGGCATGGCTGGGCCCCAGGGAGGAGGGCTGGGACATCCTTCTGGGCTACTGCACCCCCGACCATCACCAGGCCCTGCCTGTGTGCCTCCCACCCCAGCACTGGGGACAGTGGAGGAAGCTGGGGACTGACAGCCCTGCAGCCCTCATGAGGAGCCGTGCTGTGCAGAGCCTGGGGTGCTGTATGGTGTCCCCTGGGCTGCCCCTGCCTGGCTAAACCTGGTGACCACACTGCCTTTGCCTCCTGAGTGGCACTGGGGAGCTGCTTGTCCTGTTCCTGCACCCCCTTGCCCAGCCTAGGAGGCAGGTGGGCCTGGGTTGGTGGCCAGTGCTGCTCACTGACAGCCCTGTCGCTGTGAGCCCTGCAGGAGAGGCTGGCTTTCCCCACCATGGGGTGGCCTGGGGGCTACCTACTCGTAGGGCCTGTGAATATAGCCCTGCCCGGGATGAGTTTGATGCCCCCTCAGTCTGCTGGTCTTCCCCAAACTATAACCCCATGAGGAGCACAGGAACTGGAGAAGCTGGGGCACACAGAGGTTTAGTGACTTGCCCCAGGTCACACAGCCATGTGGAGCACTGGTGGGGAGAGGGGGAGAAGAGATGAGGAAGGGAAGGACTCCGGTTTGTGTTTTGTGGGGGCTAACATGAATGGGAAAGGAGGGGACAGCCTGGAGCAGCCCAGCCAAGCCCAGGTGCAGGGTTCTGTGCCTTTCTTCCCAGAGAGCTGGAGAGTGCAATGGGCAGGTGTGAAGTCAAGGCGGAGGGCAGCAGACGGGGACCAGGGCTCGCTCCAGCTGCCTTCTTGGGCAGGTGCAGAGGGGTCTGGAGTAGCTCCCAAAGATGGGGCAAGGTGGGTCCGAGTGGCCAGGAAGCTGAGGGTGGTGGTGCGGAAGGGGGTTTCTCAGAAGATCAGGGGGTGCAGGGTTGAGGGCAGCAGCAGACTTGCGGGGCCTGCAGTGAGGAAGGAGTCATGTGCAATTCTGAAGACAACATCTCCGGGGTGGCAATACGAAAGAGAGGGTGCCACCCACGGCTCGGTGTCTCTGCCCTGGGTCTAGGGTCTGAGTTCCGGA
The DNA here is from genome assembly GCF_000001405.40 of Homo sapiens. Lineage (NCBI taxonomy): Eukaryota > Metazoa > Chordata > Mammalia > Primates > Hominidae > Homo > Homo sapiens. The sequence goes on from NT_187660.1 coordinate 1,386,239, forward strand.
GTGATGGAGGGGGCCAAGCGTCTGTGAAACTTGGGGGGTGGTCTGGGTCACGACTGGGGACGAGGAGGGTCTGGAGGTCCCAGCCCTGCTTGTGGATGCGCTGTTGTTCCACCCTCTGGCTCTGCCTCCCTGTCTGTGAAATGGGGTCCCACTTCCTTGAGGCCTCAGTGCTCAGGATGCAGGGGAGATGCTGGCAGCCGAGGAGAGGGGCAAATGCTGGCTGTCAGGGGCTTTCTCCAGGATACAGGACAGCTCACCCTGAGAGTGCCAGGGAGGGTTAGATGAAGCAAATGAATAGGCATGGTTATGATCCATCTCCCCAGTGATCCAGAAAATGGCATGCAGGCGGCCATATGGATCAGTCACCATCTCTGAGTGGCTCGGCTGCCTGGCGGTAAACACCGGGCCCTTCAGGCCCCCAGGTGCGGACCACACCCTCTGCACCTGCTCCATGAGTGCCCGTGGTCATGGTGGGGGTTGAGGGTAGGGGTCTGGCTGTCCCCATTTGGCCCTCTGTGCACCTAGACACAGAGGCTGTCACAGTGGCTGCCACTTGTGCCCCTGCAGGCCAGGGCTCATCCACCCCAGGGCCATGTCCAGGCATCTGCCTGGCTGAGGTGCACTGGGGCTCCACTGCCCAGCCGGGACCTCCAGGGAGCAATGAGCCTGGGATAACATTCAGGAGACCCGAGGGTGCTGGCTACTCTGGTCCAAGCCCCTCGTCCCTCACAGCGTGCTCAGGATAGGACCCGCAGTCCCAAGGGCCCTGGCCTCTACTTTCAGGAGCCTGGAACCCCGGGCTCCTGCTGTCCCCGGCCCTGCAGCAGTGGGGCGCTTCCCTTGGTGTCACCTCTCTGGGCACCCCCATCCCCACCATGCCCAGTGAAGCTCTCACCTGTGTCCTCCCGTCCTTGCCAGGCCCTTCGCCTGAAGTCCTAGCTCCAGCTGGCCTGGGGCAGCCACTCGGCACCTTGTATCCCGGGAGCTGGTGGGCAGGGACTGGGGTTCCCCTCAGCCTCCATGTGCCTGGCCACCTGGGGAGCATATGCAGGCGCTGGAGGATGCCTGGCTAGGAGTCTATCAGCTCCTGTCCCGACCTGCAGCGGTTCTCCCTGATGACCACAGAAACATTCCCTGTGGCAGGTGGCAATGCTTAGCACCCAGAGCGAGCAGTCAGATGAGATATGGGCCAGCTGCAGAAATCTGGGTGCTGGTGTGTAGGAGACGGGGAGGCCCCCTCACAGTTGTCTGTGTCTGCATGTGTGTGTACACGCATGTGTGTTTGGGACAGGTGAGTCTGTGCTTCTCCCATCCCAGGCCACTCGCCTCCTCCCAGGGCTCAGCACAGTCTCCTTTCTCCAGGATAAGAGGGCCCTGGGGTGGCGAAGGAGCTGCCTTGCGGTATGGAATCTGCCTCTCTCCACCCCCTTCTCTTCTAGTCCTAATTCTCCTTGGACATCCATTTTTCCGGTTTTTGTTTTCATTTAAAAAATAACTGTGGTAAAATATATCTGTAACTTAAAATCGAGCATCATAGCCATTTTGAAGTGCAGAGTTCTGTGGCAGTCAGTCCATCTGCATGTCAGGCAGCCATGGCCACTGCGCTCTCCTGCACGTCTTCCTCCTCCCCAACAGGAACTTTGTCCCCACTAAGCACCACCGCCCATTTCTCCTTCCCAGCCCCTGGCGGCCCCCCACTTCTACTTTGTCTCTGTGATTCTGACTACCCCAGGTACCTCATATCAGTGGCATCACACAGTGTTTGTTCGTGTGCCTGGCCTGTTTCATGCAGCATAGTGTCCCCGAGGTCTGTCCGTGTTGTAGCACACTTCAGACTCTCCCTCCTCTCCAGGGCTGAGTACTGTTTCCCTGCAGGCCTAGAGCACATTCTGTTTCTCCGCTAGTCCGTGCTGTCACCCTCGGCTGTTGTGAACACTGCTGCTGTGAACACGGGTGTGCACGGCGCCTGTTTTCCATTTTGTCCAGTCTCGTGGTCACAGGCGCTCCCAGGCCCTCCTGTCCATCTGTTTGGCGTCACTTTTAGGCTGGAATGGAAGCCCCCACCGCTGCACTCCAGCCTGGGTGACAGAATGAGACCCTGTCTCCAACAAAACCAGAACCAGTATGTTTGGCACAAAATGCCCTTACGTCACTTGGCGGGGGGGGGATGTAGGAATAAAGTGACTCTTCCCTGTCGATGTAGACCATTTGGGCATCCGGCAAACAGAGCCTTCCCTTGACAGAACAGATGCCCCACCTTTCTGGTGGCCAGGGGACAGGCTGCCTCTCCTTTCCCGCCCGCCCATCAGCTAAGTGCCTGTCTTCCAGGATGGTAACCAGGCTGTGCCGTAGGAGGCCAGGTGGCAGTGGCCTTGGGCTGTGTCACCAGTCTCTAGCCTGACCACAAAGGGAGCGGCCCTGGGGGAGGTGCAGCTGGGGGACAGGTTCCACCGTGGGAGTCAGAAAACTTGGTGGTTCCCCACACACCATGGCATTAACTCTCTTGTTTTAAAGAAACATACTGCATATCATAAGGATCTCTGTCTGTGAGTCAGCGAATTGCACGTGCACGTATTCATCATGTGGCGCTTTTCCCTCTGCATGTCCCATCTTTGGGGACGTGGTGGAGCGCCTGTCGGGTGTGGCGGGAACACGTGTGCTGACCTGGCCATGTCTGCTTAGATCTGCAGCCTCATGAGAGGGGGCATTGCTGAGCGAGGGGGCGTCCGTGTGGGCCACCGCATCATCGAGATCAACGGGCAGAGCGTGGTGGCCACAGCCCACGAGAAGATAGTCCAAGCTCTGTCCAACTCGGTCGGAGAGGTAAGGAGGGACTTTGAGTGTGCCTCTGCATGCCGGTTCCCACGTGCTCCCGCCTGCCCTCCATGAGCCTCCCCCGCTCCAGAGGACACAGGGCATCTGAAGGTCAGCCAGGCTGTGTCTCCCATCGGGGCTGCTGTGACAAGGGTGAATGGAGCGGCAGGTGATGCGGAGCCATCCCGGTCTGGCTCTAACTGAGCAACCGGGAGGGCACAGGCTGCTGGGGGTGCTCCCTGGACACTACTTTTGGGACTGGACCTGTATGTCCAGTTCAGAAGCTCTGCAGGGCACACAGCTCTGGCCACCCTGGCAGGCTTGCCTCTCTGCCCCTGCTGGCCATCCCCTCCCACAGCCAGGCTGCTTGCCCTGTCCCACTTCACTGGCTGAACCCCCCGCAGTCCAGTTCTTTCTGGCATCGCTTCCACGGCAGTGTGAGGATGGTGTGGGGGAGGTGCAGGTTTTCCTCCAGAGCTCACAAGGCGGCAGGATCATTGGGAGGGGGGATGGTGCTGGGGAGGTGGCACATACACCGGGGGAGGCCTGGCCAGTGCGCAGCGGGTGTGCGTGTGTGTGTGTGTGTAGTGTGAGCGAGTGTGGGTGTGTGCATGTGGATGTGTGAGAGCATGGGTGTGTGTGGGATGTGATGTATGAGTGTGGGTAAGTGTGGGTAGGTGTGGGAAATGAGTGCGCGTGCACATGTGGGTGTATAGGGGTGCATGAGTGGATGGGTGTGGGTGTGTGGCTGTGTGAATGTACCTGAGAGTGTGCGTGTGGAGGAGTGTGTGTGTGGGTGAGTGTATGCGGATGTACGTGTGTGTGTGAGAGCATGGGGTGTGTAGGAGTGCGAGTGTGGGTGTGTGCAGGGGTGTGTGGCTGTGGGTGTGTGAGCATGGGGTGTCAAGCATGAGTGTGTATGTGTGCACGGCTGTGGCTGTGGGTCTGTGAGTGGGTGTGAGGCATGGGGTGTGAGGAGAGTGTGAGTGGGTGTGTCTGTGTGTGTGTAGGGGTGTGTGAAGGGGTGTTCAGCACAAAGGGGCTGCAGGCTCTCTGGGAAGCGTGGTGGCCGCACGAGGCGGGAGGCTGAGAGCTGAGGAGCCCGGCCTACAGAGGGGCCCGCTGGGGACCGGGCAGGGAATTTGGGTCTGGGGACAGCAGCAGCAGGCCGGGCCGTCTGTGGTGCTCCCCCTGGTGGCTCTGTGAGGCTGAGTGCGTGGCGACCATCCTTGCAGCCTGTGGGTGGGCGGGTGGGTGGAGGGGTCTCTAGTTCCTGTTCTTCGGATGAGGTCTCCCGGAGCCACATCGGGACACTGGTATTTTGTGCACTGCAGGGTCGGCTGGGAGCTGGGAGGCCTGTTTTCCCTGGACTGGTGGGGGCAGGGGTCTGGCTCAGGAGGAGGAGGGGCCAGGCGGACACCAGCCTCCCTTTGATGGCTTCAAAGAAAGGAAAAGCCAGTGTTCCCAAGTAGATGCTTTGAAGCGGCCGCCCCCACGGCCAGCAGCCCCACACCTGTGAGGAAATCCACCCGTGGAGGAGCGGGCGGGAGAACGGGGAAGAGGCAGGAGGCGGCCGGGGCGTTGGAATCCTTTCAGCCCTGCCGAGGTTATGGTGCCTGTTTCCAGCAGCTCTGAGCCCACGCGGAACATGAGTCGCTGATAAACAAGGCTTGCAGTTGCGAGGGGCCTCGGGGTGGGTTTCTGGCTGAGGAACGCCGGGGAATGGCTGATGGAGGAAGCCCCTGCCGGGAGCAGGAGCAGCGGAAACCTACATCGGCCACACAGATCCCGGCGGGGGAGGGAGGGCAACGCTCAGAAGCAGAGCTGCGCGATGTGCCTTTCTGGGCTGCTCAGCCCAGGGCCCGAGACCTGCTTGCCTGAGGAGGGGCAGATGCACGGCGGCTGCACCCCGTGGGGAGGCCAGCATGCCTGCGGCAGCTGACCCTGGCAGTGCGAGGGCCCCCCATCCGGAGGCCGCAGCCTAGCACAGTCCCGGGCAGGACAGGGGAGAGCGTCGTGCTCAGCAGAGGAGAAGTGGGCAGTAGAGCTCCCTTTCCGTTCTTGAAGCAGACGTTTAGAGTCTGCTCCTTCCCAGTGTCCGCAAAGAAGGATTACAAGGCGCGCCACCCACACGGTTGGTCTCCCTGGGGCGGTCTGAGGCCTTGCTTGTATACCCAGCTCCTTTGGAGTCAGGGCTCGAGGCCAGGCCCCAAAGGGTCATTTGCTCACCGATCCCCAAAGGCTAAGAACTTGAGGTGCCCTGGGCCCCAGCGAGCCTGTTCCCAGCCCCCAGCACACTTTCCTGGCCCGTGTGTGTTTTGTAAGAAGGGGTGTAGGCCGGGCGTGGTGGCTCAAGCCTGTAATCCCAGCACTTTGGGAGGCCGAGGCGGGCGTATCACGAGGTCGGGAGATTGAGACCATCCTGGCTAACACGGTGAAACCCCGTGTCTGCTAAAAAATACAAAAAAATTCGCCGGGTGTGGTGGCGGGCACCTGTAATCCCAGCTACTGAGGAGGCTGAGGCAGGAGAATGACATGAACCCGGGGGGCAGAGCTTGCAGTGAGCCGAGATTGCACCACTGCACTCCAGCCTGGGCGACAGAGCAAGACTCCGTCTCAAAAAAAAAAAAAAAAGAAGGGGTGCGTGTGTCTTCCCCCATTGAGCTCCTCCTCACTGAAGCAGAGTGCATCCCTCGCAGTTTCTGCCGAGGCCTGGCCACCCCCAGCCAGCCCCAGTGGATGGGCAAACTGTTGTCACCACTAGAAGTCCAATTTCTCACCCCTCGGGTGTCAGCTGGACTGGAAGCAAAACTAGCACTCAACTGTATTGACTCCTCTGGAGCCAGGGGTGGGGACCTGGAGTCTCAGTCTGCTGCATCTGGAAGGCATCATAAGTGTCCCCAGGCCTGGGCAGGCTGGCCTTCCTCCTTCACTCTAGGAGATGGGCATTTGAAGCAGAACTCTGGGGGGTTTGCCTCTGTCCTTTGCTTTCACCTGATTGTGGGAGGGGAGGTGGGAGGGCAGCGGCTCAGCCTCCTGTTTCTGTCCGCAGATCCACATGAAGACCATGCCCGCCGCCATGTTCAGGCTCCTCACGGGTCAGGAGACCCCGCTGTACATCTAGGCCACCCCAGCCTGGCCACGCAGCCAGGACACCGGGCAGGGCCGCCCGGGCCCAGAGGAGCTGGGAGCCGGGCCGCAGACTTGACCCCGACGCCACAGCCCAGCCACGGACGCTGGCTCCCCAAAGGGTGTGCCCTCACCACCCACTTGATTTTTTTCATTTTGCCAAAAAGGGGTATGTCTTTATCAAAGGAGAGTCACAGAACAAATGTTTGTTTGTAAAGCGTTCCAAGTATTTTGCCACGTTCTGGACTGTCTTCTCCCTGCACAAGCCAGGGTGTGTCTCGGTAGCTGTGCGTGGTGTGGAGTGTGTGTCTTTCCTCCCTGAAGCTGTGCGGAGCGAACTGGCGCCTCCGAGGGACGCGGCTCCCGGGGCAGGGCAGCCGTCACCCCTGCCTCCCGCCCCCTTGGCTGGGACGTCTGGGGTCCTGTGGGGCCCCCACAATGGTCCCAAACAGCTGCCTCTGCCACTGACTGCAGGGACACGGGCAGCCTGGCTCCCAGGACACGACTTGTAATGAAAGTTTGGGGACATGTGATTGATTGATTGATTGATTGTAAATAAAGGATGATGGCCACAACATGAAAACTCCATATTTATTTAGATGCTATTATTACTGTTTGGACTTTTATTTTGGCAGGCTTTTTTCCAGACTCTAGGGTTTTCCAATGTGACTAATGACCACACCTGCCTCTCCCGTCGTCTCTTCTGGGCACCCTCCCACCCGGCTGCATACCCGGCCAGGGCTCCCACAGAGACAAGGAGGGCACAGGTGTCTGCCCCCTCTTTAAAATCGATCTACACACATCCACGCACATGCGACCCCGAGGAAACGAAACCCACTCTAGAAAACGCGACCTTGGCCGCACCTAAAGCAGCCAGCCGTGAGTGCAGACCCCTTGGCCAGCGTGGCGCAGTGGCCCTGAGCAGTAGTGGCATGTGTGTAGATCAAGTCGGATCTAGTCCAGCTCGGTTCATTAGCGATCCATGTAATCTGACGTCATCTTGTCTCGAAGTCTCTTTTTTTGGCCCAGGCCTTGAAGAATACACTGTGACTTAAGAAGCCTTACCACGCAGTAACTAAAGCTTTAGGATGACTGTATTCGAGGAGTGCCGTGTGTTGCATGCAGCTACCCGTAGGAAGACTTCGCGCATATCACTAATAAACCTGAAGTCGTGATGAAAAGCCGTGTGTGTGACTGGTCTGTTACCTCAGCGGCAGGTGCCCGCCTGTCCTTTCATTCATAGCTTGGATGCGGCTCTGCAAATTCACTATGCGGTGGCAGCCACAGCTGCTCTGTGCTCCTCCTGGATCCTGAACCTTGGAAGCTGTCACTAATGAGTTCGGTGGGTGGGTGCTCTGGGCACCAGGTGTCAGCTGGGCAACGCCACGCTGCAACTGGAGGTGCCAGCAATGCTACCAGGTCACGGGGTCAGCGCCAGGTTCTTGACCCACTTGCCCCAGCAGGGAGACACGTCCGCAGAGCACTCACTAATGGAATGAGGGAGCCAGGGAGCCTTGGGCTTCTTCAGATTTCAACGTAAATGGCCCCTGGGAAAGGTGTGCATGCGTGTGCGTGTGTAAAAGCCGGACCGCCCATCCCAGCACCCTGTCTGCACCTGTGGGTCCTTTGCAGCCTGTCTAGAGTGACAATTCTGGCAGCTCTGCCAGCACTTACTTACCTTTCTTCATGGCCACCGTTCTGGTGTCACCTGGTGTGGGAAAGCCAGGTAGCAAGCATGGGCTTTGTTCAGAGGCGGTGGCCTGGGGTCCAGCTGGGTTAGGCTGTGGGTCTTGGATGGGCAGGAGCCCTCCTCTCTGGCCTGCCCACAGCAGCGTGAGCTCCTTGCTGTGGGCACTGACCACCTTCACGGCCCAGGATTCTTGGGGAACTGCAGAGTAAGGAGAAGACTTACTCTCACCTAGCCGCCCAGAGGGTGTGGGCCAAGGGCTTGCTCCAGCATGACCTTGGCCATCAGGGGCATATAAAAGAGACAGCCTTTCAAGGCGCACACCAGCTTTGTGCCTCCCTCTTCCCAGAAAGTATACATGGTAGAGGCAAAGAAAGCTGTTCCATAGGAGACTGTCACAGAGAGCTGCGTATATGCCGAAATGTATATGCACTCGCTCTGAATGAATATGCTTAAGAATGAAAAGCAAATACAATTCTCGACGTGGCCAACAAACAAGAATGCCAGGGATGGCCACATCCTTGGGGAATGAAGAGAAATGTCGCCTGAGTCAAAGCTGGAGGGAACGGGATTCCACTCAGGAGGCCAAGGGGGACATTCCTGCTGTGCCCAGGACAAGGCAGGGAAGCAGGTCCCAGGGAGAGAGCCCTGGCTAGCTGAGGACATGCAGGCAGGACTCCCACCAAATCATACACATCTTTAAAAAACCTGTATTTAAGAAAACATTTGAGCCATGGCCTGCATTCCTCCCAGCAGCCCTTGGAGGCCATGTCCATGGAGGGGCTGCCATGGCCAGCGTGGACGGGCGTGGGTGTGTCCAGGCCCTGGCCCTCCCCACTCTGCCCCGGAGTTGACCCTCTCCGGAAGGCTTCTGGAAGCACAGCTGAGTGGCATGGGTATCTCAGGCTCCCCGGCTGGCTACTGCAAGGTCCTCTCAGGACCCTGCCCCTGGCCACTGGGGTACACAGCCTCTCAGCCTGCCTCTGTCCCAGTTAGACCTCAGAGACACAGAGGCCAGAAATACTTCTTTTTATTAAAACACGGATCATTATTAAAACACCTTGAGGTACATTAAATAAATACAGCCTTTCCAGTTGTACAGACAGGTCTCTGGTGGCTTGAAAACAATTTCCTATAAATTCTGCCTTAGCAGCCTCTGAGAGTCAGCATGGGTGGGGAGAAGCATCTGTGTGTAGCGAGCTTTCTGTGGCCTGGTGTGTTACAAACATTTAATGTGGATCCTCATCTCCAGCCAAGGGAGACCTGAAGTCCTTGCGGATGATGCTCCCCCTTCTGCGATCTTGCTTGCCATAGAGTTGGGGTCCATGTTCTCCCCACTCAGCAACCTTGTGGCCCCCAGGCTGGGGTCAACGGTGGTGTCACAGCAGGTGCCAACCCCCTTTGGGTCTCAGGGGAGGGCAGGGGATGCCCGGGGCCCAGCTGAGTTGGAGAAGGAGCGTGTCACCCCCAAAGCAGCCACAGTTGGCCCATTTCAGATCCCAGAGGGAGCATGATTGGAGCGGGGGAAAGACGCATAGGGAGGGGAAGCAGCCAGCTTTCTCCTGGGCTGTGAGCTGACGTGCAGCCCGGGGCCTGGGCTCTTGCTGCTGGTACCCGGATACCGTGGAGCCGGGGCCAAGGGGACCACAGCTGCTGGGTCAAGTTGCCAGCACATTCCCTAGTCTACCAGCACCTCTCTCTTCTGGGGACCTTCCCAGGAAGCCCAGAACCTGGACCCTCCTAGAGTCCATGAGTGGCCCTGAGCAGCGGGGCTGATGGGGGCACCCCACCCCGTCCCTGACTGCCTCATTTCGAAGGGGCAGAAGGTTCCAGCCCAGCGGCATCAAGTTGGGTACAGTTTCCGTATCCACAAAACAGAGCTGCCACCAGCGCAAACCCAGAGCTGGGTGAAGGTGGGGTGCAGGTGAGGGGCCCGCAGGGAGGCACTGCTGGGGCAGCAGCCCCATTGGCCATTGGGACCGGGCCCTGCTGCAGAGAAGGGAAGGATGCTGAGCAGCAGGCTGAGGGGGTCCAGTAGGCCTCTGCCCCGGCTGCATGAGGAGAACACCCCAGAGACCGAGTCCACTGGGTGGCTGGTGGTCTTGGCCTCGCTGGAATTGCAGCCATGTCTGAGGACTGCAGCTCTAGCCCACCCAAGGGCTCAGCCCAGGGACAATGCTGTGTGAACCCCCAAGCCCTAGTGTGGACCCCCCCAAGCAGGTGAAACCCCTGCGGTGTGGCCCCAGCGCACCTCAGAGACAGTGGAGATTCAGAGGCCAGGGCGTCAGGCGTGGCTGAAGCTCGGCTCCAGGGCGGCCATTCTGAAAATCCACCAATTAATTTCACCTGCAAAGGGACTTGCCTTGAGGGAATTCAAAAGCCCCCACTTGAGGAAAATTAGAGATTTCCTGTTTTATAGTCTGAATAAAGTGCTCAAAAATTCATCTCTAGTACGTCTCTCCTGCAAAAGTGCAGGTTGTCATCAAAAGGCCTGGCTTATGTGTTTTCAGCTCTCTAAAGCAATCGAAGCCTTTTCAGCCGACCACAGCTGAAGGAGTCCCACACCGCAGCCCCCAGGGCAGGGATAAAGGACTGGAGGAAGGCTCTGGGCACCTGGATTGGAACCTCACCCCCTTCCCAGCTTCCAGCCACACAGAAGCTCCCCAGCACACTGGCCACAGTGGCATTAGGGAATTGGGGGAGCTCAAGGACAAGCCCCACAAAGCCGAGGGAACAGCAGCGTGAGCCCCCTGCCCTGGCACCCAGGAGTGGAAGACACCCTCTGGTCCCCCTGTGCCCCCATGCCAGGCTCATGGGCTCTCTGGGGAGACCTTGGCCTCTAGGCTGTTTTGTTCACCGCAGGGCCCACCCAACGCAGCTCAGGGGCTGTGGCTGCTAGTGGCCCTGAACAGGCATTTCCATCACTGCACAAAGTTCTCGTGGATGGCGCTGTTCCACGGCCATTGTTGGGAGCAGCTGCCACTGATGCCACCAGAAAACAAGGGGATGGGGGCTAAGAAAGTCCAAGGTCCCCAGGCTGTCCCCAAGCTGGGCGTGTCTGCTTCTCCATAAGCAGCACGTTGGGTGTCTGCTTCCCTTCTCGCGTGGGTTTGTAAGTGGTTTATGATCCTCCTGCGCAGGTGTGTCTGCTGCCGCATGCCCGGGGAAAGGTCAGCTCTGGGTCAAAGGGACCTGCTTTATCAGGAGGGGCTACTTCTCAGAGAAACCGGCCTCTCTCCTGCAGAACTGTGACCCGCTGAGCTCAATCAAGTGAGCTCAGACACAAAGGAGCTGGGAATCGGCACTTGTTGTTACGGATCACACAACTGCTCCAGGGACAGGATGGGAGCCTGGAGAAAGGGGGCCCAAGAGGAGGGGGGGAAGGCACCCCACGGAGGGAGGCCGAGCTCAAGGCCCAGGAGATGGTGGGTTCCTCCAACCCCCGCAACACCGGCCTGTTCCCTGGGGGGGGCCGGGCTATGGCAGAGGCCCGCACTGCACATTTGTTTGCACAATAGCCCTGTGGACAGAAAGTTGGGCCCAGGCTGCCATCTGTGCTAACACTACCTATTTCCTTTCACAGGAAATAGGCCAGAGCGTGATGAACGCCTAATGATAGAGCCATCGAGCCACATGAGAAAATGTTTCATGACTCGATGTCACCCTCTGTCCACTGAACACTAAGTTAAATGGGGGATGGGAGACTCCTGCTTTGGAAGGCCCTGATTTTGGAGATACTTTGAGTCTTTAGGTGACGTAAGTGTCGCCTGTTGCTGTATTCACATTTGTGCAACACTGCTCAGTTCAAGGTGCTGCACGCCAGATAAAACCAGAGAGTTCACTGTGGACGTGAAAGTCATCTTTCCGAATTACTGGGCTAGGCAGGAAATGCAATCCCCAAAGAGACACTGCTCGGCTCCCCTCGAGAGAGGGGGTAACAGTTCCCTGCCCACACCGCCCCCAGATCATCCTGGGTGTCCCCCCCACATTTATCCTCCGCCAAGCTGGGCCTGAAGGCCTCTTTGTCAGGCATGATGGCTTCTGCCAAGAACATCTGTGGCGCCAGGCGTTGGTGTCCACGGTCAGAAATGTGGCTCCTTCATACCTGGTCCAGAACATCAGCGCCGAAGACGGCCTCCTCCTCGAGGCGCTCCTCGTTGGTGACAGCCAAGCGCATGGCACCCACCATGTGCTGTGCCTCGGTGGGGAGGGCACAGTGTGAGTGTTCCAAAAACTTGGCCACCAAAACCCTGGCGTCCGCATAGGCCTTGCTGTCCACTAAAGAGCGTGGCCGCTCTTTGGAGGTCGCTGGGAAGGGCTCTGGTGTTGGCCGTTGGTCAGTTTTCCAGGTATCTGGGTCCCCCGCTGGTGAAAGCTGGGCCCGACAGGCAGCCGTGGCAGAGCGAGACATGGAAGCTAAAAATCAAGGGCAAAAGTGCAGTTCAAAACTCACTGAAATAAGAAGTTAACTCAAAAGCAAAGAAAAGCCTGCTCGGGAGGAGCCTCCTGCTGGGGTTTCTGTGTTCCTGGGGCTGGCGCTCTGGGCATGCCCTGCTGTCCCCATCCCTCCTCCCCTTCTCAACCCCAAACTGAACTAGTGTCAACCTCCAGGGGCTGCAGCCTCCAGGAGCGAAGGCCTGGGGGGAAGGGCCACCACAGCAGGCAGCGACCCACTTCTGCCCTCTGCTAGAATCCCAAGGGCACAGGGGCTGGTCCTTCCCAGTCTTCTCGCCTCCACGACCTTTGCCCCTTTGGGTCTGATCTCTTGCTGGGGCAGAATCATGGCATCTAGAGACAGGGTCTGCCTTAAGACCAGAACTGGGGGTGGCAGAGGGAACATGAGACCGCCCCCCCCATCATGCCAGGTGCAGGCAGCCACCACTCAGTGCCCTGCTCCACTGCCTGCCAGGCCAGAGGCTGGGGACCTGGCTCCAGCTCCCCACAGAGCTGACAGCCTCTCTGCATGACCCACAGGCTGGACACTGGGCTGAGGGTCCCTGTAAGACGGCCAGCTCCGGGCTGTCAGTGGCGAGGGACGCCAACAAGGACCAGCGAAGGCCCGGCTTGCCCAGCCTGAGCTTCACGCCACACAAAGTTGGAACATTCTGGGTCGTCTGTTCTGGTGTCTTGTTTGGTGGCAACTGGAAAGCCTAGCAATTAAACATGAGAAATTAAGAAACTCCCAGGTGGGGCCCATCTACCCCAGATGAAATCTCATAAAGTGGGCTGAGCAGTCACAGGTGTGTTAAATTAGTGCTAGCCCTGGATATAAGTGCACCGAGAGACAAAGGAAGAGAAAGGCCCTCAAAGCCAGACAGTGGGCAGCCCCCATTCCCGGGGGTGGGGTGAGGAGCTGCATTTGGAAACAATGTAGCCAAGGACCCACCAACACCCGCCCCACCTCCCAGCAGGCGCAGTCAAAGCGCTTTAGAAAAGAAGCGTCTCACCGCTCCCAGGCACAGCCTCAGACAGTCCCGCTTCCAGGTCCTGGCTACACGACGGCCTGTGTGAAGAGGCATCGCCTTAACCAGAAGGAGAATTCAGTGAACACATGAAAGGAAAAAGGAATTCCTGAGAAAGCTATCATAACCCGCCTGTGACTAAGACATTTTAGATGGCGAGCAAGCAGGAGAAGCCTGCTGAGCTGACACCCACCCAGCGGCAGATCAGACAGGAACCGCCCTGCAGCTGGCCAGGCCTGCCGTGGGTCAAGTGGTGTCCCAGGTCCCACCCTGACACAGTGCAATGGGCCAGTGGCTCAAAGAAAGCCCAGCACCCTTCATGGGAATTCCCACCCTCACCTGAAGGGCTCCAGGCACCCTGGAAGGCACGTGCCTGCGGCGTGCACATCAGCCTAGCCAAGAGGGGACAGAGGCGTCAGGCGGGTGTGTGGGTGCCGAGGTGTGAATTTCACTGAGAGGGACAGGCCCAACAAAGCCATCAGGGGGCCACAGAGTGGACCCATGAGCCCCTCCAAGTACAGGGCATCCTCCTCCAAACCTCAGTGAGTGAATGTGAGCATGGTGGAGAGAGGTTCCGGAGCTCAAGAAACCAGCAGAGGGGGGTGTTTCAGAAGGTTTGACGGGACTCTCTCCCTGTGAGCTGGCAATGGGATGCAGGAAGGAGGAATACAGAGATGACCGCAGCCAGGGAGTCCACATGTGCCAAACCTGGTATTTCCACCAGGAGGGTACCTCCAGGCAACTGGCCACTGCGGGCCCTGGTTCCTTTCAGGGACTCGGTTCCGGGCTCCAGTAGAGATCAGCTGGGCAAGACCATCGAGGGGAGACTGAGCCAGGACCCACTGCGCCCTCTTCAGGGTTCCTGCACTTCCACTTCATGAAAAGTCCCCACAGCAATGGCATGGAGGTCAAAGGCCCACCAATCTTTATTGGCAGAAACTGTGCCTCCTCTCAAAAGACAGTGATGAGGACTGGGTGTGAGTTCTCCAGCGCCGGGGGTGCCCAAGACTCCCGGGGAGCTACTGTGAAATGCAAATTCCTGCGCTGCTGGCCACAGGGACCTGGTGCCAGGTCCTAGGCTCCAGGGCACTGCCCGCAGACACAGTCGCATGGGGCGATTTTTGAAAGCTCTGGGCTGTGTGGAGAGCCAAGCTGCCTGGGAAATGCTGCTGAAAACGCACCTGTGTCTGCGTGGGGCGGCTCCAGCTGAAGACACCCCCATGCCCAGAGCTATCGTTGGGGGTCATCTGTCCTGTGCCAGACTCTAGGCCTTTTCTGGGCCCTGGAGCACGTGTGCAGCACTTATAGCTAATGTCCTGGACTGGGCCCCGGGCCCCTTGAATCCTTCCTCCCCTGCCAGAGTGACAAGCCTGGTGGGGTGCAGAGGGGCCCACAGGCTGCTCCCCACCCACCCCTGGCTCAGGGGTCATCAAGACCACATTCCCAGTGTGGCCCCAGACAGGATCTGCAGGGCCGGGCCTCCACTCTCAGGGGTCACTGAGACCTGCAGCATCCAAGGAAAGCTGGCCACACTCTGGGGACATGGGTGAGCCTGGCCAACCTACCTGCCATGCTAGATGTGCACAAGGTGGGGTCGCTGGTGGAGCGGGACACATGCCCGGGACCTGGCTGCACCTGTGAGCCCATGCCAGGATCCTCTGGAGACACGCGGCCAGGGGGAAGGGCAGGTTCGGAGGGTGCTGGGGCGCCCACAGGGCCATCGGGGGATGGGCTGGAACCTGGCGTAGCAGTGCCCTCGGACACCAGGAGGCTTGTGCTGTCAGCTGGTACTGCAAGAGAAGGGACATGGCATTAGAGTGGGCGGCCGCAGGGGACGCTGTCGTGGGACAGGCCTGCCCCTCAAACTCCAGACCTAGATGAACTCTGAAACCCTGGGGGTGCGGAAACACTGGATAAGATTGACAAATGCTGCTTTATGCTGTTGAAAGTTGGGGGCACCAGATGAGCTCCCAGAAATCATTCCAGGAATGGCATGGTTCGGGGGCTTAGACCCTTCACACTACACAAGAGACTAAAAGTCAGAAATCAGACACTTTGGTCACAAGACGCTTTGGTCTGGGTGAACAGGGCCAGTGCAGGGGTACACAGCAGCCCCAAGGGACATCAAGGCATCCCCACCAGGTCGCGGCAGGCCAGATCTCAGGCCCGCCCTTGCAGGGGTGCAGCCCCGGGCCTGGAGTGCAGCCAGACAGGGTGGTGCAGGCAGGTGGGATAAACTCCGCCCACCAGACACTGGCCTTGGCTCTCAGGGTGTGGACGCCACGCCAGCAGCAGCAGCAGCCTTGCCCTGGGAACAAGCGGGGAATGCAGACTCTCAGCTGGACCCCAGACCCATGGAAGCAGAGACTCTGGCGCTGGGCCCAGCCACCGGGGTTGAAGCGAGCCCTCCAGGGAATTCTGATGCCCTCCAAACTGTAAGAACTGCTGGTCTGGACCGGGATGCTGGTCAGGGCTGGGCTCTTGCCGGGAACCACTCTACGGGGGCTGGATCGGAGTCTGTTTTAATACCATCTCCACGGGGTGTGCATGCATGTGACAGTGTGATAAGCTGCTCCTGCACTCTCCCCTCCCATCACCAGGTGCCCTCAGAGCCCCCTCCTGGCGCCACAGTGGAGTTGCCTGCATGGGGGACACTTCATAGATCACAGAAGCCTGGACTCCTCCAGGCGTGGGGGCTTTGGGTCTGTTCCTGCCATCCCTTTCTGTTTTTCCCTGCGTCTGTGAGCCTGCCCATGGGCAACAGGCTTTTCAGGCCACCTCCCACTTCATCCTTCCTGTCCGTCTGTGAGGCAGCCCCAGGTTACCCCCACCCTACAGCTGCAGAAATGGGCTTAGACAGGGAAGGGTTGAGGGTCACACAGCCACCAAGGTGGTCCTCTACTCAGGAGAGTCCTGACCCCTGTACCCCAGCAGAAGCCTCGGTGCTGGAAGCTCTGCTGGTCCCTGGGTCAGCTGTAGAGTTCACCGCCGAGGTCCCAGGAGGGAGGAAGATCCAGCCCTGCTGAATTCTGGGTGAGGAGCACCCCTGTCTATTTCCACCTGCCCTGAGATGGGAAACAGGAAGGGGCTCAGGTAGCACCAGCCCCCTTCAGCCCAAACCCTGGAATGCTGCAGGTGTGGCCGCCCTGTGACAGTGACTGAGATACACTGTACCCTGGGTTGGCCGTGGGAAAGTCACTGAATACCTTCTTGAACAGCCTCTGATGGCTTGGAGTGACCAAAGGAAGGAAAAGATTGCTTCCAAATCCCACGACTGCAAAGATGCTGCGCTCTACAACCCCCGGTGGCCTCAGAAAGATGGCTCCTTCCTGTTTCTCTTAGATGCTGAGTGAGTGTTCAGCAGGGGACAGAGCGCCCTGGGGCGATCATCCTGGCCCTCTGTGGGATCACATGAGTTATCTAACTTTGTTCTCCAAATAAGCCAGCCCATGTGACCCCTCGCAGGGGCCTCAAGATGGTGGCTCTCTGGCTCACTTGGCCTCCGTGCCCTTTCTCCCTCTGCTGCTAAGGGCCCTTCTGCTTTCCTGGAGCCTTAGACCACCTCCCCCGCCCCGGCTCTGCACGCGACACCCACCCTCTGTGTCTGGGGATTTGACCCTTGCACACGTGTCCTTCAATGCCCTCAAGGACATGACTTCCAGCCTGCACCCTCCTGCCAGCCGCCCAGCCCAGCCACCTTCTTCAGAGGGAGGTGCCGTGTGGACATTTGCCCGGTAGGTACAACTTTGGCTCTGGAAAGGGGACCCTAGATGGAGTCGTGCTCTTCTTCAAATCCATATCCCTCAAGTGAGAAAGTGGGGCAGAGGAGGACAAGGTCTCCCCGGAGAGCGCAGGAGATCTCCTGCATATGCTGACTGTAGTGGATGCAGACACAGGAAGAAATGTGGGGATATACAGGGTATTTAATGGGAAAGACTGCTGCAAACTCCACCCTCTTAAAGAGTAAGAAATGGAGGGAGGAGGAGGAAAAAGAGAAGAGAAGAGAAGAGAATAGGACGAGGACGAAAAAGAGACACCCTTGAAAACAGGAACACCCCACTTCAGGAGCTGAAAGAGGTAAGCTTACCTGGAGTGCTGAAGCCAGCACTGGTGTTTGGGTCCCCGGAGCTGGACTCGGCCACCTGCTGACCTATACTTGTAACCTACAGTAAGAAACAGAAAGCGTCAAGGCGGCTGGTCCGTGGGAACGCAGCACAGCAGCCTCCAGTAGTGTAGGCGCTTAAACTTGTCTCCTGGTGGGAAGCGCTGAGAGACGTTCATCCACACCTCCACTCTTCTCCCCTACATTTATGAGGTGGGGTGTGAGGGTTCAAGTTGTCCTTGCCAAGGCCAAAGTCTAGTTTTCTTTTTTCTTTTTTTGAGACGGAGTCTTGCTCTGTCACCCAGGCTGGAGTGCAATGGCACGATCTCAGCTCACTGAAACATCCGCTGCCCGGATTCAAGCGATTCTCCTGCTTCAGCCTCCTGAGTAGCTGGGATTACAGGTGTCCACCACCGTGCCCAGCTAGTTTTTTGTATTTTTAGTAGAGATGGGGTTTTGCCATCTTGGCCAGGCTGGTCTCAAACTCCTGACCTCAGGCGATCCGCCTGCTTTGGCCTCCCAAAGTGCTGGGATTACAAGGTGTGAGCCACCGCCCCTGGCCGAAAGCCTATTTTTCTGAACTTTTGCAATCAGAGAGCCTGGCAGGGCCACAGAGCCACCTGAGCCTACGAGTTGCACAGTCATCGAGCTTTTGTGGCTTTCGATTTCTTTTTCTTTTCTTTATTTATACATTTTAGAGACAAGGTCTCGCTCCATGGCCCAGGCTGGAGTCCAGTGGTGCAATCATAGCTCACTGCAGACTCGAACTCCTGGGGTTAAGCGATCCTCAGGCCTCAGCCTTCTGAGTAGCTGGGATTATAGGCATGAGCTACCACGCCCTGCTTTTTTCAGCTTTCTTCTTGGATATACTCCGATTCCGCCTGGAGAGGCCTCAGAATAAGGGGAAGGCTATACCTCCTCTGCTCTCTGCCCCATCTTCATTTTGCCCATTCTGCGTGGGCCATGGTTTCCACCTCAGAGGGCATCAGGGCCTCCCGGATGCGATGTTTGGATGTGATGCCAGCTACACACATGTTGCATGAGCACCCCCATGCACCCCATGCTACCTCAGAAAACAATTTTTTGAATCCCTGTGTTATTTCAGAATTGCTTTGGGGATACACTTGCAAATAATGAGCTCCAGAGGAGACTGGGAAGGTGAGGGGGGCTCCTGCGACTTGGTCTGATTCCAGCTCAGGTAATTACATTTCTGCCTCCCTTATCTCCCGCCACTTCAATCAGATAGCTGGTCTCCTTCATCTCTCCTCTTCAACCAGGCTGACACCAGGGCGGGGGCTGGGGCTGCAGCCTTCCCACCCACACAAAGGGTGTGAGCTGCCCCCACAGCGTGGGGCTCGAGAGGTGGTTCCGAGACAAAGAGAAGACGGAGAGCTGCCCAAGTGCGTCCTTTGATCTCACTAAGATGCTTTCGCATAATACGGTCCATACTATTTTTCTTCCTTAGCCCTCTCATTCTGCTGGGAGGGAGTCGGTGAGGGAGAATTCACCCCACCATCAGCACCCACCTGCTTTTTCACTGAAGTCATTATGTGCCAATAACCAGTCCTGGAAATCTCTGTCCAGAACCTTCCACTGAATCACAAAGAGCGAACAATGTCCTAACGGTTTGTTTCATCCTGTGTCTCCCCTCCCGTATCTAACCCTCTCTCGGACTGGCTTTTCTTTTGGATCGTAGACGGGTGGTTAACTTAGAACTCCGCTGTCTAAAAGAAAATCTTCTGGTAATAAAGAAATATAAATAAAACAAGAGAAAGAAAATATACAGTGGGACAAGGTCAGGAGGAAACTGGATTCACTTCATGTTGTGCAGAAGCATCATTCACTTCCTTCTGGCTCCCGGTCAGATTTGGTTTCCAGAGGAGGCAGCTCCTGGGAGCCTATCTATCACCTCTCGCAAGCAGACTGTCAAGAGTTTAATTTAAATGTGGCCCTTCCCTGATGTCAGAAGCCACCTTGCCACGCTAAGCCATGGGGAAAATAGCACTTCCTTTCATACAGCATTTTTGATGAACTATAACAGCAGTAGAAAAGGGTGGGGAAGAAATATATTTGTGGCATAGAATTTAAGTTGAAATTTGAGTTCAGTGAGGAAGCTCATAAACACAGCTCCTTACAGAAGGACAGCGGGGAGAGGGCTGTTGACAGGAGACGCTGTGGGAATCACTTCACCTGGGTCTTACTGGTTTGCAGATGTGCTATTCTGAACAGTCATCGTAACTGGAAAATAAGTTGGCTTTTCAACAAATAATTCAAATTGTATGAAGCTAAGACACTTGCATGGAAATTCTGCCCCATTCTGTAGTTTCCCACTCCTGGGTGAGGCCAACCATTAGAAACAGATTTATGAAGAGCTCTTCGTTTGGGGCAATTCCAGCGATTATGGAAAATGTGAGTTAAAATTTTAGGCTGGTGGCTCAAGGCAAACTTTGAAGACACTTTGCTAACAGATTTTATGTGGATCGTAAGTGTCAGGACCTGGTGCTGCTCCTGGACTCTGCTGGTCCCTCTCCCTTCTCACAACTCCTTGTCTCGCACTCAGGTTCCCTTCCACCTGGCATGCTGCCACCAAATTAAACTCCTAAAGCATCACTGGGTCGCACCCAAGACGCCAAACTCCTCAAGGGCACTTCTACAGTTTGACATCCAAAGCCATAAAATATCTGCCCAAATGATTTCAGCCCTGGGGTGCTGAAGCTCCCACAGCCAGGCTCCAGGCTGTCCTGCCATGCGCCTTAGCTGGTGCTGTGACCTTCACCTGCACCACCTCCCCCTCCTTCACACACCCCAGCCCCCATCACCTCCCCCTCCACACACACCCCAGCCCCCATCACCTCCCCCTCCACACACACCCCAGCCCCCATCACCTCCCCCTCCACACACACCAGCCCCCCACATCGCCTCCCCCTCCTCCACACACACCAGCCGCCCAAATTGCCTCCCCCTTCACACACTCCATCCCCCCAAATCACCTCCCCTCGACACACCCCAGCCCCTCACATCACCTCCCCTCCACACACACCCCAGCCCCCCACATCACCTCCCCCTCCTCCACACACCCCAGCCCCCCACATCACCTCCCCCTCCTCCACACACCCTAGGCCCCCCACATCACCTCCCCCTCCTCCACACACCCCAGCCCCCCACATCACCTCCCCCTCCACACACACCCCAGCCCCCCACATCGCCTCCCCCTCCACACACACCCCAGGCCCCCCACATCGCCTCCCCCTCCACACACACCCCAGCCCCCCACATCGCCTCCCCCTCCACACACACCCCAGGCCCCCCACATCGCCTCCCCCTCCACACACACCCCAGGCCCCCCACATCACCTCCCCCTCCTCCACACACCCCAGCCCCCCACATCGCCTCCCCCTCCACACACACCCCAGCCCCCCACATCGCCTCCCCCTCCACACACACCCCAGGCCCCCCACATTACCTCCCCCTCCTCCACACACCCCAGGCCCCCCACATCACCTCCCCTCCACACACTCCAGTCCCCCAAATCACCTCCCCCTCCTTCACACACACCCCAACCCCCCACATCACCTCCCCCTCCTCCACACACCCCAGCTCCCCACATCGCCTCCCCCTCCACACACACCCCAGGCCCCCCACATCGCCTCCCCCTCCACACACACCCCAGGCCCCCCACATCACCTCCCCCTCCTCCACACACCCTAGGCCCCCCACATCACCTCCCCCTCCTCCACACACCCCAGCCCGACAAGCCCCCCCATATCACCTCCCCCTCTACACGCACCCCAGCCCACCCAGATCACCAGGCCCGATTCCTCTGCAGAAGCCTCAAAGGAGTTCGTGTCTGTCCGGTCTCCATGTGAGAGTGCGAGAGTGCCACGACAGGGGGATTCTGTCCTACATCCTCTGGAGGGCCACCGTCGTCAGTGGCCCCTGAACCATACGCTTGCCACCCAGACAAGAAGATCAAACTGGTAATTTCTCAATCACTTTCCTGCTATCAAAAGAAACTCACTCCTTGAACACTGGCTGAAGAGTACAGCCTCAAACCACAGGAAAGAGAATGGCATCTGACCTGACCTAAGCCGGAAGGGAAGTGTGCACGGCCCGTCACCCATGCGAGTGCTCACGGAGCCCACCCTCGTGGAGGCCGCCCCCTCTTGGGTTAAACCTCTTCCCCAGCACACCCCCTGCCCCGCCCCAGAGTCAGCTCCTCCCCGACAGAGCCCGCCTTCTGCAGCCTCCTCTCTTTATCCAAACTGAGGCCGAGGGCACTTTCTACGCCATTTGTCCTAACAAGGAGGAGCACTACTGACCCTGCCTCGCCCGGGCTGCGGGGTCGTGCTGTGAAGGGGTGCTCCTTGCTGTCTAGTCAGAGGGGCCTTGCTGCCTGGGGAGGGGACAGCTGGTGGTGCAGCTGGCGGCACGGCCTTCCCTCTGTGGACGGTAATGGGTTTCTTTGACTTCCAGACTCCCAGACACGGCCGTGAATTGAAAAGTGCTCCCAGGCCATGGGGTCAAAGACAGTGGGCCCGAGGGCTCTAGCGGCCCCTTCATCACCAGATGCTGCCCTGCTGCCAGGCGGGCGCCCAGGGACAGGCCCTGCAGGCGGTCGTGCTGTGCCCCTGCCAGCACTGGGAGCTGGGGGTCTCCGAGCCAACACATGCTAATTCGAGATCAGCCTCTGGCCTTTCAGCTGTTCTCACCGCAGTTCTGAGAAAGAGATCTCAACTGAGAGAATTCCCCAGAGTTCTGGAGAAGGGTGTCGTATTGGTTTCAGAACCAGCCAGATCCCTTCCAATATATTCTATTCTTCAGAGAAAACAGTAAAACTATGAACACAACAGGAACCCATTCCTTCCGGGGGCCGCTGTGAGGTCAGACATTGAATGGCACACCCAGGTCCAGAAGCTACTTCCAGCAGGCAGGGCCCTTGGGAAGCCAGGGCCTGGGCTCCACGGACAGGGGTTCCTGTCGTCAGGAGGCAGAGGGGTCCAAGGGGCAGGGAGAACCGGGAAGCAGGCTCAGAGCCAGTCCCAGTGCAGAGCCGGAATTGTGATGGCAGCAGGCAGGGTCACTGAGCAGAGGCGGTGAAGGGGACAGAGCTGCCCCCGCGCCACAAGGCAGCCATGGGGAACCACACACCCCTGCCGCCTTCAGGGGTTTCCGGGTACATCTGCCGCCCTGCCCGGTGCCCCTGCTGGCTACAGCATGGAGCTTCCCATTGCACCCTCGGTCAGCCTCCCCTCTGCCTTCCCAGGGGCTTCCCTCACGGAGGGCCCTGTCCTGGGCCTGCCATCCCCAGTATCTAGGTCCTTCCACATCTGCCTGGTAACCTCCTCAAGGTCCTAGATCCACACTCCCCTCTACCTACCATCCCATCTTCTCTCCTCTTTACCAAACATCCTGCGAGAGTGATCTACTCCTGTTCTCAAAGTGGGAGCAGCAGCAGGGCTGAGGCTTTTATACCCCCAACTTCAATACCCCAATTACTGACTCAGGAGCCCTGGGGGTGGGCCCAGTCATTAGGATTTGATTATCAAGTTCCCCACAGGGACACCCACTGGTGTCTGAAAACCACAGCCACACCTGCGCTCCCCTGCGCACGTGCCGTCCACTCCTTTACCTGGTGTGGTCCAGCCCTGCCCTCCATCCCATCAAAGCTGCTCTGCCAAGGTCACCAGCAGCCCCTCCATGGTGCGCCACGTGGCCCTGGATGTTAGCTTCTGGACAGCACCTGACCCATTGCTTTCTTCCAGAACTGCTGGTTTTGGCAAATCCAGGCTCCTGGGAGCCCTGCCTAGTGCCCTGTAGCCTGTCGTGTGTGGGGGTGCCTTTCTCCTGCCACCTGCAATGGTGTCATTCTGTAGGGCTCCCTCTCTCACATTTCCCAGGCCCCAGTGACAGCGGCAGCTAACTCTGATCACTATGAACTACAGCTCCTGTCATCTGGTGGACACTCACTCAGAATTCAACCCACCACACCCAGACAGGTCAACACCCATGCACACTCATCCGAGACTCTTTACGGACGACCTTCTGTTTGGGGGATACGCTGTGCCTGTCCTTCTTCCCTCTGAGCCTTTGCACAGGCTGTTCCCTCTCTCAGGAGCCCTTCCAGCCCCACTCCCTGCACCTCGCATGCCTGATGCCCACCCAGCCTGACCTCCCAGACCTTCCATGGACCCCCAAATTGGGCCTGACATCATGACAGGTGCCCCACAGTGTACTGGGCTCCCCTTGCAGTGCTGATGACAACTATTATCACAGCCAACTGTCTCCACTGATAACATTGATTTGAATTATTTTTATCATAAATGGAAAACTAAACAACATTGGGAAGGCAGAGGTCCCAGCTCAGCTTTATAAAAACACCTAAGAACATCTCCATTACTGCCAGTTCAGGAATGGGATTTCAGGGCCATGCCCACCTCCTGACTAAAGGATTCCTCTCCACAGGCAGCTCCCACACATCTGCTTCTAGCACCCACAGTAAAAAGGGGGTCCTGGCCGGGGCTCAGGGGGCCACTGTCTGCAGCCTGCCTGGCTGCTCCAGGTGTTTCAGGGTGGCTGCTTGGGGACTGTCTGCTTGTGTGAGGATGTGCTGGGGGCTCACGGGCCAGCCGGAAGCTGATCTGGCCCACCACAAGCCACCCTGAAGGAGGTCCCTGTGGTATATATGACTCCCCAGGTGCGGGGCACCTTACAGCGTCTAAATGCGCTGTCCATATATGACTCCACAGGGCACAGAGAAGTCACATCTCTTCCTGTCCTAAGACCACCCTGCCTGCAACGGTGACCAGTCCTTGTGGGTGTGATTGTCGGAAGGGCTTGTGAGCTTATTCAGCCAACATGGAAACTGCTCCTCCACCCACAGAAGCTCCTCAGGGTCAGCGCTGCCTTGGTCACTGGTTGGGACAGGGACCAGCATTGCCACCTGGCTTGCGTGCATGTGGGCTCTCGGGATCTCAAAGTGACAGGGAGAGCATTGGGGGTGACATCAAAAGGTCTGAACCCTGTGCTAGGGTGTCTTTACAGGAGTCAGCAGACAGCGAGCAGCTGGCCAGGCCTGATCTGATGCCCGGTACCAGTGCCTGGCCAGTGATCTGGGTAGAGATAACCATCCGGGGCTCCACGGCTGCTGAGAAGCCCAAAGCAGGTGCAGTTCTGGGTGGGCCTGGATGCTTCTGGTCATGCTGTCATCTGCTCTCCTCTGCTTGTTGCTTGGGCTCAGAATTGGCTTCAGCCCCTACCCCCGCCCCTCCCTGGTGAATCTGCAAGTCTCCCCTGCCCACGCCCTCTGCTCCAACTCACTGCTGTGTTCCCCAGCCATGCCCCAGTCCCCGAGGCCTCCAGGACCTCCTTGGCCACCTGTCACGGGAGTTCTCTGCATTTCCTAAACTGGACTGTCGGCCTCTCTAGCAGGATTGGGGCAATGTTCATGGATGATATCCTAAAATATGTTTTCCAGTCGTTTGCTTTCTCTCCCTGTATTTCAGGGACACCAGTGAGCTGTCGATTTGGTCTATTTACATAACCCCATGTTCCTTGGAGGGTGGGTCCTTGGAAGATCCCTTGCACTATGGGCCACGTGACTTTTCCAGATGTCCCCATCTCTCTGTCCTGGCTAGCAGCATTCCACACTGAGTCATGACAACAACGATGATGAGGAGGAAACAATACCCCAAAAGGGTGACTGACTTGCTGAATTCAGAACTTCCCATGTTCCAAGTCCTGTTGGCTCCATTACGGACAACATCCCATTTCGTCCCATAACCCTGGTACTGTTATGATCCTCATTTTACAGATGAGGAAACTGAGGCTCCACGAACATACTGCCTGTCACGTGTCAGGCACCATGAGGCTGCAGGAGTGCCTGGCATGCCCAGCTCAGAGAAGGCTGAAAGGACCTGGCAACTGAGGCACTTCCCTGGCCTGAAGCTTCTTGGCCTCAGACAGGACCAGGGATCCAGGGCTGCTTTCTCCCCACCCCAGAGGGCGGTGATGGCAGTGTGTGATCAAGACAGGCCGGGGCGCCCTGGGTACTCGGTCCATGGACCCAGCTCTGCTCCTGGGGGCTCTCCCCTTGGGTCAGGAGCTGTCCCAGGTCCTTTTACCTGGATCCCAGACCACCTACCAGCACAAAGCTCAGACGCACCTGGGCTGTGACTCGTGGCTGCAGAAATGGAACTGGGGATCTAAGGGGAAAAGCACCAACACTGGGTTCCCCAGGCCCGGGCTGGCGTCTCTGCAGGTGCCGCTCTCTGAGCCTGTGGCCTCATCTACAGCACAGGGCTGATAAGACCAACATCCCACAGGTTTGCTGAAAGGCTTCAAGAGAGATGAATGCATCCGGGGGCCTCGGCACAGGGCACTCATGAGTGTTCACCTCACAGCCAGCTCGGACCTGGCGCGGTGTGAGGTGCCTTCCGAGGGCAGGCCGGGACGGTGTCCCTAGCATTCCCACGGGAACTGGCTTTGTCTGGGGGCCCAGGCCTCACCTGGCTGGCAGGGGGCTGGCCCACCACCGCCTCGTACGGAGGGGGGAGCTCAGCAGGATAGAGCAGGCCGGGGCTATTGATGGCCACGTCATACAAAGTGCCGAATGGAGACGGAGCAAAGTCCAGGTGGAGGCCCCTGAAAAGACAGAATCATCACATCGTCATTGCCCGAAGGAGGAGGCAGAAGTGCTGACAGCTCTCAAAGCCGCCAGAGCAGGGGCGGCCAGGGCTTCCCCTCTTCTAATACTTCCCATCATTGTGAAATCAAAGCTTCAGTCACTGGGCGATTTGCACTTTTGTTTTTTTTTTTTTTCTGGAACGACATCAACATTTTCAATAAACTCTACTGACCTGTCCATTAAAATTCAAATAATCATACAGCTGATTACATCTTTCATTAAACTGTACATGTTACACAAATGACTGCAACGTGACCGCAGCTTTGCACCTCATGAGAACTTAAGGCAGCAACACCTGTCTGCCTCCGGCTTCTTTCGGGTTGCGTTGCAAAGGTGCCACAGGGAACGCTGTATGTCTAAGACCCTCTCCTTCCACTGCCCCTCCTCTGTTCTCACCGCCATGCCTGCAGGTCCACTGCAACTCCCACCACCCGGACACTGCTGCCCATCTTAGTGGTTTCGAGATGGGGGCAGCCGCGGGAGACCAACCTCTGGGCCTCAGTGGACGGTGTGCAGGTGTACTCTGGGGGGTAATAGGGTGGAGGCGGGAGTGGGGGGATGAACTCGTCGAAATCCAGGGTCTGGTGGAGAACGGTGCCGTGAGGAGTCACGCAGGTGGGGTTGGCAGGATGTGACCTCTGCGGAAGGAACTGGAAAACAGAGACAACCACAGAGTTATCTGGGACATCTTGTGTGGCTTGTGTCTCATTAAGCTAATTATACGAGAGCTTTAATGATCAGTTTGGAATGCCTGTAATTTCAACTGTCAAGCCATGACTGCTAAGCACACACTTTAAAATGAAGGCGCCAGGAGGAACGCCTCGTCTCAGAAGTCTCAAAACGCTTTGTTGCCCACGCTGTTATACAGAATGCCTCTTTTTAAAGAAAACATATGGTCTGGGAAGTCTTTCATGCTGTCCCTACCACTCCAACTGGCCCCTCTGATGACAGTACTCAAAGACTGCAGACGGAAGGCTGCCTGACGTGCGTGGTTTAAGACGGCACTTCGGCTGGGTGTGGTGGCTCATGCCTGTAATCCCAGCACTTTGTGAGGCCGAGGCGGGTGGATCACCTGTGATCAGGATTTCGAAACCAGCTTGGTCAACATGGCGAAACCCCGTCTCTACTAAAAATACAAAAAATTAGCTGGGCGTAGTGGTGCATGCCTGTAATCCCAGCTACTTGGGAGGCTGAGGCAGGAGAATTGCTTGAACCCGGGAGGCGGAGGTGGCAGTGAGCCAAGATTGTGCCATTGCACTCCAGCCTAGGCAACAGACTGGAGTGTTTTTGAGACTCTGTCTGAAAAAACAAACAAACAAAGACGGCATTTCTCAAAGTGTGTTCATGAGAAAACACTAGACCCTCCCCTCGAAATGTCCCCACCCCACCCCAGAATTCCCGTGGTCAATCTGTGGGAAATGCCACATGCTCCCTTCTTGGAGTCCTGCATTGTGCATTCGTGTGTTAAAGGCTCTGAGAAGGGCTGTGCTGAAGTACTTATTTAGCTGTTTAACATTTTAACCCAGCATTTCTCAAATATTTCATAATGGGCCCCTTTGGACACGTAGTATCTATTAATATTTTGCAGTCTCAGGATTTCACACAGTTTGTAAAACACTGCTCTGAGGAAAGAGAGACAACTTCATGAGTTCCAGAACATTCTACTGGCCAACCTTGAACACCGAGATGCTGCTTTAATAGTGAGGTGAAATCACTTTAACAAAAATGAAACCTGTTTCTGCCTAGTTTTCCGTTTCTGAAGGACTAACCAACAACCAACTGCTTTTCTTTCCACCTTCACATCTCTGCTGCCCAGAGGTCACCTGTGGCGTGAGATGCCTGGGACATTGCTCCAGCTCCAGTCAATGCCGCCCTATGAGTGTCTACACGGCAAGAAGATCCATGCTGCAAAAGCTCTGGGCCAGGGGCCCTCCTGGCGCAGGGCAGGTGAGGTAAGGAGAGGAAGGGTGAGTGCGTGTGTGTCTGTATGTGTGTGTTGTGTGTGTGTGTGCATGTGCATGTGTATGTGCATGTGCATGTGTCTGTGTATATATGTATGTGTGTGTTTGTATGTATGTGTATGTGCATGTGTATATGTGTATGTGTATGTGCATGTAGATGTGTGTGTCTCTGTGTGTATGTGTATGTGTGTGTATGCGTGTGTGTGTGTGTGTGTGTTGAGGGGAAGACAGGGACCCAGAATCACCCTACACAAGCAAGGACAGCTCCATTAGAAAACAGTGAGGTCTCCAAGCACTGTGTGGGGACTGCGCTCCCCAAAGCATTCATGAAGAACGCATCTGAACGGGTCTTGAAAGATTGGTGGGATTTCATCTAGTGGGCGCTCAGGGAGACACTCAAGCCCCAGAACAGGTGAGCCAGGGAAGGATGTGTTTAAGAAAAGCAAATAGATAAGGCTCTGGAAGTCAATTCTTAATTCTGGGGCACTGGGGAGCCTGTAAGGGTGTTGGAGCTGGGGAGCAGGGGGACTGGAGCTGCGTGGTAGGAGGTGCCTTCTGGCAGCAGGGGTAGGGTGGGCTGGAGCTGACAGAGGCCAGGACGTGAAGCACTTTTGCACGGGTAGGGGTGAGGTGACGATTCTGAATGGGGTCAAGCGCTGTGAAATAAGCATGCTCTAGGTTGACGAAGAAAGGCTGGTGGCCGTGTCTAAAGGTCTAACACATCACAGGAAAATGGCTCCCGTGGGCCTCCTAACACACGGAGCACACTCCTCGCCTCTCTGGCTGGACCGACCCACGGCTGCGTGTGTTTAATTGTCCGAAACAGAGGTGAATCATCCGCTGTGAGCGGGACGCATGTGCGTCTGTGGTCCTCCGCCTTGGAGGCTGTCAGTCCTGATGCCTGCTGCACAGAGCTGAGAAGCAGGGCGAGGGCAAATGCCCTCAGGTCTAATCAGGAAATATTTTCAATTAGTCTCTATCAGAAATTAGAAAAAATATCAATGACATACCCAAGCAAAACTAATGACATGCAGACACCAAAACACTTTCCAGTTCAAGGCACCATTCCACCAGGAAGGAGAACAAGCATTTGAGGAGGGGCAGAGGTACAAGGGACCCTCTCCGCAGGTGCAAGTGAGCAGAGGCTGCCACACACTGGAGGCTATGTAAAGGTCAAAGGACGCGGCTGCATCTGCTCCGGGTCGCCTTTCGGGGACATGTTGGCCCCACCTTCCTGGACCCTTTTCCCAGGAATCCTTTGACCTTGACTCCTCAGCCTCCCCAGCGAGAATCCTGCAAGTGGCGCTTGACGTCTCCCCTCTCTTCCCCACCATCAGTGTGTGTTTAATTAGGTCTGGGTGTGTCTCGCGGCCCAGGGTGGCCAGCTCTGTCCTCTGCTCTGCAGGCTGGGGCTGGAGGTCTGCAGACTACGCTTCCCAGGCTGCCGTGCCTGGGCTGCCGGCAGGCTCCGCCTGTAGGGGGTGCCAGAGGGCACCTGGCCGGCCTGCGGGGCGAGGAGGGAGCTGCGGGTTTCCTGCGCCTTCCCACCTCCTCCCTTCTGTTCCCCGGCTTTGCGGGCTGAGAGCTGCCCTCCGCACTTATTCCACTCTCTGTAAGCTCAGCACCCTCTTCTGTTCCTTCAGCCTTCCACACCCAAGTAACCTGCTCCCCGTAACTGTGTTGAAATCCTAAGGGCAATTTCTTTTCCTGACCATCTGGGGCACATCTATTTTACCCACCTCTGTACCCGTCTCACAATCGCACACAGCGGGTACTCAGTAAACTTCTGCAGAGGAGACGGGCAGACGCCTCCTTGCGGGGCAACTCCACTCAGCCCCTGTCCACCTCCTCCTCGCAGGAGCTTCTAACCTGTGTGCCTCTCTGCCTTGATTTTCTGTCTCTGTAATTTGGTCGCCATCCTGCTACCACAGCTGTTTTTAAATCAATCTGATGAGGTCACTGCAGTTGAAAAGACTTTAATGAGACCCTGGCTCACTGAACTCCATCTGGTTTCCAGCTTCCTAACCCAGCGCCCCCAAACTCCCCGCTCTTTGAACAAACCAGCTCTAATCCCTACTATCAAACACGTATTGTTCCTTCTTCCCAGCTCCCCACCTCCCTTTCACCTGGCGCCTCCCAGTCACCTTCAGGACCAGCGGAAATGCCTGTGACCCTGAAAAGCCAGTGGGCAGCCACCCCTCCCCCATCCCACCCAAGCTCCAGGCTCTGCAGCCTCACCTGCATGTTGACTGCCAGGTATAAAGCTCAACTCTGCACCTGGAGGTGGAGGGCAAAAAAGGGGCTGTGAACAGTCCCTTCTTTCCCAGGTGGCTCTGTTTGCCCTGATCTGTAACTGTCTTCTCTGATCCATGTGGTGACAAAGGTACACCTGTGTCTGGTGCCCAGCTGGGGCTCATGCACCCGATGTGGGCATCACTAGTGCCCAGGGCTGTCCCCGCACAACAGGAGTGAGGATTTGAGACCCCGCTGGAGAAGAGCCCCTGCTCAGTCTGCTCCGGGGAGAGGGGATCCGAACTCAGGTGTGTGCTGTCCACCTTCTCAGGTGGGTGCACGTGGAAGTGATGGAGGATGAGAACTAAGGCTACCTGGCCTTGGGCAGCTTCCCAAAGCCCACTTAACACAGAGCCCCGAACATTTCAGTCTATCCACACAGCCCAGAGTCTGGGATCTGAGGGAGATCGTGAAGAGGTCAACCTGCCTGGGACCGGGAGTCAGACCGCAAGTCAGTTGTCTCTGGGCCCTGCCTGGGCACTGAGGGCCCACAGGATGTGAGCACATTTCTGATCCTGTGAGTCTCAGTCCCCTTCCCTGAGAAGCACCATTGCTCACACAGACCCAGACAGCAGTGCTGTGTGGCTGAAAGGAAGGCTTGGATCATTAGTATGAGCTCATCCAGCCCATGCCTCCATCTCCTGCCATCGGGAACAAGGTGGGGCAGGGCAGGCATCAGGGGTCTGTGGACAAGGGCCGGGGATTTGCAGAAACACCGTGGAGCTCTGAGCTGCCTGTTCCTCCAGGTCCCAGCCGGGTCTGCTCACCTCCCTTTATATTTAGTGGTTTCCTGCCCAGCACCCACTCTCCCTGCTCCCTCTACCAATGTCCTTGCCACATCCTGGCTCCTGAAGGGAGCACACACACCTCTGAATTTTTCCAGAAAGACTCAGAATTACAGGGAAGGGCCTTCTCCCTCTGCCTTCCTTAGACTTGGTAGAAACAGCAGGCTTGTTACTACCGAAGTTTGCTGAATCAACTTCCTCCTGGACAACCCTGCAGATGAGCTGGAGCTCCCGCTCTGTGCTCCAGACCCTGGGGAGAGCCCGCCCTGCGGCCCCCTGGTCCTGCCGCCACCCCCAGGTAGGTTCCATGCCCACCCAGGGCTCCAGGGTGCCTTACTGCACAGGGTGAGGCCTGTGTTCATTATGACTGTAATTGCATAAGGAAATAGGGATGCAGACAGGAAGAGCTGCTCGTTCTGTGAAAACCAAGTTGAATGCTTTGGAAAGACTCAATAAAGGAGGGCAGCCAAGCAGAAACCGCTGCCAAGTCAAGTCCAGGCAAGGCAGGTCTAAGAGCAGAGAAGAATCATAAAAATCTAGGGAAGGTCTGTCTCCCCTGGCTGGCTTCCCCTGGCTGGCTCCACTTTAGAGGAACTGAATCTGAAAATCATTGATGGTGTGATTTCCACAAACTTTCTGCAAGAAATACACCCAGACAGGACAACAGACCCATAACCAAAGGGATGACCACAGCCCCAAATGAGATGACTGGTTGACAGATGCTCATTAGCATATCTGACGTCAAAGAAAAACGATTGTGTGTCCACATCATTTTTATGATTGTCTGCATTAGCTGTTTGGATGAAGTTCCTGGTCTGATAGATAAGTAGCACCTACTGTCCAGAGACAATTCTGTGGAGCCCAGGCCTCAAGGACCTCAAGGTTACTGTGGGTCCCCAGAGTGCCCTCTCCAGCAGGTGCAGCCAGTGCTGGGGTGAGGCGGAGAGAAGACACTGGTGAACTTGGTGATGCTGTGGCTCCCATGGGGTGGTGTCGTGTCCCTGACCAGCCAGCACCGCTTAACCAGCTCCATGGGCAAACCCACAGTTACCACGCGATGGAAGGCACAGTGCCCCCTCTGCACTGTCTAAAGGAGGTCAACTCTGTAGGGCAGACAGCTACCTAAATGACAATAATGAAAGATGAAGTTAATAAGCGCATGCCTAATGGAGATACATGTCATAGTAGATGATATTCCTGAGGCTGCAG
Source organism: Homo sapiens (assembly GCF_000001405.40). NCBI lineage: Eukaryota > Metazoa > Chordata > Mammalia > Primates > Hominidae > Homo > Homo sapiens. The sequence continues at coordinate 1,418,363 of NT_187660.1, forward strand.
CAGCTGGCGAGGAAGTAAGTGAAGAAGAAAACAATGTATCAGAAAAGTGGAAGAATGAGATGACATTTAAAAACAAAAAAAAAATGACATTACAGACACTTAAATGATCAAAAACCTTTTCTGCTAAATGATGTCAATCAACCACATTGTATCATCAGAATGTCTTTTGCCACGATTTCCACACATATTAGAGTAGCTCAGCTTCATCAGTTCTGACAATAGGCAGAACGCTTTGCTTCTCATGGATACAAGCATGCATTATGCTAGTTCCATCGGCAGTTAATGATCCCAAATTGCTGATCCACAGAAATAAGATGGGAGTTTCAGGTTCTTTGGAGACTTGTTCTTGCTATTCCTAGATTCCCACCAGCACTGGACACATAGCAAAGCCCCTGAGATAATTGCTGACTAACTGAATGAATGAATGAGTGAGCAAAGAAGTGAACAGATCAGTAAACACAAAACTGGGACTCTTCCTGAAAAATGGTTACGGCTGGAATTTTGATCAATTGTGTAAGTTGTCAGCACATCAATCACAATAGAAATCACAGCCTGGGTCCTTCCTGCTAACATGGAGGAGCAGGGAGAGGGGCTGGGAAAGTGGGGCTGAGACCCGCACAGTGGAGCAGAGTTGCCAGGCTGCAGGGCTGCCTTGGGGGCAAATTGGGAAGAGGTGCTCCTTCCTGTGGGAGGTCAGGGCATGGCTGTCATCCCCTCAGCCCAGCACCCCTCTGTAGGGCGCAGCACAACAGGGCACCAGAGAAGGGCCGTGGGGGCTGGAGCTGTGGCTCGGGGGGCTTCCCACAGGTTCTTTCTGAGAAAAGAAATTAGTTGATTGGGAAAGGGTGGCCGAAGGGCTTACACACACTTGCCCACAGTGACCTTCCTCCTTAATTATGCTCCCTTTATAAATTAGTGCTTCTCACTTGGAAGGTCTCAGATACAAATAAACACCAGAAATGAAGAGTTAGTACAACCAAAGCCACAACTGAATGCAAGAAATGAAAACCCGCTCAGAACAAAGAGGCCGACATACAGGAAGGTAAAGAACACAGAAACAGCAGTGAGCAGTAAAGCTTCTATAAAATTAAATCTAAAGGGGTCATGAAGATGTGAAGGGATGCTGTGATTTAAGGGCTAAGGAGGAGTGACATAGAAAAGACATCCCAAAGAGCTTACACTCTAACACATTTCGCCTGGAACTAAATGACTTTAAACCACCGCAGGAAAACCCAGAAGCTGGCCATGGTGTGGGAGGAGGAGGGAAGTGACGCACTCCAAAGAAATGACAGGGTAAGAAGAAAGTCATGCTGAGGAAAGCACAAAACACCAAGACACACAGATGCCAAGAGACGCCTTCTTCTCTGGGACTAGTGGTTGCCTGGTTAATGAATAAGAAAGTTATTTAAAGTGGGGAGTTTCACACACACATACACATGCAAACATAATACATACATACTGAACCCATTTTACTTTAACTTAAATCCTGTATATGTGGAGAAATTCATAGAAAGACACAAACTACCAAAACAGACTTGAGAAGAATAGAAAATGTGACAAGAGATTGAATTAGTAATAATACAACTACCCGCAAGGAAAAGTGCAGGCTCAGATGGCTTCACTGGTGAACTCTATCAAATATTTAAAGAAGGGCCGCGCATGGTAGCTCATGCCTATCATCCAAGCACTTGGGGAGCCCAAGGAGAGAGGGTCACTTGAGCCTACGAGTTCGAGACCAGCCTGGGCATCATAGAGGGAACCTGTCTCTACAAAAAAATTAAAAAATTAGCTGGGCATGGTGACGTGTGCCTGTAGTCTCAGCTACTTGGGAGGCTGAAGTGGGAGGATTGCTTGAGCCCAGGAGGTAGAGGCTGCAGTGAACCATGATCGCACCTCTGCACTCCAGCTGGGGGGACAGAGTGAGACCTTGTCTCAGGAAAAAACAAACAAAAAAAAACATTTAGCCGGGTGTGGTGGCTCACACCTGTTATCCCAGCACTCTGGGAGGCTGAGGCGGCTGGACCACCTGAGGTCAGGAGTCCAAGACAAGCCTGCCCAACATGGTGAAACCCCATCTCTACTAAAAATAAAAAAAATAAAAAAATAAAAAATTAGCCGGATGTGGTGGCATACATCTGTAATCCCAGCTACTAAGGAGGCTGAGGCAGGAGAATCACTTGAACGTGGGAGGTGGAGGATGCAGTCAGCTGAGATCAAGCCACTGCACTCCAGTTTGGGTGACAGAGAGACTCCATCTCAAAAAAAATTTAATGAATAATTAATACAAATTCTTCATAACAATCTTCCAACAAACGGAAGAGGAAGAAACACTTCCAAACTCTTCTATTAATATGAAAAGGATTACTTATCATAACCAAGTGGGATTTATCTCGCAAATGCAAGGTTGGCTTAACATCAGAAAAATCAATCTGTGTAATTCAACATATTAATAGAACAGAGGACAAAAACCCTATGGTCATCTCAATAGATGCAGAAAAAGCATTTGACAAAATCCAACTTTCTTTTTGATAAAAAAGACCCAACAGGCTGGACACGGTGGCTCATGCCTGTAATCCCAGCACTTTGGGAGGCCGAGGTGGGCAGATCACGAGGTCAGGAGATTGAGACCATCCTGGCTAACACGGTGAAACCCCGTCTCTACTAAAAATACAAAAAAATTAGCCAGGTGTGGTGGCGGGCGCCTGTAGTCCCAACTATTCAGGAGGCTAAGGCAGGAGAATGGCGTGAACCCGGGAGGCAGAGCTTGCAGTGAGCCGAGATTATACCACTGCACTCCAGCCTGGGCGACAGAGCGAGACTCCATCTCAAAAAAAAAAAAAAAAAAAAAAAACAACCAACAAACTAGGAATAGAAGGGAACTTCCTGAATCTGATCAACAGCATCTATGAAAAACCCACAGCTAACATACTACTTAATGGTGACAGACTGGATGCTTCCCCTAGATACAAGCTAAGAAAGTCCACTCTCACTGCTTCTATTCAACATCGTAGTGGAGGTTCCAGCCAGGGCAATCAGGAAAGAAGACAAGATGAAAGACATCCAGAGTGAAGTAAACTGATTTCTATTTGCAGGTGACATGATTTTGCATATAGAAAGAATCCAGAGAAAAGCCCAACAACAATAAAGCTCAAAATGAGTTCAGCATGGTTTCAGGATATGAGATCAATATAAAAAATCATTTGTATTTCTATATATTAGCAATGAATGATCTGAAAATTTAATTAAGATAGTAATTCCATTTATGATAGCATCAAGAAGAATAAGATACTCAGGAATAAATTTAACAAAAAAGCAAAACTTGCACACTGAAAACCGTGAATATAACTGAAAGAAATTAAAGAACATCTAAATGAATGGAAGGGTACCTCATGTCCATAGGTTGGAGGACTTACTATTGTTAAGATGACAATATTCCTGAAACTGATCCACAGATTAACCACAATCCTCATCAAAATCCCAGGTGGATTGTTTGCAGAAGTTGACAAACTCAACCTAAAGTTCATATGAAATCAAAGGGCACAGAATATCCAAAACAATGTTCAAAAACTACAGAACTGGAGGGCTCACACGTCCACACGTCAAAACTTACTATGAGGCTACAGCAATCGAAACCATGTGGCACTGGCATCAGGACAGACATAGGTCAATGGAATAGAATTGAGAGTCCAGAAATAAACACGTATATCTATGGTCAATTGAGTCTGACTAATGTTACCAAGACCATTCAACGGGGAAAGATTCATTTTTTCAACAAATGGTGTTGGAAACAGAACAAAGCTGGACCCCTACCTCACACAGTGTATAACAATGAACTCAAAATGGTCTAAACACCTATGTGCAGGCCGGGTGTGGTGGCTCACGCCTGTAATCCCAGCACTTTGGGAGGCTAAGGCAGGCTGATCACAAGGTCAGGAGTTTGAGACCAGCCTGGCCAACGTGGTGAAACCCCGTCTCTACTAAAAATACAAAAATTACCTGGGGTGGTGGCACACGCTTGTAATCTCTGCTACTCGGGAGGCTGAGGCAGGAGAATTGCTTGAACCTGGGAGGCAGAGGTTGTGGTGAGCCGAGATCACACCACTGCACTCCAGCCTGGGTGACAGAGCAAGACTCCATCTTGGGGAAAAAAAAAAACCAAAAAACCCTAAGTGTAAGAGCTAACAGTAACACTATAAAGCTCTTAGGCATTGCTTTCTTAGATGTGACACCAGAAGCACAAACAACTAAAGAAAAAAGCAGAGAAACTGAACTTCATCCAAATTGAAACTTTTGTGCATCAAGTGAAAAGATAACCCACAGGGTGGGAGAGAAATTTACAAATTATATATCTGATAAGGGGGTTGTGCCTGAAATACAGAAATAACTTTTACAACTCAGTAATAAAAAGACAAATAACCCAATTTTAAAAATAGGCAAAAGGTCTGAAAAACATTTCTGTAGGGAAAATATACAAATAGCCACAAGTGCATGAAAGTATGTTCACCATCATTAATTATCAGGGAAATGCAAATCCAAACCACAATGAAATACCACTTCACCACCACTACGATGGTTATAATTAAAAGAAAGATCATAAGTGTTGGCGTGGATGTGAAGAAACTGGAACCAAAATGAAATACCACTTCACCACCATGATGGTTATAATTAAAAGAAAGATCATAAGTGTTGGCGTGGATGTGAAGAAACTGGAACCAAAATGAAATACCACTTCACCACCATGATGGTTATAATTAAAAGAAAGATCATAAGTGTTGGCGTGGATGTGAAGAAACTGGAACCACAATGAAATACCACTTCACCACCACTAAGATGGTTACAATTAAAAGAAAGATCATAAATGTTGGAGTGGATGTGAAGAAACTGGAACCCTCATGGTCTCACGGTGGGAATGTAAAATGGCACAGCTGCTTTGGAAAACAATCTTGCAGTTCCTCAAAAACAGAATCATCCTTATGACCCAGCAATTCCCCTCCAAGGTATATACTCAAGATAAATTAAAACATATGTTGACACAAAAACTTGTACAAGGATGTTCATAACAGCATTATTAATAACAGCCAAGAAGGCAAACAGCCCATATGAACATCAACTGATGAATAAGCAAAATGTAGTATACTGATACAACAGGATATACTGTTGAGCCGTAAAAAAGAATGAAATGTTGGTACATGTAGAAACATGAATGAACCTTGAAAACATCATGCTAAATGAAAGAAGCCAGACACAAACGGCCACATGTTGTATCATTCAATTTATATGGAACATGCAGAACAGGCAAATCCATGGATACAGAAAGTAGATTAGTGGTTTCCTAGGGCTGAGAGGTGGGAAGGAAATAGGGTGACTGCTAAAGGCTATAGGGTCTCTCTTGGGGATAATAAAAATGTTCTAAAATGGATTGTGGTGAAGGTTGTACAACTCTGTGAAGATATTAAAACCGCTGAATTTTAAATGGAGGAATTGTATGATAGGTGAATTGTATCTCAAGACAGCTGTTACCCGATCCCCCATCTCACAGATCCCTGGTAAAAGAAAAAAACCATTTATAAAGTGTCCCTCTGAATCCACAAGGAATTGCTTCCAGAACCTCCTCTGCCACTGGATACTAAAATCGGTGGAGGGTGAAGTCTTTTACATAAAATAATGTTGTATGTGGACATAACCTACACACATCCTCCTGTATACTTTGAATCATCTCTAGAATACTTCTAACACCTAATACAATATAAATGCTATGGAAATAGTTGTTATACTGTATTGTTTTTTATTTATATTTTTGTTGTTGTTTTGTTATTTTTATTGTGTTTTTTCCTTGAATAGTGTCGATCCACGGTTGGCTCAGTGGGGGCTGACTGTACATACATGGACTGACCTTTTTCTGCCTGAGTAAAGCCTTTTCTGAGAGTCAGTCTGCTGTGTGGAGTGCCTCGTGGTCTTTCCTGCATAAGCTGCATCCATAAGACATGAATCTAACAACCCTTTTCTGTGTTTTTAAAGTGGGGCTAGAGCTGAAAGGCACTTGTCAAGCAATGTGTATGTGGACTCCCTCCAGATTTTTTTTTAATTTTTTTTTTTTTTTAAGTCTCAATCTCGCTCTGTCGCCCAGGCTGTAGTGCAATGGCACAGTCTTGGCTCACTGCAACCTCCGCCTCCCAGGTTCAAGCCAATTTCCTGCCTCAGCCTCCCGAGTAGCTGGGATTATCGGCATGTGCCACCATGCCCTGCTAATTTTTGTATTTTTAGTAGAGACGGGGTTTCACCATGTTGACCAGGGTGGTCTTGAACTCCTGACCTCAGGTGATCTGCCGGCCTCCCAAAGTGCTGGGATTACAAGCGTGAGCCACCAGGCCCGGCTCCTCTAGATTTTTATCAGCATTTATCGCAACCGCCATAGTTGTCTCACTTGCATCTAATGGACAGCAATACATTCAGCAGCACCCCCTTTCACCGAACCTTTCCAAAGAACTCGACTGTGCTGTACCAGAAACAATTATCTTTCTGCACTCATATTTCATGGCTTTACATAGTACTAGAATATGTAATTACAACAAATATCACTGGCATAAACTAGTTAGGAATAGCTACAACTGTCCCTTGGAAAGCTCATGGCCCAGCTTCCTGGAGCAGAAATGGCGCAGGGGTGAACTGCGGAAGCTACTGGTAGGGAATGGTTCGCACAGCCAGCCTGGCTCAAGCCTCGGCCCACATGGCAAGAGCCGACCTCCATGTGGCCACCACGTTCCTTCAAATCCCATTCCCACAGATGAGCGGACTCATCCCATCAGCAGCTCTGTGAGGACAGCAGGGCACACGCTTCATCTTTAGAGCCGAGGAAACGGGGTCCCACAGGCAGTGATGTGCCCAAGATTGTGCCAGTCCCATAGGGCGCCATGGCCACCCTCTGAATCCACAGGGAAGTGTGGATTCACCCACCACCAGCTCTCTTTTGCCTCGCCCATGACTCTCAAGCCCGGCAGCAGAGCCGGGGGTCTCATCACGAGAGCAGAGCCTTGGGCTCCCGCGGTACCCGTCACAGACCGGAAAGGATGTGCTGGCAGGAAGCCGGATATTTCTGCTTCCAAGCCAGGGTGTGAGGCAAACTCACCCACAAAGTACTCAGCGAGGAAACAACAGGGCTTCTGACGGCAGCCGCTGTCGCCGCAGCCTGCCTTTCCCTTGCACAGTGTTTTCTGCTGGTAAAGAGCCTCAGCCCACCGCGTCTGCAGACATTGCTGCGACGTCCCAGTGACAGACTGATATTCCCTACACATTTCAAATCCAACACATCACACGTATTAGGGATCTCCAGGCATCCCATTCATTCCACTTCACAGGTGAGGAAACTGAGGCACAGGAAGGTTCAGTGACACACCCAGAGTCACCTGCCTCGAATGCAGAAGAGGTGGGACTCAGACCCTGGAGCGCCTGGCTTGAGAAGCACGGCTCCACGCCTGCTCATGCCCCACCCATCACAACTACAGAGCGACTCTGCACACTGCTGTTATAATCGTATATGCTCTTATAAAGAGAATTTACTTTATTCTTATTTAGTTGGCAATTTTCATTTTAAAGCATAAAACCAGGAGAATGCAAACTTTTAGCATTTACATGCCTTTAGTTCTGTAAGTTTGGTCAAATGGATGTGATATTTACAGATCAATAGTAAAATCTGCTGAGGTGAGGAGAAGCCCCTGGTACTTAACCTTTCCTTTACAGAACACGTTGGAGAAAATTGCCAACATGAGGCCCCGATGAACAAGGGCAGAAGTTCATGGCTACCTTAGAACTGCTTAATTAGATACCTTTCAGAAAGGGCAGCCTGGCTGTGACAGCTGTGTGGATATACACCGGGAGGGAGAGACTCCCATGGCATGCAATTAGGACCAAAGAATTTTTAACGTCTTGGTAATGATGCTCTCTGGCCCTGTATCTTGATTAACTGGATGTTGACTGCCACAGGGTGAATGACAAAGAAGAGCACATTAAAAAAACCCACTATAAGAACCAGCTGCCTTTTCTTGCATAAGATGCATAAATCATTGCGTGGGAAGCAGCGTAGGTCTCAAAGGGGCAAATTGAGAGACAGAGAGACAGAAAGAGACCGAGGCAGAAAGACACACACAGAGACAGAGAGAGACAGACACACACTCATACACACACACACGCGTGCGCATAGATATTCCTACCCTTACCATGGAAGAACAATATTTTTTCATCAATTTCTCTTTGTTGTACTCAGTAGCATTCTGATCAGTAGGCTGTGTTCCATTCACATTGAAACAGGAAGAGCGTTCATTATTTATGAGATGTGTATTTAGAAATGTGTATTAATAACCCACATATTATAACATGTGTTAGTGAACCATGCTCCGGGCCTCCTCGCTGCCCCTGGGAGTGACAGGTCTTCTTGTGTATGACCCTGGGCAAAGGGTCAAATGATGGCCAGTGACTGGCCGCTGGAGTATGAGCTCAGGGTTCATTAGCAAATCAAAAATGCACAGGTTAGCAATTTTCCAACTGGAAAAGAACTGATCTTCTAACACCTCTAAACTTCCCGGATTAAAAGAGAATTCTGAAGCCCGAGGAAGGCACCTTGCTTTGGAGGTGCTGGGTCCAGGGGATGTCCAGGGCTGCAGGAATTTCACTACATGACTCAAGGGCACATGCCAGGGGCCATCCTAGAGAACACGACAGTGGCAGAACCCTGTCAATATGGAGCTCCAACAACACCTAAAATAAATACATCAGCGGCGCCACGTGTGCAGATGCTTGGTCTTCCAGAGGGCAACACAAGGTGGCCTCCAGGTGCCATGGACTGTCAGGGGCCGCTGTCCTCACAGCATCTGGCTGAAGCCAGAAGCGTCCACTCCTACACTGGTTTCAAACCGCGCAGAGGAGGAGGGGATCAGGCCACTCACCATCTGCAGGACATCGGAGGAGACCATCTGCATACAGCACATGGCTGTGGCCAGCGCACACACGATAGTGGACAGGACGTTGAGGGCACACACGCTGAAGAGGAGATCCTGCGAGGAAAGGTGCAGGAGAATGTCAGCCTCATCCCGAAATAGATAGCAGAATCCTTAGCCCTCCTGCCAGGGCCCAGAATGAGCGAGGTCGATGACCATCCACTTCATGGAGGTTTTGTTTTGTGTGTGTCTGTGTTTTCCTCATAATCAAAATTGGCCTTTCATAGAAACACATTCGTTTATTCCGTTACAATGATGAGCAAAGTATTCATAATACTCAACAATGTGTTTTACAATTTTGATAATTATTAGGTAGTCAGTAACATGTCTAAGGAAATCATAAGGTGGCCAACATTTAAGGAGGTGGGCCATTTTTATCAAACACAACCTATAACTCAAGTGAAACTTTTTATCTTGAGATAATTGTATATTCACATGCAATTGTAAGAAATCCTACAGAGAGATCTTGGGTACCCTTTACTCATTCTCCCTTAATGGTAACATTTGGCAAATCTATAGTACAATATCACAGCCAGATACTGACATTGGTATAGTCAGGATGCAGAATAGTCCCATCACCACACGGGTCCCCCCAGTGTTGACCTTTTATAGACACACTCACCTCCCTTTCCCTGCTCCCCATTTAACCCCCAGTTCTGATCCCCTGTCAATCGCTAGTCTGTTCTCCATTTTTTATAATTTTGTCATTTCAAGAATGTTGCATAAGTGGATTGCACAGCATGTAACCTTTCAGAATTGGCTTTTTCCACTCAGCATAATTCCCTTTAGACTCATCCAGGTTGTTGCATGTATCAGTAGTTGACTTCTTTTTATTGCTGAGTGGTATTCCACCATATGGATGTACCACATTGGTTTAATCCTCAACAACTGAAGAATATCTGGTTTTTTGGTATTCCAGTTTTCCAGTTGTGGGCTATTACAAATAAAGCTGTTGTGAGCCTTTGTTTATAGGTTTTTGTGTGAACATAAGTTTTTGTTTCTCCGAGATAAATGTCCAGGAGCACAATTGCTGATTTGTACAGTAATTGCATGTTTAGTTTTATTTTAAAAACTGAAAAAATGCCTTCCAGAGTGGCTGAACAATTTTTAATTCCCACCAGCAGTGTATGAGTGATTGGGTTTCTCTGCATGATTGCCAACATTTGGTGTCACTGTTTGTGTTTTAGCTATTCTCATAGGTGCATAATGATACTCCTTTATAAAATGTTTTATTTTGCATTTCCCTGATGCTAATGATGTCGAACATCTTTTCATGTGCTTATTTGCCATCTAGAGATCCTCTTTGGTAAAATGTCTGTTCATGTTTTTTGCCCATTTTCTAATTGATTGTAATGTTTACTTTTTTTTTTTGTAGTGTTGAGTTATGAGAGTTCTTTATGTATTCTAGGTACTAGTTCTTTGTCAGATAGGTGGTTTGCAAATATTTTCCCCCAGACTGTAGCTTGTCTTTTCATGTTTCACATAGAGTCTTAGTCAGCTCAGGCTGCTATTACAAAAATACCATAGACCAGGTAGCTCTAACAACAGTCACTTCTCACAGTCCTGAAGTCTGGAAGTCTGAGATCAGGGTGCCAGCCTGTTGGATTCTGGTAAGGGCCTGCTTCCTGGTTGAAGATGGCTAATGTCTCACTGTGTCCTTGCTTAGTGAAAAGAGGGCAGGGGAGCTCTCTGGTGCCTCTTTTAAAAGTGTATTAATCCCATCATGTGGAATCTACCCTCATGACCTAACAACCTCCCAAAGGCCCTGCCTCCTATTAAATAATAACATATTGGGAATTAGAATTTCAACATATGAATTTTGGAGGGACACAAGCATTAAGTCCATTATATCTGAGTTTTTAAAGAACAAAAAATTTTAATGTTCTTGAGATCCAACTGATCAACTTTTGTTCCATACTTTTGGTGTCAAGTCTAAAACTTTGTCAAGCCCCAGATTGTGAACAGTTTCTCCCATTTTTTTCTGAAAGTTTTTATAGTTTCATAGTTTGCATTTAAGTCTATGCTCCATTTTTGTTCTGAGACAGGGTCTTGCTCTGTTGCCCAGGCTGGAGTGCAGTGGCACAGTCATGGCTCACTGCAGCCTCGACCTTCTGGGCTCAAGTGATCCTCCCACCTCAGCCTCCTCAGTAACTGAGACCACACATGCATACCACTGTGCCCAGCTAATATCATCCATTTTAAGTTAAATTTTGAATAAGATGTGAGTTTTAGGTTTAGGTTCCTTTTTATGTTTTTAATTTCATTTTCCAAATGTTGTTAGTACATAGAAATGTGATTGATTTTTGTATGTCTATGTGATATCTTGAGACTTTGCTGAAATTGATATCTTGGGACTTTGCTGAAATTATTAGTTCTAACAATTTTTTGAAGATGCCAGGGGATTTTCTGTGTAGACAATCAGGCCATCTGCAAGTGTTTTATTGATTTCCTTCCATTTTATTACCTTTTATTATTATTATTGTTCTTTTTTTTTGCCTCGTGGTGCTAGCTAGAACCTTGAGCATTATAAATAAAAATATAAGATGACTAAGATCATGAAAGCAGACATCTCCATCTTGTGCTCTTAGAGGGTAAACTTGATGGAGTTTTAACAGTCGAAGTGCAATATAGCCTTCATTGAGAAGCTTACTCTCAAATCCATGTCAGAAATAGAAAAAAAAAAGATCTAGAATGATAGTATGTCCTTCAATTAAATCTTTTCATATACAAGTGTACAAAATACTGGACACACTCAAAAAGCTATCAGAAAACATGAATCTTTCACCACAAAGGCTATGGCATTAATCAGATTAGTTTCAGTTATCTAATCAAGGGGTTGGCAAGTGCTCAAGAGGAGACGGGGAATGCCACCCTCACTGACATGCTCTGTGCGTGTGCTAGGATGTGGGCACACAGAGTCTAGCAGCATCCTCAGGGCTCGTTCATGTATACATGAGCCCATGTGTTCCAATCTGTAACATCCTCTGGACAATTCCCTGTTCTCCTACAAACATCACTGCCCAATCCCCTTCCTCAGAAGCTGCTCATCAGTTCTCAAGCCCACACTGTGAAACAGTAAAGAAGTGTGATTAGGATAATATCATGGAAGGTGGTTAACATACAGTGTTTAAACACTTTCCCAAGTTTATAGAACCCCATGCACATGTGAAGGCAGAAAAATGAGTCCTGAACTTAAGAAGCGTTAGGCAGAACCGGCCGGGCGTGGTGGCTCATGCCTGTAATCCCAGCACTTTGGGAGGCCAAGGTGGGCGGATCACGAGGTCAGGAGATCAAGACCATCCTGGCTAGCACCGTGAAACCCCGTCTCTACTAAAAATACAAAAATTAGTCGGGCATGGTGGCCGGCGCCTGTAGTCCCAGCTACTTGGGAGGCTGAGGCAGGAGAATGGCGTGAACCCAGGAGGTGGAGCTTGCAGTGAGCCAAGATCGCGCCACTGCACTCCAGCCTGGGCAACAGAACGAGACTCCATCTCATAAAAAGAAAAAAAAAAAAAGAAGAAGCGTTAGGCAGAACCAAGGCAAGGCTCAGTTTAGGGCTAACTATTCCCCACTTTGGAGGTAAGGCCTATCCGAGTCCCTGAATGATGTGGGAACAGGCACTGTTCCTGTGTGAGCACCAGGCACTGTTATCACTAATCCTTTCAGGCAGTTCTTTTCCCAGACTCAGGTCGTTTCTTCATATGCACGTGCTAACCAGCATCCAACTGACAACTCCAGGCAGACCCTCTGAAGACCCCCATGTTTCTCTCCTGGTGCAGCTCTGCCCTCGATGGTGCTCTGTCCTAAGAACTCTTGTCTCCAGGCCTTGATCCCCCTCAGACTCTCAGCCCTCTACGCCCACCCCAGGGAGTCTGCAGGGACCCTGCTGTGTTCCCTTTCCAGCACTGAACCTGGAAACTGTCTCAAGGCAGTAAGCTGGGGCAATCGTAGGGCTCACCTCATTTATCACCCACCCCTCAGGGATCAGGGTTCTTCATTGCCTGATAGTGTCTTCCTACACTGTGTTCATTTTGGGGGGCTGTTTCAGGCAGGAGGTTAAATCCAATGTCCTGCTACTCCATCTTGGCCAGAAGCTCTTGGTGGCTTTTTTGTTTGCGTTTTCTAATGTTTGTAGCAGGACTAGGCGGACTGCCTTAGGGATCCTACTATAGGCATCTCCACTGCCCTCCCTGCTCCTACAGCTGCTAGACATGGAGCAGGATGGGGGCTTAGTTGTGGCAAACAGCAGGCACAGGTGGGGCTGGAGGGAGGCTGAGGAGCCTAGATTGTATTTTGCAGGTAATGGAATGCCACTGAAGATGTGTGATGCTGGGAAAGAGGTCATACAACCTGTTTTTTGTTGTTGTTGTTGTTTGTGGTGGTGGTGGCGTTTTTGTTTTGTTTTGTTTTGTTTTTGAGATGGAGTCTTGCTCCAGTCCATGCTGGAGTGCAGTAGCGTGATCTTGGCTCACTGCAACTTCCATCTCCCAGGTTCAAGCGATTCTCCTGCCTCAGCCTCCTGAGTAGCTGGGTCTACAGGTGCCCGCCACCATGGCTGGCTAATTTTTTTTGTATTTTTAGTAGAGATGGGGTTTCACCATGTTGGCCAGGCTGGTCTCGAACTCCTGACCTCAGGTGATCCACCCTCCTCGGCCTCCCAAAGTGCTGGGATTACAAGTGCAAGCCACGGTGCCTAGCCCATGCAACCTGTTTTGAGAATTGATTGAGAAAGACACCTTTGCAGGGAGGGCCTAGCACAGAACTATAGATGGAGTAAACATCGGTTGAAGTGAGACTGGACACAGGGCAGTGACCCGTGAGGCGGTACCGGAGAGGAGTCAAGCAGAGCCCAGGAGGAGGCATGCAGATGCCGGTCTGAGGGTGACTCTGAAGTTCAGAACAAAAGGGCGTGGCTGTTTACTGGAGTAGGGGAGACCGGGATGAGGGTGCAGATATAGTAGAAAGATGATTCTGGTGAGTGGAAACATGAGATGCCTGCGCGTGGGCCAGGGACTGTGGGAGAGAAGCAGTCTTAACGAACACCTCAGCAGGCCAGGCGCAGTGGCTCATGCGAGGCGGGAGGATCACTTGAGGTCAGGAGTTCGAGACCAGTCTGACCAACATGGTGAAACCCCGTCTCCACTAAAAATATAAAAAAATTAGCCGGGAGAGGTGGCACATGCCTGTAATCCCAGCTACTCAGGAGGCTGAGGCAGGAGAATCGGTTGAACCTGGGAGGTGGAGGTAGCCGTGAGCCGAGATCATGCCATTGTATTCCAGCCTGGGCGACAAAGCGAGACTCTGTCTGGAAGAAAAAAAATAAAAAATAAAACACCTGAAGTGGTCTGGGACATGTGGAGGCTGAGTTACCAGTGGGCCTGACCCACTGAGATGTTGGCAAATGGTTGGAAATTTGGGGCTGGGGCTGACGATGGAGATCAGAACTGGAGGTGTGGACCAGGAGTCATCCCTACAGAGTTCAAATGTGCCTTCACCTTGCGGATGTCCTTGATGTATCTGCGGGCCCCTGTGTGTCCTCATTCCCCTCTCCAGATCCATCAGACTTCAGGGGCCTGGGGGCCTCCGCAGGCTCCCTACAGAAGAGGGCATTTCTTTGATGAAATTACCATTCTCACCTCAAAGATACACCTCAGCATAGTTTTCCTCTAAGTGACATGAATTTTGTGCTGGATTCTAGAAAACTGACAGATTTATCCATGTGCGCAGTAGCTGGCTGGGTGCCTTTTCTCTCCTGTGAGGAAGAGCTTCTAAAATGTCTTAAGGCTCAGCCAGAAGCTTTAGCACATTTTTGAGCAGGAAGTTGGACTCACTGTAGTCTTAAAACAATCCTGCTGGTGAATGAAGTCATAATTAGAACTCTTAAGTATGTATTTTATATATCTCAGGAGAACAATTCAAAGTTATAACTAAAATAGCGACATCTTTTTTTTTTTTTTTTGAGATGGAGTCTCGCTGTGTCGCCCAGGCTGGAATGCAGTGGCGCGATATCGGCTCACTGCAACTTCCACCTCCCAACTTCAAGTGATTCTCCTGCCTCAGCCTCCCGAGTAGCTGGGATTACAGGCATACGCCACCACGCCCAGCTGATTTTTGTTATTTTTAGTAGAGACGGGGTTTCACCATGTTGGCCAGGATGACCTGAGGTGATCCAGCCGCCTTGGCCTCCCAAAGTGCTGGGATTATAGACGTGAGCCACTGCTCCCGGCCAATAGCGACATCTCTTAATGTACCATTGCTAAAATATAAGCAATACCTTTACTTTGTCCTCAATCTAGAAATTTCAACTTTATTGACCACATAATCCACTGTCATTTAAATGAATGCCTTTCTACAAATAATATTAATTTCGCATATGCTACCAAATGAAACTACTCACAGACAGAAACACCAACTCTGACCTCTGTTTGCATACGCATCATGAGGCAGCCTGCTTTACGTCTCATGAAAGGTATTCATTTGAAATACATGCCAGAAAGACTTTTCCCCTCCAGCTGTTTAAATACTTGATGTTTTTCTAAGTAACCGCAAACCACCTGGTATTGCGTTTATGTGTTTCTTCAGAATTCTTTTTTGGCTTAAATGACATTATCTCTGCCTTTTTTTTTTTTTTTTTTGAGATGTAGTCTCACTCTTTCGCCCAGGCTGGAGTGCAGTGGCGTGATCTCGGCTCACTGCAACCTCCACCTCCCGGGTTCAAGGGATTCTCCTGCCTCAGCCTCCCAAGTATCTGGACTACAGGAGCACGCCATCACTCCCATCTAATTTTGATGTATATTTTTTTAAGTAGAGATAGGGTTTCACCATGTTGGCTAGGCTATCTCTGCTTTTTGAAAGTTTTATCAGAGTCCTTTACAAATACTGAAATCCACATTCTATAAAATTCTTTTACAAGGTGATTCAAAACGGCGAATATGAGAGAGAGGCGGGTCTTTCATTGCTGATACTGAGTTTTGCTACTGGATATTCTGATGTTATTAGCTTTTTGATGTTATTAATGTTATAAAGTTAAGGAAGTTATGTATCTAATAAATGATGTATAGAACAAAAACAAGAGAAAAAAGTTTTAGATACTTGGGCAAAGCTACAGTTGATAAATTATTTTGAAAATCTCTCCAGTCTACGTAAGTTATGGATATTAATAATAAGATTAACAGAGAAAAGCGACAGCAATGACAATGTACATACATATAGCCTACACGTTAAAAACATTAAACAGTTCAGGACATTGAGCGGGTCGTGGTAGTGTATCTGGAATTGGTGGGTTATTGGTCTCACTGACTTCAAGAACGAAGCTGTGGACCCTCGCGCTGAGTGTTACAGCTCTTAAAGGTGGCGTGTCTGGAGTCTGTTCGTTCTGATGTGTTTGGAGTTTTTTCTGGTGGGTTTGTGGTCTCGCTGGCCTAGGAGTGAAACCACAGACCTCCGCGGTGAGTGTTACAGCTCTTAAGGCGGCGTGTCTGAAGTTGCTCATTCCTCCCGATAGGTTCGTGGTCTCGCTGGCTCCAGGAGTGAAGCTGCAGACCTTCACGGTGTTACAGCTCATAAAGGCAAGGTGGACCGAGAGAGTGAGCAGCAGCAAGATTTATTGCAAACAGCATAATAACAAAGCTTCCACAGCATAGAAAAGGACAGGGCCGGGTTGCTACTGCTAGCTTGGGCAGCCTGCTTTTATTCTTATCTGGCCCCACCCACATCCTGCTGATTGGTCCATTTTACAGAGAGCCGATTGGTCCATTTTACAGAGAGCTGATTGGTCCGTTTTGACAGGGTGCTGATTGGTGCGTTTATAATTCCTGAGCTAGACACAAAAGTTCTCCATGTCACAACTAGATTAGCTAGATACAGTGTCCACACAAAGGCTCTCCAAGTCCCCACCAGAGTAGCTAGATACAGAGTGTCGATTGGTGCATTCACAAACCCTGAGTTAGACACAGGGTGCTGATTGGTGTGTTTACAAACCTTGAGCTAGACACAGAGTGCCGACTGGTGTATTTATAATCCCTTAGCTAGACATAAAGGTTCTCCAAGTCCCCACCAGACTCAGGAGCCCAGCTGGCTTCACCCGGTGGATCCCGCAGGTGGAGCTGCCTGCCAGTACCGCGCTGTGCGCCTGCACTCCTCAGCCCTTGGGTGGTGTATGGGATTGGGTGCCATGGAGCAGGAGGCGGCGCTCGCCCGGGAGGCTCGGGCCGCACAGGAGCCCACGGAGACGGGGGAGGCTCAGGCATGGTAGGCTGCAGGTCCTGAGCCTTGCCCAGAGGGAAGGCAGCTAAGGCCCGGTGAGAAATTGAGCACAGCAGCTGCTGGCCCAGGTGCTAAGCCCCTCACTGCTCCAGCAGGCAGGGCCAGCTGGCCACTCCCAGTGCGGGGCCGCGGAGCCCACGCCCACTTGGAACTCCTGCTGGCCTGCAAGTACCACGCGCAGCCCCGGTTCCCGCCCACGCGTCTCCCTCCACACCTCCCTGCAAGGTGAGGGAACCGACTCTGGCCTTGGCAAACCCAGAAAGGGGCTCCCACAGTGCAGCGTGGGCTGAAGGGCTCCTCAAGTGCCGCCAAAGTGGGAGCCCAGGCAGAGGAGGCACCGAGAGCCAGGGAAGGCTGCGAGGACTGCCAGCACGCTGTCACCTCTCAGTAGCTCACACCTGTAATCTCAGCACTTTTGGAGGCTAAGGTCAGATCATCTGAGGTCAGGAGTTTGAAACCAGCCTGGCCAACATGATGAAACCCTGCCTCTACTAAAAATACAAAAATTAGCCAGGCGTGGTGGCAGGCACCTGTAATCCCAGCTACTCAGGAGGCTGAGGCAGGAGAATCACTCAAACCTGGGAGGCAGAGGTTGCAGTGAGCCAAGATCACACCACCGCACTCCAGCCTGGGTGACAGAGTGAGACTCTGTCTCAAAAAAAAAAAAAAAAAAAAAAAAATCAGGACGTTGATACCTTTGCTTGCTGGACAAAATGAGGACAAACTATCTTACATTTATTTCCGCTAGTTCATTCAGTAGTTTTTTTCCTATGTCTTCTCTCTTTGAATAGGAGAGAGGTCTCATGGGAACCTATTATCAGTCAAGATATAATGATAGAAGGTATGATGATAAGGAGAGTTCCACAGCATAAAACACAAGCGGAAGAAATATCCAGCAATAGCTGTATATGTGGTAATAATTATAAGGGATGGGTGTTGGGCTTTATCTGAATTATTATCTTAAATGCCCACACCATTTATTCTTTGTTGCCTTGTGATGGTAGACATTGGTCATGGACCTGACGTTCCGTGCAGATCTATGTTGGGAGAGGCAGTCTGCCATGGGCCCTGAGCATGCCCTGAAGTTCCTGCTGGGTATGCCAAGAATGTAAGGCCTTGACTGCTCTTTACCTGACCCATTTCCCAGGGCTGTGTTTGCACCAAGAAACCTTGAGGAAGGAGGTAACGTCTCCCCTAGACAAAGTGTAGGTTCTCTACAAAGACAGGGATTCCCCAAGCTCAGTGTTTCTGCCCCATAACGCAGCTCACCACACATGTGCAGGCATCCGTGGTGGGCCCTTAGCATCACCCTGAGACCCCAGGGCATGGGGAACTGACACACACTAGCCTAGAGCTCTGGCTACTGCTTTTGCCATGAATAATAAAGTCCCTTGTCTCTGAACCAGGAATCTCATGTCTTTTTGCCAGGAAAGTAACAGTAAACAGTAACAGACTAGTTTGTTAGCTTGAAAGTAGGTTAAAAGCTCAGACCCTGCAGTTCCTGGCAGTTTATTTCCATCTCCATCTTGTAAGAACATCAAGAGCAGAGACCAAGTCTTTTGCTACTCTGTATGGTAGAATATCTTATTCAAAATAGGTGGTTGCTAAATATTTGAAATTTTACAGGCTCACTGTTCTCTTCTGAATTGTAAGTTCAGACTAGAAGGAAATGCATAATTTCCAAGCTTCTAACCACACACAGAAAATTCACCTTCACCTTTAAGTAAAGTAATGCAGCACACATAGGATCATGGTGGACGGGAGGCAGGACTAGATTGCAGCTCTGAACAGAGCAATGTGCAGAGGCTTGCATTGTGAATTTTAGCTCCAGATCGACTGCAAGAACAAACCAGCAACCCCGAGAGGACCGACAGACCTCTGAAGGAAGCAGACTGCTCTTGCAGGACCTGGAAGACACCCCAAATACTGTGAGTGCCCAAACTGCGGAAGTGGGAAAGGGAGAGCATCCTCTCCCAAACACACACGCCCACTGGAGAAAAGGAAGGTCTGTTTGCAGGAGAAGTTTCCGACCTTACCTGGAGCTGAGTCAATTTAGAGAGTCGAGCGAAATACAGAAGTAGAGGAAGCAGCGGGAAAGGCCCTGGGAGCTCCCTGGGTCCCCAAGCAGGTCATTCCTGCCTGGCACCACAGGGATCCACCAGGAGGGCAGCCAGAGGAGCGAGGGTAAAACTCAACAGGGAGAAGGAAATCTCTAGCTGAAATTTGTAACAATTTGAACAGGGTTAGAAGCCTCCTGGCCAGAACTCGGGGGAGGGCGCAAATCTGGTGTGCAGATTCTCCACAGGTGGGAAGAACAAGCCCTTTCTTTTGCAGCTGGGAGGTGGGTAGCCTGAGGCAAGTTCTCAAGCCTGTCTCACCCACTGCCCGAAAACAGACTTGGGGCGGTTGGATGGGGGCATGGTGGGAGTGAGACTGGACTTTCAGTTTGCATGGGAGCTGGGTGAGGCCTGTGACTGCCAGCTTTCCACCACTTCTCTGAAAACCTGCATGACTCAGCAGAGGCAGCCATAATCCTCCTAGGTACATAACTCCAGTGACCTGGGAATCTCACACCCATCCCCCACAGGAGCTGCAGCAAGACCGGTCCAAAGAGAGTCTGAGCTCAGATACGCCTGGCCCCACCCCCACCTGATCGTCCTTCCCTACCCACTCTGGTAGCAGAAAACAAAGGACATATAATCTTGGGAGTTCTACAGCCCAGCCCACAGCCAGTCCCTCTCAAACTACTACAGCTGATGCTTTCTGGAAAGCGCCACCTCACAGCAGGAGGCCAACCCGCACAAAAATAGAGCATTAAACCACCAAAGCTAAGAGCCCTCACGAAGTCCACTGCACACCCCCCACCACCTCCACTGGAACAGGTGCTGGTATCCATGGCTGAGAGACCCATAGACGGTTCACATCACAGGACTCTGTGCAGACAACCCTCAGAACCAGCCCGGAGCTGGGCAGACTTACTGCGTGGCCAGACCCAGAAGAGAGACAACAATCACTGCAGTTGGGCTCACAGGAAGCCACCTCCATAGGAAAAGGGGGAGATTACTCCATGAAGGGAGCACTCCATGGGACAAAAGAATCTGAACAACAGCCTTCAGCCCTAGACCTTCCCTCTGACAGAGCTTACCCTAATGAGAAGGAACCACAAAACCAATGCTGGTAATATGACAAAATAAGGCTCTTGAACAGCACCCCCCAAAATCACACTAGTTTACCAGCAATGGATCCAACCCAAGAAGAAATCCCTGATTTACCTGAAAAAGAATTCAGGAGGTTAGTTATTAAGCTAATCAGGGAGGCACCAGAGAAAGGTGAAGCTCAATGCAAGGAAATCCAAAAAACGATACAAGAAGTGACGGGAGAAATAGCCAAGAAAATAGATAGCTTAAAGAAAAAAAAATAAATAAAAAATCCAGGAAAAATTGGACACACTTATAGTAATGCAAAATGCTCTGGAAAGTCTCAGGAATAGAATTGAAAAAGTAGAAGAAATTCAGAGCTCAAAGACAAGGTCTTTGAATTAACCCAATCCCACAAAGACAAAGAAAAAAGAATAAGAAAATATGAACAAAGCCTCCAAGAAGTCTGGGATTATGTTAAATGACCAAACCTAAGAATAACCAGTTTTCCCGAGGAAGAAGAGAATTATAAAAGCTTGGAAAACATATCTTTAGGAATAATAGAGGAAAACTTCCCTGGCCTTGCTAGAGACCTAGCTATCCAAGTGCAAGAAGAACAAAGAACACCTGGGAAATTCATTGCAAAAAGATCATTGCCTAGGCATATTGTCATCAGGTTATCCAAAGTTAAGACAAAGTAAAGAATTTTAAGAGCTGTGAGACAGAAGCACCAGGTAACCTATAAAAGAAAACCTATCAGATTAACAGCAGATTTCTCAGCAGAAACCCTACAAGCTAGAAGGGATTGGGGCTCTATCTTCAGCCTCCTCAAACAAAACGATTATCAGCTAAGAATTTTGTATTCAGCAAAACTAAGCATCATATATGAAAGAAGATACAGTCTTTTTCAGACAAACAAATGCTGAGAGAATTCGTCACTAACAAGCCACCATTAAAAGAACTGCTAAAAGGAGCTCTAAATCTTGAAACAAATCCTGGAAACACATCAAAACAGAACCTCTTTAAAGCATAAATCACACAGGACCTATAAAACAAAAATACAAGTTAAAAGGCAAAAACAAAAAACAAAAAACCAAAGTCCACAGGCAACAAATAGCACAATGAATGCAATGGTACCTCACATCTCAATTCCAACATTGAATGTAAATGGCCTAAATGCTCTACTTTAAGGATACAGAACTGCAGAATGGATAAGAACTCGCCAACCAACTATCTGCTGCCTTCAGGAGACTCACCTAACACATAAGGACTCACATAAAGTAAAGAGGTGGAAAAAGGCATTTCACACAAATGGACAAGAGAGTAGGGGTAGCTATTCTTATATCAGACAAAACAAACTTTAAAGCAATATCAGTTAAAAGAGACAAAGTGGGACATTATATAATAGTAAAAGGCCTTGTCCAACAGGAAAATATCATAATCCTAAAAATATATGCATCTAACACTGGAGCGCCAAAATTTATACAACAATTACTAATAGACCTAAGAAATGAGATAGACAGCAACACAATAATAGTGGGGGACTTCAATACTCCACTGACAGCACTAGGCAAGTCATCAAGACAGAAAGTCAACAAAGAAACAATGGATTTAAACTATACCTTGGAACAAATGGACTTAAAAGATATATACAGAACATTTCATCCAACAACCTCAGAATACACATTCTATTCAACAGCACGTGGAAATTTCTCCAAGATAGACTATATGATAGGCCATAAAACAAGACTCAATAAATTTAAGAAAATTGAAATTATATCAAGCACTCTCTCAGTGGAATCAAACTGGAAATCAACTCCAAAAGGAACCTTCAAAACCATGCTGATACATGGAAATTAAATAACCTACTCCTGAATGAGCATTGGGTCAAAAACGAAATCAAGGTGGAAATTAAAAAATTCTTCGAACTGAACGACAATAATGACACAACCTACCAAAACCTCTGGGATATAAGCAGAGGTGGTGCCAAGAGGAAAGTTCATAGCCCTAAACGCCTACATCAAAAAGACTGAAAGGGCACACACTGACATTCTAAGGTCACACCTCAAGGAACTAGAGAAACAAGAAAAACCAAACCCAAACCCAGCAGAAGAAAGGAAATAACCAAGATCAGAGCAGAACTAAATGAAATTGAAACAAACAAACAAACAAAAATACAAAAGATAAATGAAACAAAAAGATGGTTCTTTGAAAAGGTAAGTAAAACTGATAGACCATTAGTAAGATTAACCAAGAAAAGAAGAGAGAAAATCCAAATAACCTCATTAAGAAATGAAACAGGAGATATTACAGTTGACACCACTGAAATACAAAAGATCATTCAAGGCTACTATGAACACCTTTACACACATCAACTAGAAAACCTAGAAGAGTTGGATAAATTCTGGAAAGATATAACCCTCCTAGCTTAAATCAGGAAGAATTAGATACCTTGAACAGACCAGTAACAAGCTGCAAGACTGAAATGGTAATTACAAAATTACCAACAACAAAAAATGTCCACGACCAGACAGATTCTAAGAAGACTTTCTAAGAAGAATTGGTACCAATCCTTTTGACACTATTCCACAAGATAAGAGAAAGAAGGAACTCTCTCTAATTCATTCTATGAAGCCAGCATCACCCTAATACCAAAACCAGGAAAGGACCTAACCAAAAAAGAAAACTACAGACCGATATCCTTGATGAACATAGATGCCAAAATCCTTAACAAAATATTAGCTAACTGAATCCAACAACATATCAAAAAGACAATACATCATGATCAAGTGAGTTTCATACCAGGGATGCAGGGATGGTTTAACATATGCAAGTCAATAAATGTGACACATCACATAAACAGAATTAAAACCAAAAATCACATGATCATCTCAACAGATGCAGAAAAAGCATTTGATAAAATCCAGCATTGCTTTATGGTTACAATTCTCAGCAAAATTAGCATACAAGGGACATACCTCAATGTAATAAAAGCCATCTATGACAAAACCACAGGCAACATAATACTGAATGGGGAAAAACTGAAAGCGTTCCCTCTGAGAACTGAAACAAGACAAGGATGCCCACTCTGACCACTCCTCTTCAACATACTACTGAAGTCCTAGCCAGAGTAATCAGACAAGAGAAAGAAATACAGGGCATCCAAGTTGGTAAAAAGGAAGTCAAACTGTCACTGTTTGCTGACGATATGATCATTTACCTTGAAAACCCTGAAGACTCCTCCAGAAAGCTTCTATAACTGATAAAAGAATTCAGCAAAATTTCCAGATACAAGATGAATGTACAGAAGTCAGTAGCTCTTCTATACACCAACAGTGACCAAGCCAAGAATCAAATCAAGAACTCAACCCCTTTTACAATAGCTGCAAAAAAATAAAATACTTAGAAATATACCTAACCAAGGAGTCAAAAGACATCTACAAGAAAAACTACAAAACACTGCTGAAAGTAATCATAAACAACACAAATAAATTGAAACACATCCCAGGCTCGTGAATGGGTAGAATCAATACTGTGAAAATGACCATACCAGCAAAAGCAATCTACAAATTCATTGCAATCCCCATCAAAATACCACCATCATTCTTCACAGAATTAGAAAAAACAATTCTAAAATTCATATGGAACCAAAAAAGAGCCCACATAGCCAAAGCAAGACGAAGCAAAAAGAAAAAATCTGGAGGCATCGCACTACCTGATTTCAAACTATACTATAAGGCCAAAGTTGCAAAACAGCATGGTACTAGTATAAAAATAAGCACATGGACCAATGGAACAGAATACAGAACCCAGAAATAAACCAAGTACTTAAAGCCAACCGATCTTTGACAAAGCAAACATTAACATAAAGTGGGGAAAGGACACTCTTTTCAACAAATGGTGTTGGGATAATCGGCTAGCCACATGTAGGAGAATGAAACTGGATCCTCATCTGTCACCTTATACAAAAATCAACTCAAGATGGATTAAAGACTTAAATCTAAGACCTGAAACTATAAAAATTCTAGAAGATAACATCGGAAAAACCCTTCTAGGCATTGGCTTAGGCAAGGATTTCATGACCGAGAACCCAAAAGCAAATACAATAAAAACAAAGATCAATAGCTGGGATCAAATTAAACTAAAGAGGTTTTGCATGGCAAAAGAAACAGTCAGTAGAGTAAACAGACAATCCACAGAGTGGGAGAAAATCTTCACAATCTATACATCTGACAAAGGACTAATATCCAGAATCTACAACAAACTGAAACAAATCAATAAGAAAAAAACAAAGAATCCCATCAAAGAGTGGGCTGACATGAACAGACAATTCTCAAAAGAAGATATACAAATGGCCAACAAACATATGAAAAAATGCTCAACATCACTAATGATCAGGGAAATGCAAATCAAAACCACAGTGTGATACCACGTTACTCCTGCAAGAATGGCCATAATCAAAAAATCAACAAACAGTAGATGTTGACATGGATGTGGTGAACAGGGAGCACTTCTACACTGCTGGTGGGAATGTAAACTCGTGCAGCCACTATGGAAAACAGTGTGGAGACTCCTTAAAGAACTAAAAGTAGAGCTACCATTTGATCCAGTAATCCCACTACTGGGTATCTACCCAGAGGAAAAGAATTCATTATATGAGGAAGATACTTGCACACGCATGTTTATAGCAACACAATTCAATTCACACTTGCAAAATTGTGGAACCAACCCAAATGCCCATCAATCAATGAGTGGATAAAGGAACGGTGGTATATATATATGATGGAATACTACTTAGCCATAAAAAGGAATGAAGTAACAGCATTTGCAGTGACCTGGATAAGATTGGAGACTCTTATTCTAAGTGAAGTAACTCAGGAATGGAAAACCAAACATCGTACGTTCTCATTGATATGTGGGAGCTAAGCTATGAGGATGCAAGGGCATAAGAATGATACAAAAGCATAAGAATGATACAATGGGGAGAATAGTGGGAGGCGGGAAAGGGATAAAAGACTACAAATAGGGTGCAGTGTATACTGCTCGGGTGTTGAGTGCACCAAAATCTCACAAATCACCACTAAAGAACTTACTCATGTAACCAAATACCACCTGTACCCCAATAACTTATGGAAAAAAAGAATTTAAAAAAACCTACTACACATAGTTACAAACCCAATAAAGAAAGAAAGTAATGCAGAGAAAGACTCTGTACAAAGACTCTTGTTGGTAGCACAATCAGCGTGTGTGTGTAAAATCTGTAATTTAAATTTTCCACGAAATTTCTAGAGTGATGAGACACATCCTGGGGCAGATCTAGGACTGTTTAATTTGTCTCTGTAGAAAGCAGTTATAGTCTACAGAGGTCTTTGTGGCGGGCTTAAATACTGATCCTACAAAAGGAGCTAAAATTAGGCTGTCATATGGAGAAGGTAAGTGATTCATAGAGAAATCTGTGAAGCTATAATTTCAAGAGGCAAACATCCATTTACAATCCCTAAAAATGTCGATGGATTTTGGCCTTGCTTTGGCCACTCAGGCACCACCAGTAACACATGTGCTGCTCTAAGAAGGCAGGATTGC
Organism: Homo sapiens; assembly: GCF_000001405.40. Classification (NCBI taxonomy): domain Eukaryota; kingdom Metazoa; phylum Chordata; class Mammalia; order Primates; family Hominidae; genus Homo; species Homo sapiens. Next base: position 1,444,338 of record NT_187660.1, read on the forward strand.
TCCCCACATGGTGCCTGCTGTTTGCTCAATGGCACTTTTAACTCTGGGCAAGGACCCAGGAGGGAGTTCACACACTCTCCGCAAGGGTTCAGAACTGCACCCTATTTGATAATTGAAAACCTGGCTTTTGTCATCTGAAACAATAGCTTTTACTCTTTAGTGGATGGCTGTAAATTGCCTACATGATCATCTGTGTAAATAATCGTAGACTAATTATTTTCTTACAGTTCTACGAAGTTTTAAGAAGAAAACTATTTGCCATTTTTCTGATATTCAAGGCAAAGTAATGAGGCAAAAAAAGTTTCTGTGTGTATACACACTTTTGTATCTTTGTGTGTGTATATATGAGATAGATTATACACATACATGCATATATACATACAGAAATCTTTCCTATAAATTCTGGATTTCTGAAGACTCACTGTGATCCTAATGAGCCTCTAGCTTTAAAACAATGTTGAACAAAACACCATTTTTAAATATTTGGCTTTAACCTAAATTTATGGGAATGAAGAAAATAAACAAGCATTGTCAAGAACATTTTGGGAAAAAAAAGGCTTTGCACACATCAAAATGTACCCTAAATCTACAATAATAGTATAGGGTGGCATCAATAAGGGACAGAATAGAGATCCTATTATAATAAAAGAAGTACACCACATTACTTGTGTTGGGATAATTGGCTGTCTTTAAAAAACAAGTAAGACAGATCTAGATGTGAAAAGAAGAGAGGAAAATTCTTCCTCGTGAACCTAGATGCAAAAGTCCTAAATAAAATATTGAAAAATTAAATACAGTAGCATTTTAAAAAACATATTATGACCAAATGTGGTTTATTCCTATATTACAAGGATGTTTTAACATAATGTAATTTATTAATGGAATTCACTACATTAAATGAGAAAAACTATATGACAATCTCAATAGATGCAAAATAGCAGTTGGTATTTCAACACTAGTGTAAAAGCCTCTAATAAACTTGAAATAGACAGGAGCTCCCTAAACTCAAGAAACCCTACAGCAAACATCTGGAAGGAGATGGGGATTGCTGCCAATATCACTTCTGTTCTACACAGGTCCCAGTCATTGGAAGAAGACAGGCAAAAGAAGTAAAGTGTGTTCAAACTGGGAAGGAAGAAAAACTGTCCAAGATGATACAATTATTCATACAGAAAACTCAATAACATTTCCAAATATTTAGAACTAAATATAATAGTTGTGCAATGTTGCTGCATATAAAATCAATATGCAGGCCGGGTGCGGTGGCTCATGCCTGTAATCCCAGCACTTTGGAGGGCCGAGGCAGGGGGATCATGAGGTCAGAAGATTGAGACCATCCTGGCTAACATGGTGAAACCCCCATCTCTACTAAAAATAAAAAAAATTAGCCAGGCGTGGTGGCGGGTGCTTGTAGTCCCAGCTACTCAGGAGGCTGAGGCAGAAGAATGGCGTGAACCCGGGAGGCGGAGCTTGCAGTGAGCTGAGATCGTGCCACTGCCCTCCAGCCTGGGTGACAGAGCGAGACTCCATCTCAAAAAAAAAAAAAAAAAAAAAAAAATCAATATGCAAAATTCATTCACTAGCAACAAACAGCAAGTATAAGTTTTTTAAAGATACGATTTACAATAGCAAAAAATGTAAAGTAGCCAAGAATAAATATAGAAAAAGGTGGAAAAATGTGTTGAGAACAAATAAATAATGAGATCTTGTAGTCATGAATAGGAAGATTCAATACTATAAATACATTAATTCTTTCCAAATCAACTTATAAATCCAATGGAATTCCAACAAAGACCACAACAAGACTGTGTGTGTGTGTGTGTGAGTGTGTGTGTGTGCATAGTCTGTGACAGGATCATTTTAAATTCCTCATCTCCCTTCTCTCTCCCACCCCTGCTGCCCCACACCATGTGAGGACACAGTGACAAGGCTTGCCTTTGTAAAACAGGAAGAGGGCGCTTGCCAGAACTCGACCATGCTGGCACTTTGATCTCAGACTTCTAGCCTCCTGACTGTGAGAAATAAATGTCTGCTGTTTATACCACCCCATCTAAAGCATTCTGTTACAGCAACCTGTCTTAGTCTATTTTCTGCTGCTGTAACGGAATAACAGACTGGGTAATTTACAAAGAATGTAAGTCTATTTGGCCCACAGTTCTGGAGGCTGGGAAGTCCTAGAGCATGGGGCCAGCATCTGGTGGGGGTCCTCCTGTGGTGGAAGGTGAAAGGCAGAAAGCTGAAGTGAGTGTGTGAGACAGAGAGAGAAGCCAGATTTCCTTTATAACAACCCACTCTCACCATAACTAACCTCTCCCATGCTAATGACAATCCATACATGAGTGCTCCACTCTCACGACCCAATCACCTATTATTAAATTCGACCTCCAACACTGACTGTGGCATTGAGGATTATGTTTCCAACATATGAACTTTTGGGGGACTATTCAAACCACAGCACAGCCTGAACTGATTAAGACAGTGGGCTTTTCTATCTTCTATCATTAAACCATCCGAAACACCATTAGTCCTCTGACTGCAGGTCCAGCTGTCCTGAGCAGTTCAACATTTCATATTTCGAGGAATGCAGGTTCACTCATAAACAACACCTGTGACAGAGCCACCCTCACTCACATCCTGGACACTCTACTGTCTGTTCACCCCTGTGCATTCCAGGATGTAACAGGCAAGATGATCCCAACTCAGGCACAGCTGCAGTGTCTACAGCTGCAGGAGGTCCTGTCTCCCTCCTGCCCCCAGCAAGAAAACCCAAGTAAGGTATTTTTTTTTAAGGTATAGTTTTTTTCCTTCAAGTTTCTAATTTTGACACAATGAAAATATTGTATTTATATTAGCAATACCCGATTAGCAATTTCATGTAAAGGCGATTAGGTACTCATAAAAGGTCTCAAGTACTCCAACTAAATCAGTCACTGGTTAATAACAATGATCCACGAGCTGTTTTCCTGGTTTTCATGTGGAATAATTGGCAAGGAAAACCATACATGAAAAAAGAAAAAAGAAAAAGATCAGCAACTTTGCAGCTTTAGCCACTATGTGATGTGCTATCAAAAAGCCACCTAGAATCTTTTTTCATGAGTTAAAACACTACTGTCATCTATAATCCTGAACGGTAAGGTCTAGAAACCAATACTGACAGAGGTGTCCAAACAGCTCCTCTTGCAGTGCTGTGGGGCACATTTCTTTTAACCTTAATTGACTTCAATTACTGTGCTTCATCTCCCATGGCAAAATAATTCCCCAAAGAAACAAAGAGTATTAGAGTGTTTTCACTCATGAAACAGCCCGTAATGCACCTCTTTTGCTTAGGAATTGGAAGCCAACTAGATTTGAGCCTGCTTGAAAGAAAATCTCATCACTGAAGAATCCATTAGTGGGCCCTCCAAAATCCACACAGTCTTAAGGCCAGGGACCAACTGGACTTCAGGAATAGGATCAAAAAAGCCAATTCCAGTTCCATCGTGATGTACTGATTTAACTTTGATTGTGAAGGACAGTAATTTATTGAGTAATTTATCTTGCTAACCACCATATTAATCCAGTATCCAATCAGCACTTCTCTCATTCAATTCCAAGGAGCAGGAGTCCTAGATGGTTGGAAGTGTCAGACAGGAAGGGAAGAGTGTCTTCTAGTGTCTTGCCCAGTAATTGTACGGGGCTCCAAACTCCTGGGGAGGGGGAATGATGTCTGACTTGGAGCAGGCCAGTGGGGATGGACAGAGAAAAATTTCAGCAGGTGCCCATTGCTGGAGTGCAATAAGTAGAGCCCGGGGTGATGAGAGGCCTGGGGGAGAAGGGAGAGGGAGGGATGACAGAGAGGACAATAGGAACACAGGGTCCCTTGCCCTTCATAATGCCCTTGATTCTTGTTAAAGGGAAATGCCACGGATGTGGTTGGTGGAGCCAACATCTCTGCCTCATCCTTGATCATCCCACACACCCCACATCCAAATTCTCCCTGGCGTGTTGACCCGGCTACCAACCTCACCTGCAATCCTCCCTGGGCTCCAGCTCCACCTGCCCTGGCTGAACCTCCCCCTCTCACCTGGACTCTGAGGTGGCCTCCCAGTACCTCAGGTCTACTCTTCCCTGTCAGGACACCTGTTTTAGCCTAAGTCGGCTCCTGTCCCTCCCAGGTTACAGTCTGTGGCGGGAGGCCCACCAGTGATAAAATCTCCGCGCCTTCCCCCGTCCCTGGCTGGCACCCTCTGCAGCCTATTTCTGCCTCATTTCCACGGAGGCTGTCTCCCATTTTCTCTGCAGACCAGCCCCCAAGTACACATCGTGCTACCATAGTTCCACACTGGTCTAGCTCTCTCCGCTTCCCAGTCCCCCGCCCAGGGAAGGGGCTCACTGAACCAGCCTGGGCACGTGTCCACTCCCAGGACAGTCCACTGCAGGAATGGGCGGGGCAGGGTGCACAGGAGGGTGCTGTAAGCTGGGCCTGCTTTCTAAGCCAACCTGGGTGATTGGGGAGCCAACTCACCATGGGGCCGCTGCCTAGCCCCTCTGCTTCTACGTGACTATGATAGAAGACGGCACTGAAGCCTTCCCTCTGAGAAAGTTCTCAGATCTTCTTTTGGTCACTTCTGGCTCACACCCCACAAAAGATCCCCTGGACGGAAGCCTCAGCTCTCTTATTTCTGGGGATGTGGCTTTGAGGGTTTCCTCATCGCTCTGAGCCTTGATCTCATCTGTGAGGGGATGACTGGCTTAGACTTTAAACTCAAGTAGGTGAACCCCGGGGCACTTGGTAAAGGGAAGCCCTCCTGGGAGGATTCCGCCAGGGTGTGCAGAGCCACCCGTGATAGCAAGTGATCTCATTACTGGAAGGTTCTGAATCGGGGGGAGATGGTCACCAGCACCTCGGAGGGTTGGGGCACCATTCATCTTCTGATTGGTTATCATATTTGGTTTGATTTCAGTCACCCCAGAGGACCAAAATGACTAAAATAAGTAAGTTATTCATCTATAAACATTATGAAGCATTTTCAGGCATTTAACAGATGTAATAATTACCTATATCTAAGTCATATTTGAAGGGTAACTAAATTTTAATTGCTTTATAATATGTCTTATAATCTTTTTATTAGCAATTATATAAGCAATTGATTGTAACTATCTGTAAGTGAAAACTAATATCTGGATAGCCAAAAAAAAAAAAAAAGCCAAAAAATCCCACTCTTTCATTTAGATGACTGGGGAATATTGAAGAGTCGGGGAAATAGCAGGCTCTATTTTAAGCATCATTTTAAAGGAAATATAACACAATCTTAATCGTAGGTGGAAAAAACTCCAAAGAGTACTTGTTATGATTGCAAATTCCTAAGTAAAAGCCATCTACAGATGTGACTTGTTTCCAGGTATTACTCTTGATTTTGGGGACATGTCTCTTCCCTTGATGGGAGACCCCCTGGGTCACTGCATCCCTTGTACATCAAGGTTTCTTTCATGGCAGATGTCATGTCATTTTTTTCTCCATGTATCAGAACGACAACTCATTCCTTGCATGACAATGGAGTGGAAATGCAGGGAGACCTCAATGACATTTTATTCAGCTGACAAGGAAGAGACAAACTGCCTTGTCCCAGGAGTCTGTGAAAACTAGAAACACGGCCAGGCACGGTGGCTCACGCCTGTAATCCCAGCACTTTGGGAGGCCGAGGCGGGCAGATCATGAGATCAGGAGATTGAGACCATCCTGGCTAACACGGTGAAACCTCGTCTCTACTAAAAATACAAAAAAATTAGCCGGGCATGGTGGCGGGCGCCTGTATTCCCAGCTACTTGGGAGGCTGAGGCAGGAGAATGGCCTGAACCTGGGAGGCGGGGTCTTGCAGTGAGCTGAGATCGCGCCACTGCGCTCTAGCCTGGGCGACAGAGTGAGACTCCAACTAAACAAAACAAAACAAAACAACAAAAAAAAAAAAGAAAACTAGAAACACCTCATACTGGGAACTATAAAGCTTTGCCACTGCCACTGCTTTGTAAAACAAGAACTTTTCCCTGCCTAAGGTATCTATTTCATAGGTAGAATTCATAACACACTAAAACCTTTGACTTGGCCTGCTTGGTATAGAAAACTTATGCATCACAAAATATTCTGCTCAGAGTATAAGCACATAGGTAATGCATGAATTTGTGGTTTATCAATTTTCAAAGAACCTTTTACAAAGACACTGAATATATATGAGAGTAAACATGTTGTGATTTTTGGTAGTTCAGACAGTAATCAGTTTCTCGCTGGGCCTCAGCTTGTTCTGAGCATTCAGGTCCACAGTCCTGAAGCTAAGCTAGTGTCCCGGGTAGCAGCCTGGTGTATGTATCACTGCATATGGCGGTGAGAGCCAGGGCTCCAAAGCCAGACTGCCGGCCTGGGATTCTGGCTCCACCTTTACAATCTGCATGACCTTGGGGAGTTACTAAATTTCACTGTGCCTCAGTATCCTCACCTGTAAAATGAGAATAAATGATACGTGTACCTCACCGGGTTCTTGTAAGGGTAAGATTAGTTTCACAAATGTGCTGCCGGTAACGCTTAGCACACAGCAAGGCTCAATCAACATTAGCTATGACTATCATACACGATTAATCATCTGAGTGTCTGATCGGATTGAAAACACAGGCTCCTGCAGACAAATTCAGCAGAGGACTTTCAGGCCTCATGCATGAATGCTTAAGGAAAAGAGCCCTAAAGATTATGAGACGCCCATCCAAGAACATCCAAGAATGCGTTTTGCAGTCTGAACTGATTCTCCAGGGTGCTCCTTGTGTTCAACTGATGGGACAGGAACGCTGATGTTTGTCCATCTCTCTTTTTCTTCCTTTTTGAGACGGAGTCTCACTCTGTCACCCAGGCTGGAGTGCAGTGGCACGATCTCGGCTCACAGCAACCTCCACCTCCCAGGTTCAAGTGATTCTCCTGCCTCAGCCTGCTGAGTAGCTGAGATTACAGGTGCCCGCCACCATGCCCGGCTAATTTCTTTTGTATTTTTAGTAGAGACGGGGTTTCACCATGTTGGTCAGGCTGGTCTCGAACCCCTGACCTCGTGATCCACCCGCCTTGGCCTCCCAAAGTGCTGGGATAACAGGCGTGAGCCACTGTACCCAGACTGTCCATCTTTCATTGCTCTACTTTCTGGGTCTTGATCGTCCTCTCTCATGACTACTTCTTTTACTCCCATCAAGGTAAAGTGTGAGTGAAAGTAGTTTGATTAAAGCCCAGGCAGATTAAGGACGAAGCTAAAAAGAATGAAGAGACACTGGTAGGAAATACTGGCTGACATGCAGAAGTAATTTCAACGATCTTATTAGCCTTTCGCCTCTTGAGTACTTGGTTAATGTTCATAACCAGAAGTAATGTCTCTAATCTGCATTTAACTGATATTCTAACTCTTCCTTAAAGATACAGACCTCTTTTCCTCAGGCTTCATAGGCTAGACAATTCTCCTTAAATGTCCTGAGAGCCGTGGCACATAGGGGATGAGTGGTGGGGGGGCACACTCATTTGCCTGGAGTGTGGGAGGAGCCCCCACCTTTCCTGATTAATGCAGCTGGTAGTTCTCAGTGTGTGCAGCTGGGTGGGCCTCCAGAACAGTCAGTTTGGGGGCCATGAGGGGCAGGCTCTCCTGGATGGTGACAATAATTTTAAGAGAGGGGAGGTCAGTAGTTGGAAGTGGGAAGAGGCCAGAGGAGAGAAGAGGGTGGAAGAGCAGAGAAGCATCCCTCCTCAGCTCACCAGACAAAGGATAAAATGGAGGAAGTCACAGGACCCTTTGCCAGAGAAGCCCCCAGGAAGTGTGGCACATGCAGGGCAGGAGCCACGGGCCCCACTTCATGCTGAGGTCCTTGCCAAGCCCATGGCCCGCAGACCCTGTTGGACGGGGCAGCACCGTGCACCTGAAGGCTGAGGCCGGGCCCCAGGAGGGGTTAGATCTCTTTCCCTCCTTCCCTCCAGGTCGCCAGGCTTTGCTAATTTCATCTTCCAAATATTTACCAAGTTAATGCCCTTCTCCTCCTACTCTGATGTGCCTCTGCAGTTTTGGTCCCATTATCTCTGCCCAGGTTGGTGTCTGTGCCCTCTCTGGGCCTGGCTCTCAGTCCTGTCCCCTGCTGCTGCTGGATGATCTATTTCTGTAATGCATCTGGCCACTGCCCTCTCTTCCCTGCTACCCCAAACACCCCAATTCAGTGTCTCCACGTTGCCTGCAGCTCTGATACTGCAGGGCCCAGGACTTTCAAGAGGTAGAGCCAAGGGTGGGAGAAGGAAGAGTTGGAGGGACGCCCAGCTCTCCACCTGGGAGCTGAGCAGCTAGGGGTGGTGGTGATAACATCGACAAGGTTGGAAAGAGAAGCAGAAGCTGAGCCAATGGATTCCCTCTGGGAGCGGCTGGGGGAGGATGGCAGGGAGTGATCCGAGGGGTCCCGCTCTCGTGTATGGGACTCTGTCATGTGAGTACACATGTGATGGCTGGCAAAAAAGCAACTGTATGGCAGGATCCTCATCCACGGGAAGGACAGGGCTTCTATTTTAAAATACACTGAACAGCAAGACTGCACATGCTTTCTGGAATAGAACATAAATGCATCTATGAATCAAAGTCAGAAAATATATTGGTGGTTGTTTTCTTGCTTTATTTTGCGCTCTCACAGGTGTGACTATCAGTTTTCAGGAATATATTCTTTGCTCAATATGTATCTTCTTCCTGCCCTCCTTGCTTCCTTTCCTTCCTCCAGTGCACACAGATCGAGCCCACAACGCAGCAAGCACAGAGATGAAAAGAGGAAGATAGACGCGGGGTCTGCACCCACGAAACTCAGTCTAGAGGGACACAGGGGTGCCCTGGCCAGCATCTGGACTCGTGAGGCTGATGCATCAAGCCACGGCAGAGCTGCCTGGGAAAGGTGCATAGGGAGCACTCTCAGGGGCCAGAGGAAGGGACATCCAGGCGGCACCGGGCAGTGAGGCAAGTCAAGGGTGGCGGAGGTTGGTGGGGACAGTGTTACTGGGAGAGGGAAGGCTGAGTGCAGAGGTGGAGGGTAGGGATGGGCAGGGGCAGAAAGCACTGTGAAGGGAGCTTAGTGGAAGAGGGTGGGCGAGGGGAGGCAGGGCGGGAGGGATACAGGGAGAAGGGTGGATGTGCTGCAGGGACACCCGGGTGGTGACAAAATTAAAGTGCCTAAAAATACTCAAGGAGAAATGAACTTTGTTAACACAGTTTCTTTAAGAATGTAACGTGCCTGTAATCCCAACACTTAGGGAGGTTGAGGCAGGAGGATCACTTGAGTCCAGGAGTTGGGGACCAGCCTGGGCAACATAGTCATGCCTGTTTCTACAAATATAAAAATAAAATTAGCTGCATATGGTGGTACGTGTCTATGGTCCCAGCTACTCCAGAGACTGAGGCAGGAGGATGGCTGGAGCCTGGGAGGTCAAGGCTGCCGTGAGCTGTGATTGTACCACCGCACTCCAGCCTGGGCAACAGAGCAAGAACCTGTCTTAAAAAAAAAAAAAAAAAGAAAGAAAGAAAGAAAAGGAAAAAGAACCGGTTACCATCTCAATGAATTAGAGAAGACAGAACTAAAGAATATTTATATCCTGCCCAAGTGTTCACAATGCATCTCTCCGTTTTCACAATGCACCTTTCTTACCTTCTCTCTGTTTTTTGTTTTTTGTCTGGACTAATTGCTAGTCAGACTGTTCTCCTCTCTGCAGTCCCCTGAATTCTGCTTGTCCCTGGGGCCTGGGCGAGCGCTAGAAAGGAGAATGGGCCAGTAATCAGCTCGTCCCACAGTGAGACACATATCCTGGTCATCTTCCTTTGCTCACCCAACTTCCCCTTAAGTTTCTGCTAAGATTTGCTGACCTCCCTGCCCTATAAAAGAAAAGCCCTTTTCTGATTGATTTTGAGATGTTTACAGTTCTTGAGTTCCAAGGATTCTCCCCTGTTAGTTGCAAGAGTCTTTTTGAATAAATCTTCTCCTTATCTAAGACAAGATTAGTTTTGCTTGACAATGCAAATGACCAGAGGGACACAGAGAACTAAGAACATTTTTTAAAAGGGAAAGGTCTTGTTGAAATTAAATCTATACTTAATCAGTATCAGATCATCTTGTATTTGAGACTTCCTATCTTGTGTCTTGAGAAGGGCAAGAAGCAGTCTGGTGATACTGAGCTATAAACTAGAAAGGTTTTGCTATCATCTTTGCAGAACTGAACTATTTATGTGGCCTACAGGCAGGTTTTCTGCAGGATGTTGTATTTGTTATATGTTTATGGGAACCATTCTTCTCTCGAAATAACAGGCTAAATTTGCCATTAGGACATTGAATTTACCCACAAACTTTGTAATAAATACTCTTCAGGCTAGGATGGTAATGGCTTTACTTTGGTCTAACCAGTCTCTAAGTAAATAGTATGAATATTCTTGCTGGTTTGGAACTGCTCTCCGCTCAATTTCATTTTCCTCCTGGACAGTGCAAGAACACTAAATGTGGTGAGTATAGGAGCCATGTGCAAATGCACAATGCAAATTCCTTTTTTTCTGCAAGAGAAGAGGATGAATATGATAGATATTTAGGAAGACTTAGTGAATAATGGCACTTGGGAGCAAAGGAGAGGAAAGAGCCATTCCATGGTCTGAGCAATGGGAAGCCATTCTCTGAGTGGGATGGCTGAAGGGGCATGGAATTGCCAGGAGCTAAAGGGATACTGAGGATGAGCTTAGTTTGAGTCATCGGAGTCTGCGTGGTGTTCCACAGTAACTGCGTGGATCAGGGCCGGAGTCGTCTTTTTTTTTTTTTTTTGAGACGGAGTCTCGCTCTGTTGCCCAGGCTGGAGTGCAGTGGTGCGATCTCAGCTCACTGCAAGCTCCGCCTCCCGGGTTCACGCCATTCTCCTGCCTCAGCCTCCCGAGTAGCTGGGACTACAGGCGCCCGCCATCACGCCCGGCTAATTTTTTTTTTTGTATTTTTAGTACAGACGGGGTTTCACCGTGTTAGCCAGGATGGTCTCGATCTCCTGATCTCGTGAGCTGCCCACCTCGGCCTCCCAAAGCGCTGCGATTACAGGCGTGAGCCACCGCGCCCAGCCAGGGCTGGAGTCTTAAACTTGGGAGTGGCCAGTGCAGAGATGGGACTGATGCTATGGAAGCAGATGAATTTGCCCAAGGATGGTGTGCTCAATACAGAGAGAAGGGAGTTTGGATAAGGACCCAGAATCAGGAGCAGGAAGAAGAGTCTACAGAGACGATCATGATGAGAATGACCAGAGAGAAAGACGGAAACCAAGAACAGGAGGACACATGGACAAACCCACCATAGGAGTGGAGGAACACATTTGTCTCAATGTGTCCAGCAGACAACTAGTTAGTAAGGACATAGAAGAGCTGAACGTGCCAGATCTAATGGACATGTACCATATATACATTTACCTGTCCTCAAAAAGATATGTATGACTTACTACAAAAATTCACCACAAAGTCGTGCACAAAGCAAAATCTCAACTAACACCAAAGACTTGTTATTAGACACATTGTAATCAGGTTACCTGACTACAGTACAATTAAATTTGCTATAAATAATAAAAAGTAGGCCAGGCGCACTGGCTCACGCCTGTAATCCCAGCACTTTGGGAGTCGAGGCAGGCGGATCACCTGAGGTCAGGAGTTCAAGACCAGCCTGACCAACATGGTGAAACCCTGTCTCTACTAAAATACAAAAATTAGCTGGGTGTGGTGGCACACGGCTGTGATCCCAGCTACTCGGGAGGCTGAGGTAGGAGAATCGCTTGAACCCAGGAGACGGAGGTTGCAGTGAGCCGAGATCACGCCACTGCATTCCAGCCTGGGTGACAGAGCAAGACTCCGTCTCAAAAATAAATAAATAAACAAAATAAAATAAAATAAAAATAAAAAAGTAACGGAAAAACCCTCCATATATCTGCAAAATTTAAAAAATACTGCTAAATAACCCAGGGACTGAAAAATAAATCATAAGGAAAATTAAAGAAGTCTCAGAACTGAATAAAAAAGTTACTAGACATCAAAACTTAGCGTATGCAGTTTGCCTGCTTATATGAGGAAGAAAGACTGAATTTAGTAACAGCATACATCGAGAGAAGTGAGAAAAAGAAAAAGGAATTTGGAAGGAAGGAAAAAATGGAGAAGAGAGCAGAAACTAATGAAATAAGAAACAAAGCAATGACAAGATCAATAAATATTAAGCTGGTTCTTTGAAAAAAAACTGACAAAAATAGGCAAGTCTCTGGCAGAGGCTGATTAACAAAGAAAGAAAAGGAATAAATTAAAATATTAAAAATTAAAAAAGACATAACTAGGCATAGCATATACATGAATTTGAAAACCTAAACAAAATGGACAATTTATTCCAGAAAAGCAAAACATTCTAACATAGTCTCAAGAAGAAGGAGGAAATCCAAGTAACCTATAATCCACTGAATCAGTACTTAACTATCTACTGACTGCAAAAGAAATTACCAAGCCCTGGTGATTTTGTAACTTTTACCAAACATTCAATTCAAGAAATAGGTAAGTTTAATCTTCTGCAAACTTTGTTTTCAGAGGGAAAAAGAGGGGAACACCTCCCAGCTCATCTTTCTAGGCTAGTGTAAACTAAAAAATAAAATAAAATTAGGCAATTGCAGTATGAACAAGGGAAAGCTTGATTCATATAATTTATGAATAATGATGAAAAATCTTTAATAAAAGAAAAGCAAAGTAGATTTTCATAATTATATGAAAATATTGTGCCTAAGTTTTATCCCAGAAATGCAAGAACGGTTCCACATTAGAAATCCATTCTACATGAATATATATTCATGTAGTTTCATGTATATTCACTATATTAACAGAATACAGTTATATGTGTATGAATGTGTATATACATATATACACACACATATACACATACAAATACACACATGCATATATACTTATCTCAATAGATGCAGCATTTGCTAAAATTTAAAACTCATGGCAAACTCTTAGCAGACTGGTAACAAAATGGGATTCCCTTCATCTGGCAAATAATATTTAGTATTAGAAATTTTCAGCAAACATTATTCTTAATTATTAAACTCTTTCCTTTAAAATCGGGAACAAGACAAGGATGGCTACTGGCTCAACTTCCATTCCATTGTGTTGAAAGTCCTAACCAGTGCAGGAAGATGGGAAAAATTAAGAATCAATGTGAAGACTGGAAAAGAAGAAACAAAACTGTCGTTATTCCCAGATGATGGAACCCTCTAAATAAAAAGTCCTAAACAATCTACAGGCAAACTGTTAGAGAATAAAAAATTTAAAGTAAAAAAAAGAATTTTTTTTTTTTTTTGAGATGGAGTCTCACTTTTTCACCCAGGCCAGACTGCAGTGGCGCTATCTCAGCTCACTGCAAGCTCCGCCTCCTGGGTTCATGCCATTCTCCTGCCTCAGCCTCCCAAGTATCTGGGACTACAGGCGCCCGCCACCGCACCCGGCTAATTTTTTGTATTTTTAGTAGAGACGGGGGTTTCACCGTGTTAGCCAGGATGGTCTCGATCTCCTGACCTCGTGATCCGCCTGCCTCGGCCTCCGAAAGTGCTGGGATTACAGGCATGGCCACTGCGCCCGGCCAAACTAAAAAAATTTTAAACTCCCTACTTTTCCAATAAGGACAAAATGATATGACACCTAGGAATATATATTTAACGTAAGTTGATCGAGACTGTATATTAAAAATGGTAACATTTTTATTGAAAAACAGAAGGCTAAATGAAAAGCTGTACCAAAAATGATAATTCTCCCCAGATTAACCTAAAAATACAATACAGTTACAATGATGGTGTGTGTGTATATATGAGAAAGAAAGAGAGAGAGAGAGAGAAGGGAGAGAGAAGAGAGCTCTCTCTCCATCTCTCTTGGAGGAATGAGAATGGCCAAGACAGTTCTAAAGAGGGGAAGAGTGGGGATTTACCCTATTAACTACAAGACAAATACAGAACCAGTATTTCCCGTAATGTGGTAACAAGAGAGACAAGCCATAGACCAATAAAAAAAAAGAGCCCTCAGAAATAGACATCTTCAAATATAGAAACAGATTGGTGCTGTAATAATTGATGACTATCCATACACAAAAATAAATACAACTAGATCCGTATCTCACAACACACAAAATTAAACCCCAGGGGGATTACTGAGCTCAGTGTGAGAGGCAAAGTTTTAAAACTTCCATGAAAATACAGAAAATTTTTATCACTTGGGGATGGAAAAATAGTTCTTAAAATGCAACACTAAAAGGACACATCATCCAGGAAATGAATTTGCCTGCATTAAAACTGAAAACTTCTCTATCACAAATGATGCCCAAAACAACTTTGAGTGATGAGTCACTGATCGTGAGAAGACTTTTATGACAAAGGGAAATCGTTTAGAGTAAAGAGCAAATAACTCAGCAGGAAAAGAGAAAAAACCAGGGAGTTAGCAGATCAAAACAAATAGCCATCAGTCACACAGAAAGCCTGAGGACATCGAGAAGCAAGGCTGCCTTTTCCACTGGCCAGGAGAGCGGGGATCCCTGCCATCGCTGTGGAGTGCGGTGACTAAAGTCCTGCAGATGCACTTCCCCTGTGAGCCAGCAAGTCTGCAGGCTGGAGAAAATGCAGCAGGTGCACACACGCTGCCGAGTGCACATCACTCCGCATTCTAGCACTGTTAGAATAATGAGAAACTGGGAACAACCCAGTGTCCATGAACAGGAGATGGAGAAGCAACCTGTGGAATACTCGCTCAATGCAAGACCATGCAGAAGCCCCACGAAGATGACTAAGGCAACCCTTATCTACATGGATCAGTATCACAAACCTGATGGGGGTGAGAATAGAAACTGGCTTACGGTACCAAATGCGTCAACTTTGATGTAAAGTTTCAGTGAAGCAGACAACTCTGCAGGGGAATGAAAAATTCCCTGATGCCTCAGGATAGTGGCTGCTTCTGGACAATCTCTAATTTCAGACAGAGGGAGGGACAGAGAGCCGTGGCAGTGGAGGGGACTCAGATGGGTCTGCAACAATGTATGATAATATATTTCTTATTTAAAGAAAAAGAATAGAAGCAAATATTGTAAACATAGTAAGATTGAATAAATCTGGAAGGTATTATATTATTCTCATACTTTTCTGCACGTTGAACTAGCTAGTAACTTTTTTTTTTGAGACAGAGTCTTGTTCTGTTGCCCAGGCTGGAGTGCAGTGGCATCATCTTGGCTTACTGCATGCAGCCTCAACCTCTCAGGCTCAAGTGATTCTCCTGCCTCAGCCTCCTGAGTAGCTGGAACTACAGCCACGCACCACCACATCCAGCTAATTTTTGTATTTTTAGTAGACACGGGGTTTTGCCATATTGGCCAGGCTCGTCTGAAACTCCTGAGCTCAAGCGATCCGCCGGCCTCGGCCTCCCAAAGTGCTGGGATTACAGGTGTGGGCCACTGCACCCAGCCACTGACAACTTTTTTAAGGGTGCAGTGCTCAACTTTCAGATGTGCCAGGAGATGCACAGAACAAGGACCTGCTGAGGGCACCGCTGGTCATTTGCACGGAAATGACCCATTGGCTGTCCCCTGCTCTGCTGCGATTCTTCAGGCACCACCTAGTCTCCGTCTCCTACTAAGCGGATCAGGTTGGAAGTGGAGGAAGCAATGGATCTGGCATTAAAGATGGAAATCTGGATCTACCACCAGTTGAGTCTGCAGCTCAGCCCCTGCACATCCTGGGGCCTCCATTTTCCCATCTCCTCATGGAAATCATGAAGTCCGCCTCATGGACTTCACTGCGGTTGGGGTGGTGGTGGAGAAGACAGCTCATGGGATTTGAAAGGGCTGCATAAACCAGTTCCCAAAGGATGCCTATGCAGCGAAACCAGCCCGGGACCAGCGCAAAATAATACTAGTAGGTTTTATGTCTCCCATGGATGCTCTGCTCCTTTGTCCAGTGCCCTGTCCTGTGGCCCCTCTCACTTTGGGGACCATGGGACATGGAGCCTACCTGGAGATCAGAGGTTATTTTTAAAGCATTTGGTTATTTCAGGGCTCTAAATGAGTATCAGAATGAGAGAGAGGAGAAGGCAGTATTGAACGGTATGAGACCATGGGTGTGGTGGTGTGTGGCCGTAGTTCCAGCTACTCAGGAGGCTGAGGCAGGAGAATCACTTGAGCCTGAGAGGTTGAGGCTGCATGCAGTAAGCCAAGATGATGCCACTGCACTCCAGCCTGGGCAACAGAACAAGACTCTGTCTCAAAAAAAAAAAAAAAGTTATTAGCTAGTTCAACATACAGAAAATATGAGAATAATATAATACCTTCCAGATATTGTCCCAGCATGTTGGCCAGGCTGGTCTTGAACTCCCGACCTCAGAATATCAAATTGCTCAGAACAATTGTGCTCCACTCCCCTGTGATTATAGGATTCCCTGCTCAGCTTCCTGGAACCAGTGCCTATCGGTTTCGGAATCACACCCAATGCCCTCCATGCATCTCTGAATTCATGCATTATTCCAGTCCTATCTTTCCTGCCTTTGCTTTTGTCCTTTGTTCTTCCCCTGCTCACTTACCTGTCATGAAAACTTCCAACAGCTTCACTGAGGTAAAACTGGCACACAACGAAGGGCACCCATTTGAAGCATGAGTCTGATGAGTTTTCACACAGTACACATTCTGTGCTTTCATTTGCCCTGCTGCCATTTTTAGGTATTCTTTTCCACGGCCCCTTCTTCCCATGGTCCCTTTTTATTTATTTAGAGACAGAGTTTCGCTCTGTTCCCCAGGCTGGAGTGCAGTGGTGTGATTTCAGCTCACTGCAACCTCTGCCTCCCAGGTTCAAGCGATTCTCCTGCCTCAGCCTCCTGAGTAGCTGGGATTACAGGCGCCCGCCACCACACCTGGCTAATTTTTGTATTTTTAGTAGAGACAGGGTTTTGCCGTGTTGGCCAGGCTGGTCTCGAACTCCTGACCTCAGGTGATCTGCCCACCTCGGCCTCCCAAAATGCAGGGATTACAGGTGTGAGCCACCACGGTCTCTTTATTCTAGAACATCTCATATGGTTCAATATTGCCTTCTCCTCTCTCTCATTCTGATACTCATTTAGAGCCCTGAAGTTACCAAATGCTTTAAAAATAACCTCTGATCTCCAGGTAGGCTCCATGCTGTCCTCTCCCGTTTGTTTACTCATCCATCTGCAGCACTTTCTCCAGTCTGGTGTTTGGCCCCCGAATGGGGCGGTGGAGCTCCTCCCGTACTTTCTGTTTGGACACTAGAGTGACTGGGGTACTTTAGAGTGTGAAAATGGGTCTACTAATATCTATGCTGGACCATCTTCGACCATGTGGTGTGTGCTAACCCTAAACAGAACCCTCTCCTGAGATCCTGACACCCAGCCTGTGCTGGCATGGCAGAGACCACACAGCTGGAAGGAAGGAGGGACTGTCTCTCTGTAGTTCCTTTTATCTGAATGTGCTCCGAACTGTGGGTCCCTGCATTGGGGGAAGGAGGGAGTCTGTATGGCATAGCCATCTGGGTCCCAGAGTCTCCCAAGAAGCTGCCCTAAATCCTGCCACATCACAGCTGCCAAAAAACTCCAAAGGCAGCACCTCCCTTAGTGGTGGCTCCAGAATTTCAACTCTGGGACTGCAATCTGGAAGGAGGCTGTGTGTGCAGGGGAAGGAGTGGTATCTTAAAGCTGTGTTTGCACAGCACATTGCATTAGACCTTAAAAATGTCCACCATCCATTTCAAACAGTGGGAGCACTACTTATAAAAATTATAAAGGCCTTTAGAACCCACCCTCCCCATAAATTACCACCGGCACCATAGGTGATTCCACATCTGACCCATCAAACACCTATCAGTCCTTGTTCTTCAAAATGAGGGCATATTTGAGACCTAGTATGGCTTCCAGTAACCTCCCAGAAGGCCTCATAAAGCTGAGTTGAAAGTTGTTCTTTCTCTTTCTTTGTTCTGGTCTTATATGCAATATGTCTGGCAGAAAATTCTAGAACATTCTAGAAAAATGCAAGTGATGCATTGGCCATTAAGGAAGGGTACAGGTCTTCAGCCATTTTTGTGTAGGTTTTCTGTCATTTCAGCTAGGATTAGAGGTGAGGTATGTGTATACATGGCCAACCATCTGTGTTCCCATTACCACATACCTAGAGCTGTGTTTGGTATCATTCAGCAATAGAATCCCAGATTTTTTTCATATATTCCCACTTCCTCAGCTTCTTAGATGCTACCGTTCTTTTCCTATAGCTAACCTACCCGTATATCACCCATACACACTGAAAACTGCATCCGTCATCCTACTCAACAAAATAATGGCTCTCTTTCAGGACAGAGGGAAGGATTGAAAAAATTTCTAAGTTAATATTTTAATTTCCTGTCATAGTGAAAACACAACATATTACACTGTCACTGTCTGTTTTTCTTTCTTTCTTTTCTTCTTTTTTTTTCTTTTTGGGACAGAGTCTCACTCTGTCATCCAGGCTGGAGTGCAGTGGTGCGATCTCTGCTCACTTCAGCCTCCTCCTCCAGAGTTCAAGCAATTCTCCTGCCTCAGCCTCCCGAGTAGCTGGGATTACAGGCGTGTGCCACCACGCCAGGCTAATTTTTGTATTTTTAGTAGAGATGAAGTTTCATCATTTTGGCCAGGCTGGTCTCGAACTCTTGACCTCAGGTGATCCACCCGCTTCAGCCTCCCAAAGTGCTGGGATTACAGATGGAAACCACTGCTCCTGGCCAACTGTCTGTTTTTCTTGTCTGTTTCCCCCAGTAGACTTGGAGGGCAGAGTCAGTGTCTCTTATCTCTGTACATCCAGTGGCCAACCCAGACACAGAAGAGGTGCTCAAAAATTTTCTCTGAATGAATAAATTAAAAACTCTTATTGATTTCAAAAACAGTTACTGGGTATAATTTGTGCCACGCCCCTCGCTGTAAGCCAGAAAAAGACAGGAGAAATGCCGGGCAGTGAGGAGGCCAGGTCAGGCTGGTGACCACAGACATATAAGCTGCTCACCCACAGGCTGTGCGGTATGCTCCACTGGTCTTGTTGCTCAGGATGCAAACAAAGAGATAGCAGATATTTGGGCTCATCCAGGGATGCCTGCTAGCCAGGGAGGCACCACAGAAAAGCAGTATGAGAAGGAGCTCTCACATACTGGTCCAGGGATGGCTGAACAGGTGGACATGGCTCATGCATAGAGAGAGGGGCGGTATCGCACAGTGGAGTCTGGCTGAAGCTGGACAGCACTCACCATGGGGCTGTGTGAAATATTAATAATAAGATATGTATTATGTGTCTTTGGTCTCTGCTCCTCAGTCCCTGCTAAAGAGCTGCTAAAATCCTTGTCACTTCCTGAGTGACAGGGGCACTAGGTAATCTTTTTGTTGTTGTTTATAGTTAGTTTTTCTTTCTTTTTTTAATTATACTTTAAGTTTTGGGATACATGTGCAGAACATGCAGGTTTGTTACATGTGTATACATGTGCCATGGTGGTTTGCTGCACCCATCAACACATCATCTAGGTTTTAAGCCCTGCATGCATTAGGTATTTGTCCTAATGCTCTCCCTCCCCTTGCCCCCACCCCCTGACAGGTCCTGGTGTGTGATGTTCCCCTCTGTGTCCATGTGTTCTCACTGTTCAACTCCCACTTATGAGTAAGAACATATGGTGTTGGGTTTTCTGTTCCTGTGTTAGTTTTCTGAGAATGATGGTTTCCAGCTTCATCCATGTCCCTGCAAAGGACATGAACTCATTCTTTTTTTATGGCTGCATAGTAGAGAATCTTCTGTTTTAGTATTTGGTGTTTGACCCCAGCT
Source organism: Homo sapiens (assembly GCF_000001405.40). NCBI lineage: Eukaryota > Metazoa > Chordata > Mammalia > Primates > Hominidae > Homo > Homo sapiens. Next base: position 1,464,219 of record NT_187660.1, read on the forward strand.
CCTAAATCCTTTGGAATTTCCTGGGTGATAGGAGTGTCTTTTGTTCTAATGAAGCGACTCTTGATGGAATTCTAGATGGGTGCTGGGTCACCAGAATGACCAAGCCATGATGACGAGCTTGGGGCTTTCAGCCCCACTCCCCATTCTCCAGAGAAGGGACAGAGGCTGGAAACGGAGTTAAAAATCGATCCTGCCTACATGATGCAGCTTAAATAAAAGTCCCTGAACGGAGGGGTTCAGAGAGCTTCTGCGTCAGCGAACACATCCCCATGCCAGGAGGGTGGCGTACCCTCGCTCCTCGGGGACAGGGGCTCTTGTGCTCAGGACTCCCCCAACCTCGCCACATGCATCTCTCCACCTGGCTGTGCACCTGCATCCTGCCTCATATCCTTTATAATCAACAAGGGCATGGAAGTAAAGCCTTTCCGTGGGTTCTGTGAGCCACTCTAGCAATTCAATCAAACCCAAGTAGGGGGTTGTGGAAGCCCCAGTTTATACCCCATTGGCCAGAAGTACAGGTCACAACCTGGGGCTTGTGACTGGCATGAGAAGTGAGTGTGGTCTTGTGGGGCTGAGCCCTTAACATGTGGGATCCAACGCTGTCTCCAGGTAAAGAGTGTCAGAATTGAGTTGAACTGAGCACACCCAGCTGGTGTCTGCTGGAGAATGGTTTGGTGTATGGGGGAAATGAATACATCTGGTGTCAGAAGTCTCGTGCTGAGTGGTGTGTGAGAGTAGAGCACTGGAGGCTGGAAATTGTCTTGCTTTTTTTTTTTTTTTAACTTTCTTAGAGACAAAGATAAGAAAGCACATAAACTCAATAACTGATTGATTTCTTGGGAAACTTTTATCTCCTTGTCCATTGATAAGGTTTCTCTGGGTAATTTGGTTTATTGTGGCTCAGTAAATTAAACCAGGTACATGAAAGAAGAATAAGATCTTTAACTTTGATTTGAATTAGGTCACTATAATAAAAGCATAAGGACATTGTTGAATACAGCAAAGCACTAAAGGTGGCTAGATGCAGTGTCAACATGTTACGAAGCATATTTCACCAGTTAACAGTTCTGATTTTTGTAACTTAAAAAAAAATACTGTGAATACTGGTCCAAAAATATGTCACAGTCTTGCGCTGGGTTTGACTTGGCAAAAATGGCCATCAATCTACCTAAACATCTTTTTATTGTTTAAGCATTTATTATGTCATTTTTTGTTACAAAAGCCGAGACACTGTTTCATCAGGAACGGGGGTCTGTAGCCTTGCTTTTTCAGTAGCACTTGTCCATCACTGTCAAAGGCTTTGAGAAGGCAGATACTGAAATCCTAATTTTTAGACCCTATTTCCTGACTATTCATAATGAGATGCCCAGAGGCAGGCCCTGTCATCGGGAAGCAGGGACATGGGTCCTGGAGGGCTGAGACACTCAGATGGTCCCTGCCCTCCACCAGGACCTGCTCAGGAACCCAGGAGGAGCCACCTGCCCTCTCTCTGGGCTGCAGCCTTCACACCTGCACCATCGGTCAATGGACCCCAGGATGCACCCTCCCTCTGGCTCTACAATTCTGTGAATCCCTGTGTGGTGTGGTGGAGTTCCAGGTCCCCTCTGTGCCCTCTGCCCTGCTCCTCGCTCAGCCCCATAAGGAGGTAAGAAACCATCAATATCCTCAAGAGAGAGGCTTGTTGGCCCCCAGGGGTTCTCTGCTAAAAAAAAAAAACAGAGAATCTAGGAGCAGGGCCAGTCAGGAAGGGCAGAACAGAGATCCAGGGGTTTCGGGGCCTCCAAACCAACAAAAGACAATCCGAGGGATGAGTGAAGCAACATCTGCATGCTCTTCTGGATTCCAAATTTATTCCTCCTCGGCCATGAAGAAAGTTGGTTTCTGCTTTTTTCCCTGAGGATGGGCTGTGCCTGTACAGCCTTCCAGGTATGGGAGGGGAGGAAGGAGGGGAGGGTGCCTGACAGGAAGCAAGTAGTTGGACAAATCTCATTAAGTCAGTATCAGTTAATTCAAACACAACTAAAATCAAAGTGCTTTGATTCCCAAGCCAATTATATAGGATTTCCCCCACATAAATTGAGTTCATTACATAGTAAGTATAGATAATCCATAATTTAATATGGAAAATTCAGACATGGAGTGTTACTAATCAGATAAACAGAGCCTCAAATTAGACTATGGAAAAGATCAATGGACCTGCTCTAATTGCCAACCAAAAAGAAGCAAGCAAAAGGGAAATTAATCAAAGGAACATTCTCCTTTGCTCCTTCTTTAGCTAAGCGTCAAGAACATTTTGCAGGTGATAGGAAGGGGCTGTCCTGGATATCCGTGCAAAAGAGTAGAGCAGCCTCTTCCCAGAGTGGCTCCATTTCCAATGGCCCATATTTGTTCTGCTGCCCAAGAGTTTTAATAAAGCAACACCGGATCCCTGCAGAAGATCCTTTCACTGCAGTCAAAGTCATCAGGCACAGCTTGGCTTGGATGACTTTTCAAGAGTAAGGATTATATTAAAAATGACTGCACCACTAATTATGAGAAAACTAGATAATGTGGCACATGACTCTCAGAGGAAGAAGTATCTATAATTATGGGAAGGAAGTACAAAATCTTAATTATGCTAACTATTTAAATAGAGCATAAGGCTTGAGATAGAATTTAAGGGTTAGGAATCTGCCTTAGTGCTTTGAAGTATCCATATACTTCAGAAAAGGGATCTGAAAAAGATATAAAATACACTGAAAACTCCACTGTAATTAACTAGCTAGAGACATCCATGGGTGCAAACCGTAACCAAGGAGAGAAGGCTGCTGCAATCTCAGGGATAAAAACGAAGACACAAGGGCTCATGGAAAAAAAAGACAAAGACAGAAGGAGCCGAGGAGGGAGTTGCCAAGACTCAAGATCACATCGCAAGCAGAGGAAAAAGGTAATGCCTGCTGCAGAAAACAGCCAGGAAGAGAAGCTTTACAAAAACCGAACAGGGATAGGGGCAGTGGCTCATGCCCATAATCCCAGCACTTTGGGAGGTCAAGGCAGCAGGATCACTTGAGCCCAGGAGTTCGAGACCAGCCTGGGCCAGTGAGATCCTATCTCTACAAACAATAAAAAATTAGCTGGGCATGGTGGCATATGCCTACAGTCCCAGCTACTTGGGAGGCTAAGGTGGGAGGATCTCTTGGGCCCGGGAGTTTGAGGCTGCAGTGAGCCGTGATCACGCCACTGCACTCAACCTGGGCAACAGAGTGAGACCCTGTCTCAAAAGAGTTTGTTAAGTCATTCATGCTACATTTCCAATGTGGGTAGGGTGCAGGACGCTCTGTTCATTGTAGTGACCCAGGCTGATGGCACTGCCATCACCTCTACTCTGCCAATTACTGTGCCAGTGGGAAAGAGAGCTCTGGAAGACCTCAAACCACATTTAAACATTCTGACTTGAAAGTGGTACATATAAGCTTTGCTTACATGGCCCCCAGCAATCATGAGGGGACAGGGAAGTACAATCTTACCATGTAAAAGGAAGTTGGAGAGCTAGACATGTTTTAAAACAGCATTAATGACCATCACATACCTAAAGGGGAGAAAGCATTTGGCTGACTTTCAGATTTTTCCCTATACAGATATTCAATGCAAAAGAGAATAACATATCATCTATAAACCCCTAAGAGAAAGTTTCCTCAAGAATTCTGCACCCAGGGGGAAAAATGATGTAGAACATTATTCCAGAACATTATTCCAGATTCTGCTGAGGATGGAGAAAGCTGGAAAGAACATTGCCCCACCATTACAACAACAAGAAGAAGACATTGGGTTCTGCAAATTCCCAACTTAAGGTGAACCCATCAGACAGCTGAGGTCACAGGACAGCAAATTCTAAGGAAAAGACAGAGTCTCCAAGGAGAGACATGAGCACTTACCTGGGGCGTATGCAGTCAGATACCAGCTCTAGTGGAAAAGGTGGACAAGATGGAAGATCACTGAGGTAAGGTAGCAGAGAGGTGGAAGCAATGAGGAAGAGTCAAATGCAAATACTAGGAATTAAAAACAGGCACAGAGATGAAGAATGCCTTTGATAGACAGGGTCGGCAGTGGACTGGACACAGTTGAGGAAAAAATGACCAAGTGGGGTTTATCTTGGGAATGCAAGGCTGGCTTACCACTCAAAAGTCAGTGTTATTCACCATTTGAGTGGACTGAAGAAGATAATGTATAGCAACATCTAAGCAGACGTAGTAAAAGACTGATAAAATTCAACAGCCATTCGTGGTATTAAAAACAAAACAAAAACCACTCTCAGCAAACTAGGAATAGGAGGGTACTTCTACAACCTGATAATAAACATCTATGAAAAACTTAGCGCTAACATTATACTTAATCCCTAAAAGCAGGAACAAGAGAAGGACATCTGTTCTCACCATATCTATTCAACACTCTACGGGGCGGTCTAGTCAGTGTAATAAAACAGGGAAAAGAAGTAAGGGGCATCCAGATTGCAATGTGTGCTGATTTATTTTAGGTGTCAACTTGACTGGATGAAGGATACTCGAGAACTGGCAAAGCATTGTTTCTGGGTGTGTCTGTGAGGGTGTTTCCAGAGGAGATTGGTGTGTGAGTCTGTGAACTGAGTGGGGAAGATCCACCCTCAATGTTGGGGGGCAACATCTGATCGTCTGGGGACCTGGATAGAACAAAAAGGCAGAGGAAAAGCGAATTATTTTCTTTTGCTCTTCTGGAGCTGAGACACCCTTTCCTGCCCTTGGACATCAGAACTTCAGGCTCTCTGGCCTTTGGACCCTGGGACTCACACTGGTGCAACCACTCCCCGCAGGTTCTTGGCCTTGGACTGAGAGTTCCACCATTGGTTTCCCTGGTTCTGAGGCCTTTTGACTTCGACTGAGCCAAACTCCCAGCTTTCCAGGGTCTCCAGCTTGCAGATGGGACTGTCATAGGACTTCTTAGTCTCCATGGTAATGTGAGCAATTCTTTCAATAAATTCCCTCTCACCTATCTGTATCTGTCCTATTGGCTCTGTCTGGAGAATGGAAGACGTAAAATTGCCTCTCTTTGCATAGCACATGACTGTCTACATAAGAAAACCCAAAGAATCTGCAAAAGAGCTACCAGAACTGAGTTTAGTCAAGACCACAGGATACAAGATTGGTAACAAAAATCAAATTTCTATGTGCTAGCAGTGAATAAGAGACCATTAAAAAATACCATTAGGATAGCACCAATAAATGTGGAATACTTTAAGCATAACTATTACAAAATATGTTAAGATCTATATACTGAAATTTACACAAGACTGATGAAAAAAAGAAACACTGAAGAAATGAAGTATGACTTAAATAAATGAAGAACTAGATCATGAATATGTCAAGTCTCTTCAAAGTGACATGTGGACTCCATGCAATCTCAATTAAAATCCCAGCAGGATTCTAGTAGAAAATGCACAAGTGGATTCTAAAATTTATATGGAATTACAAAGGAAATGATAGCTAAGACAATTCTGAAAAGCAACAAAATTGGACGACAGCAATAAACAGATACTCGCTTCCAATAGTCCCTGGTCCTCTTGATCTCAGATGAAAGTCAGTCCCTGCCAAGGCTGTTGCTCCTTGCATAGGCCCTCAGGTGGGGGACAGGGGCAGGCTGCCTCTTCTCCTAGCACCTAAGCCACTGCTGCCACTTCCAGACCATTGGCCTCACACCTTAATCACAACTCCTGCCTCCTTTGAGCCTCCTGCCACCAGTTTTGATAGTTCCTATCTCTAAGTAGGCTTTGTACACAAATTCATGAGGGAGTTTAAAATAGTGTAGTCTTTCCTTTGCTTTCAACTCTTACCAGTGTCCTGGGCAATCTGAATACCCATGGGGATGTGCCATGCATTCAGCTAGGCTCCCAGCCTTCCCTGGAACTTCTTGACTTCAGTGGCCTTTACTCTATGCCGTTTTTGCCACCTCATACCAAGGGCTTTTCTCACCAATGTACCAGAACAGTGAATAAGAGTGAGACTGCAAGGTCACCAGCTCCCCCTAGACCTGAGACTGCATTCTTAGAGACAGTGTTGTTTTTTCACCAGCATTACCTTTCAAGCCACAGTCACTGCTGCAGGGGCTGGAGAGTCATGAAAACCGGGTCCTGCATCCCATGAGTGAAGGCGTTCAAGGGGGACGCCAGGACCTTAGAGGAGCCTGTTGAACACCCCAACCAGCCAACTGAGGAACGGGAGGTAACGTGAGGCCCAAATGCATCCCCATACTCAAGAAAACATTCCCAGGTTGAAGAAGTGACTTAGCAGTTGTCAGAATGAGATCGCAGAGTGAGCAACGGCTGCCCGTGTCCCCTCCCAGGAGGGCTGTGAAAGGCCACAGCAGACCTCAGGCACTGACCCAGGCAGGCTCCAGGATGCAGTGAGGTAGAATGTGGGCGTAGGTAATGTGGGCAGCATGAAATACCTGGTCCCATGATGGGATGGGCCCTGGAGTGCTGCAGTTCTTGATTCCTCCAACCCCGCTGCATCTGTCACTCTGGTGAGCTGCTGGGACCATCCAACTTGGACCATTCCTCCGTGCAAAACATGACAGGCGCTGTGAGCCAGGCGTAGTCCTACCATGGAGATGAGCCGCATCCTCTCTCTCTGTACATCTTTGCTTGTCTACCAGCCGGAGACCACCCATGGAGGACTAATCACAAGCACTCAAGGTCAACGCTTTCCTCCTCTCCCCAGATCCGAGGTGGCTCTCTGCAGTTTCCCATCCCCTGCATACTGCATTCCCTACACACATGCTAGAACCCCCTCCATACTGCAAACACAATTTTACCACCAACTAAGAGTTCCTTGGACTGTGCCACATCTTTTTATATTTATTTATCCATTTTTTTCTTTTGAGATGAAGCCTTGCTCTGTCACCAGGCTGGAGTGCAGTGGCACAATCTCGGCTCACTGCAACCTCTGTCTCCCAGGTTCCAATGATTCTCCTGCCTCAGCCTCCCAAGTAGCTGGGACTACAGGCGCCCACCACCACACCTGGCTAATTTTTGTATTTTTAGTAGAGAGGGGGTTTCACCATGTTGGCCAGACTGGTCTCGAACTCCTGACCTCAAGTGGTCCGGCTGCCTCAGCCTCCCAAAGTGCTGGGATTACAGGCGTGAGCCACTGCGCCCGGCTTGTGCCACATCTTTTTAAAAAGTTTTGGCACAGTTTTATTCAGGGGAAACAGAAGAATTGGGTTCACTCTTCTTATGTATTTTTAAGTAGCCAATTTTGCTTTTCAGAATAAAACACTCGGAAGAAAAAATAAAATAATATAAACAATTTTTCCAAATCACTTTTTTTTTAAACATCAAATGCTACACATAAGAATAGACTCCCAGGGGAGACTGTCTGATTTTTTTCCTCCAAATATCTTTTAAAAAGCAAAATAAATCCCCATTTGTTCCCTGATGGTATAACAGCCAAAAATGTCAGAAAAGCCGTAGAATGATCCCATCATCATTTGTAAAGACCTCTTTCAACCATTTGCATCCGAATTTGCAGATGTCAGAGGTAGGACAATGAAATGGCAAAAATGCAAAGTGAGATCCAGAAAGCAACACTTTCAAAATCAAAATATATAATCCTTTCAAATGTTCTCTGGAAAGATATTCCCTCTTGCACTGAACCTACCCCGGGAAGTTAAGAGCTGAAAGGAATCTATATGTTAATAAGGCTTCCTAAACTGTCTGTAAGGCATGGAATGAAATGCATGCACAAGCAGCGCCCAGCGGGGTCACCTTCAAGGTCAGCCTCACAGCGTTGCAGTTCTCCTGCAGCGGGTTCAGCTTCAGCGTCTCCCCGAGGTTGCTGCAGCCGGACGACTGGTGCTGCAGCTCACAGCAGACACACACCTCCACACTGTCAAACTTAATCTAGACAGAGGAACACAGACAGACCTCACCGTTAACAGGCATTCGACCCCCGAGGGTACGCGTGAGTGACACAGTTCAGAACACAGGAAAATGGCTCAGTTCAAAGGAGCCTGTTTCAGTGTGTTTAAGTAGTACAGCAAAAACAATTTCTATTGACCCAGGCCATCAGGAGGACTTCAAATTCCTATCTTAACAGCAATGTATAGAAAAAGCAAAAGTACATTTGAAGAAACTTAAGCTATACATTAGAGAAAATGGCAGGTGGATTACAAAATGAGATAAAGGTAAATAGATTGAAAGTCACTCATGCTGATGTATGCACGGAGATGTGCTATCCTAGCTCTGTGCCTTGGCTCATTCTCCTTCCACAGTCAGAAATTTCCTGCCTCACTTCATGGCCTATCAAACTCCTGCTCATCCATCAAGACCCAACTCCAGCGCCACCCTCGAGGCCTTGTCTGGTTTTCCTGCCTCACTGCTACTGAAGACTGACTTTATCCAGCTACAGGTGCATCTTATCACCACAGTATTGACAATGGCAACAAGTTGTAGGTGTTCAATAAATGCTGAATGAATAAAAACGGCTTGGAAAATGGAAAACCATGGAAGAAAAAAATGCATTTCAAGTATTTTAAAAAGCAGTGTTAGACGAAGAGAGAGTATGAGAGTCTCAGTGAGAGGGAAGAGAACAGAGTTACCAGTGCCTAGGAGAAAAGCAGCTTTAAAAAAGTAAAGTCCTAGCCAGGTGTGGTGGTACACCACCTGCATTTGCAGCTACTCGGCAGGCCAGGGCAGGAGGATTGCTTGAGCCTAGGAGTTTGAGACCAGCCTGGCTGGGTAACATACTGAGACTCTGTCTCAAAAATACGTAAATAAAAAATAATAAAGTCCTAGATGTAAAACTACTAAAAAAGAAAATCAGGCCAGGCGCGGTGGCTCACACCTGTAATCCCAGCACTTTGGGAGGCTGAGGCGGGCAGATCACAAGGTTAGGAGTTCAAGACCAGTCTGACCAACACAGTGAAACCCCGTCTCTACTAAAAATACAAAAATTAGCTCGGCGTGGTGCTATGCACCTGTAATCCCAGCTACTCAAGAGGCTGAGGCAGGAGAATCGCTTGAACCCAGGATGCGGAGGTTGCAGTGAGCTGAGATCATGCCATTGCACTCCAGCCTGGATGACAGAGCAAGACTCCATCTCAAAAAAAAAAAAAAATCAGTAAAATCTATGCAATTTTATTCAAAATAACACTGAACATGAAACAAGTTATTTTCCTTAGACTAAGAAGTGCCCTGCTTTCCAATAGATAATATGTTTACAGCAGCCAACTCGAAGTACAAATACTTTTCAGACAAATATTGGCCATTTATAACCATAACAAATAATTTTTCATTGCATGAATATTGCTGAGACTGAGGCCATACTTATAAAACCTCCAGGTATCAACATGTCCGCCTCTCCTAAATACTGGGGGAGGGGTAATGGAGCATCCTCAGAGCCAAGAAATGTGCTGATATTCACCAGAGGAACTCAGCTTAGCTTAAGACTTAGCCCCTGCCACCCCCTGCTCCATGTCAGGTGGGCTTTGCGAGTGGCTTTCAGCAGGAGAATATGGGTAGAGGTGTCAGCTTGCAGCTTCTGAACTTAAGACCTCCACAGGCTTCATGTTTCTGCACCCTCTCCCTGGAACTTCCAATATACAGCAGGAAAAGAACAGATTCCAGGGAGCTGCCAGCTCTCCAGTCCCAGCAGGAAACCCGTGGAGCACCCCTGCAGAACTGTTCTGCCCTATGGTACATGCACACACAACATTACTAGGTAAGATCAAACCATTTTTCAAATAATTCAAACAAATTATACTCCCACCAATAGGGTGTGAATTCAGGCTAATCCACATCCTCACCAATGCTTGCTAATGTTGGACTTAGACATTTTTGTCCATGCAGTAACTAATATAATAGTATCTAATTTGGGGGTGGGTGGGTTTGTTTTCATCTTTCCTCATTTTCTTAACCGTTCATATTGTGAAACCTAACACACATACACAAAAAGTGCACAAAGCAAACATATTCAGTTCAATGATTTATCATTAAGCAAGCACCCACCGGCCCATGGCCATGTTCCTAAAAGGCCTTCCATGCCTCATTCCCTGTCATTCCTCCCACTTGCTGCACCAAAAGCTCACCACATTCCTTACTTTTTAAATAATCACTTCTAGGCTTCCACCTTTATACATTTACCACTATAGTTTAGTTTCACCTGGTTTTCTAACTTGATACAAATAGAATCATACAATATTTTTAGTATTTGGCATCTTTCATTCAAAATTACAAGATTCATCTACCTTACTGCATATAAATATAGTTGATCATGTTCACTGTTGTATATTACATTGTGTGAATATGCTGCCATTTATATATCTATTCTCTTGTCACGGGACGTTTGGATTGTTGCTAATTTTTTTGCAATAAGATTAATGCTGTTTGATATTCTGTACTAGTCTGCTGGTACATACATGTGCATATTTCTTTTGGGTACAAAATACCTATTGATCAGAGCTGCTGGGTCCCTGGGGATTTTCAGCTTTAGCAGAGAATACAAAGCCACTTTCCAAAGTGGCTGTACCAATTTACACACTCACCAGCACTGTTCGAGGGTCCCCATTACTCCACATCCTGGCTTGTGCTTGTTTTAGTCTTTTTAATTTTAGATAAGAAAGTACTGGAAGAGGTACTTCTTCCTTGAAATGAGGGACTAAGCCAAGAAAAAAAGGGAAGATGGGATCTAACACAGAAAAGAGATAGAGGAAGTTCTAAGAGAATGGGAAAAGGATGTCCTAGCATGGTAAATATATAGACTGCCTATAGGCTGACTTGTTCAGACTGAAGCAGGAAACAGGCTCAATGGAAACGTCTCTAAGAAAATGAAGCTGACAGAATGCCTGATGGGTAGGACTGTATTCAGAGGAGATTTTCAGTTCTCCTGGGAAGTTTGAGAGTAAATTAGGAACAGAGACACTAAACAAATAATAAAACAATTTTAACTCAGCATAAAAGACAAATCATATATAGTACATGGTTTTGTTATATATGCGGCTTGTAAATATTTTCTCAGTCTATAGTTTATCTTTTTATCCTCTCAAAAGGATCATTCATTGAGTAAACGTTTTAAATTTTGATGAAGGCCAACTTACATATTTTTGCTCCTACACTTTTGGTGTTGATCTAAGAACTCTGCCTAGCCCTAGATCTTTCTCCTATGTTTTTTCTAAATGTTTTATAATTTTATTTTTACATTTGATTGCATGACCCATTTTCAGTCACTTTTAGTGAAAGATATGAGACTTGGGATGAGGTTGACTATTTTTGCCTATAGATGTCCAATTGTTCCAACATTTGTTGAAAAATCTATCTTTTCTTTGCTTAATTCCTTTTGACTTTTGTCAAAAATTAGTCGGGCATATTTGTGTGTCTCTATCTGGATTCTCTCTTTGTTCCATTGATCTATCTTTCCACCAACCACCAAGTCTTGATTACTGTGGCTATAAGTCTGGAAATCAAAAAATTAATTCCTCCCATTTAATTCTTATTTTTCAAAATTATTTGTCTCTCCATATACATTTTTTTTTTGAGACAGGTCTTGCTCTGTCACCCAGGCTGGAGTGCAGTGGCACCATCTCAGCTCACTGCAACCTCCGCCTCCCGGGTTCAAGCGATTCTCATGGCTCAGCCTCCCAGATAGTTGGAATTACAGGAGCACGCCACCATGCCTAGCTAATTTTTGTATTTTTAGTAGAGACAAGGTTTTGCCATGTTGGCCAGGCTGGTCTCGAATTCCTGGCCTCAAGTGATCCTCTCACCTCAGACTTCCAAAGTGCTGGGTGTACAGGCGTGAGCCACCACACCTCGTCTCCATATACATTTTAGAATAAGACTGTCATTGTCTCCAAAAAAAGTGTTGCTGGGATTTTGATAGGGATTGAATCAAACCCAGTTTCTTTTTTTTTTTTGAGATGGAATTTTTGCTCTTGTTGCCCAGGCTGGTGTGCAATTGCGTGATCTCACCTCACTGAAACTTCTGCCTTCTGGATTCAAGCAATTCTCCTGCCTCAGCCTCCTGAGTAGCTGGGATTACAGGTGCCCGCCACCAGGCCCAGCTAATTTTTTTTGTATTTTTAGTAGAGATGGGGTTTCGCCATATTGGCCAGGCTGGTCTTGGACTCCTGACCTCAGGTGATCTGCCTGCCTTGGCCTCCTGAAGTGCTGGGATTGATTACAGGTGTGAGCCACTGTGCCCAGCCCAAACCCACATATTAACTGGGGGGAAATGGACATATTTACTACATTGAATTTTCCAATTTATTTATTTCCTCATTGTTAACGCAGTTTTCAGTGTATGTTTTGTTAGATTTACACTTATGTATCTTTTTAAGCGATTTTTAATTTCAGTGTCCATATGCTATTAATATGCAGTATTACTGTTACTATACAGTTCACTATTAATACACAAGAAATACAATTGAATTTTGTATGTTTATCTTGTATCCTACAACTTTGCTGAACTCACTTATTAATTCTAAGAGGCTTGTTTGTTCTGTTTGTTTTTTAAAGATTCTTTGGGATTTTCTACATAGATACTCATGTCATCCACAAACAGAGTTAGTTATATTTGTTCTTTTCTAATCTTTATGCCTTTTATTTTATTTTCTTGCCATACTACATTGGCTTGAAATTACAGCATTATGTTCTATATTGAAAAAAATGGTACGAATGAGCATGCTTGCCTTGTTCCTGATCTTAGGGGAAAAGCATTCAGTCTCCATTAAGTGTGTTAGCTGTAGGTCTTTTGTAGATGCTCTTTTTCAAGTTGAGGACGTTCTCTATGCCTATTTTTCTAAGTTTCCTTTTTAGTTATGAAAAGGTGCTTGAGTTTGTCAAATGCTTTTTCTCCAACAATTGATACAGCCATGCAGTTTCTCTTCTTTAGCCTGTTGATATGATAGAATAAATTGACTGATTTTTGAATATCAAACCAGTTTTGAATCCCTGGAATAATCCCTCTTGGCAATGATGTATATAACTCCTTTCAGATATGTTGAATTTTATTCGTTATTATTTTGTTAAGGATTTTTGTATCTATATTACATTAATAAGGGATATTGGCCTGTAATTTTATTTTTCTATACTGTCTTTGTCTGGATTTTGGTAGCATGGCAATATTACTTTCACAAAAATCAATTTGGAAATGTTCCTTCTATTTTTTCAGAGAAATTGTGTAGAAATGGTATTAATTCTATAAATGCTTAATAGAATTCTCCAGTGAAACCATCTGGACCTGGAGATTTTGTTTTTGGAAGTTTTAGAATTATAAATTCAATTTCCTTAATAATTATAGGGCTATTCAAATTCTCTACTTCATAGTGTACGAGTTGTGTTAGTTCGTGTTTTCCAAGAAATTGATCTATTTCATCTAAGTTGTGAAGTTCATTTGTGTAAAGCCATTCCTATTATTCCCTTATTATCCTTTTGATGTCTGCTGGGTCTGTAGTTATATCCCGGTTTCTTCCCAGACATTGGGAATTTGTGTCTTCTAACTTTTTTTCTTGCTAGAGTTTTGTCAATGTTGTTGATGTTGTCAAAGTATCAGCTCCTTTTTCATTGGTTTTTCTCCATTGGTTTTCTGTTGTCCATTTCATTGATTTCTGCTCTTTCATTTATGATTTCCTGACACCTATTTGCTTTGGGTTGATTATGCTGCTCTTTATCTAGTTTCTTTTTTTAATTTTATTTTTAGTTGAGAAATAATTCTATATTACATATTTATGGGGTACAGTGTGATGTCTTAGTAATGTTTACATTGCAGAATGATTGAATCAAGCTAATTCACAAATCACCTCCCATTTTAAAAATTTTTTTTATTTTACTTTAAGTTCTGGGATACAGGTGCAGAATGTACAGGTTTGTTACATAGGTATATATGTGCCATAGTGGTCTGCTGCACCCGTCAACCCATCATCTAGGTTTTAAGCCCTGCATGCATTAGGTATTTGTCCTAATGTTCTCCCTCCCCTTGCCCCCAACCCCTGACAGGCCCTGGTATGTGATATTCCCCTCCCTGTGTCCATGTGTTCTCACTGTTCTACTCCTACTTATGAGTGAGAACATGCAGTGTTTGGTTTTCTGTTCCTGTGTTAGTTTTCTGAGAAAGATGGCTTCCAGCTTCATCTACATCCCTGCAAAAGGCATGAACTTATTCTCTTTTATGGCTGCATAGTATTCCATGGTGTATATGTGCTACATTTTCTTTATCCAGTCTATCATTGATGGGCATTTGGGTTGGTTCCAAGTCTTTGCTATTGTAAATAGTGCTGCAATAAACATACATGTGCATGTGTCTTTGTGGCAGAATGATTTATAATCCTTTGGGTATACACCCAGTAATGGGATTGCTGGGTCAAATGGTATTTCTGGTTCTAGATCCTTGAGGAATTGCCACACTGTCTTCCACAATGGTTGAACTAATTTACACTCCCACAACAGTATAAAACCGTTCCTAGGCCGGGCACGGTGGCTCACGCCTATAATCCCGGTACTTTGGGAGGCCGAGGCAGGCGGATCACGAGGACAGGAGATCGAGACCATCCTGGCTAACATGGCGAAACCCCGTCTCTACTAAAAATACAAAAAATTAGCCAGGCGTTTTGGCAGGTGCCTGCAGTTCCAGCTACTGGGGAGGCTGAGGCAGGAGAATGGCGTGAACCCGGGAGGCAGAGCTTGCAGTGAGCTGAGATCGCGCCACTGCACTCCAGCCTGTGTGACAGAGCGAGACTCTGTCTTGAAAACAACAACAACAACAAAATTGTTCCTGTTTCTCCACAGCCTCACCAGCATCTGTTGTTTCCTGCCTTTTTAATAATTGCCATTCTAACTGGCATGAGATGGTATCTCATTGTGGTTTTTGATTTGCATTTCTCTAATGATCAGTGATGATGAGCTTTTTTTCATGTTTGTTGGCTGATATATTTATCTTTTTGTGGTGAAAACATTTAAAATCTACTCTTAAGCAATTTTGAAATATACGAGGCATTATTTATTTTAGTCATCATTTTGTGAAATAGATCACTAAAACTTACTCCAATCTAACTGAAATTTTGTACCCTTTGATCTATATCCTCTTTGGCTTCAACTGTTTCCCTTTGCTGTGATCAACTGGACAGGAGTCCAGCTCTCCTGAAACAGTTCACTCTCCCACGTCTCAAAAACATTCAAGGAATTATCTCATATGATCACATCTCTAGGCTAGGCATTAAGATTGAAGTAGCTATCATAAATGGCAAGACATTTTCCTCAGTCTGAAGGATCATCCGGGGAAAGGGAGGGGAGATCAGCTTGTCTGGAAAGCATGATTTATCAAATAAAATAACCCTTCAATGACCCCAGGGAATAGACATCCAAATAAATCTTTTCCATCAGTTATTTCACTGAGTTTGTGATTAATTCTTAGGAAAATTCTGAAAACCTCCTGGTTAGTTCCCTGACCTCGACATCTGGGTGTGCAGGCGGCTGACAGATTTATTTTAAGAGTACCCCTCAGTGTTCGGGTCATTGGGAACGACACCGCAGAGCTTTGCAAATGAGGCCACAGTAATTTTTCACAAATCTCTTTGGGGCACTTAACAGCTAGCCTGCCCCCCTTATTTATGGTCTATCAGCCTGTCTGGGAGTAGAAAGGGCTTATACAACAAAAAGAGGGGGATGCCCCCACGATTCTCTTACAGAAGTACAAATGGGATGGGTATGTGACCTTCAGATATTCTCAAAGGGAAGGCAGTGTGGGAAGGCTGAGCATGTAGGCAGAGCAGGGCAGAGGGCTGGGAAGAGGCTGGCATGTGTCAAGCCCGAGAACTTACAGTGGGCACACCAAGGCCAGTATCCTTGGATGTGAGGAGCCTGTTTCGAGGAGGAAGGAGGCGCAGCACGGGTGACAGAGTCAGACTACTCACAGTCCTAACTGCCATGGAGTGACCCAGGACAAGCCATGTGACCTCTCTGGGCTTCAGGTTCCCGGACCCCAGTGAGGATCAAATGAGATTAGACAGGTAAAAATGCAGAGTGCCAACGCTATTTGCCGGTGTTATTGATGTTGCTATTATTTACATTAAAGAAAAAATTTGTAGAAACTAGACCCTAAGTTTTCTTCCCAAAGGTTCAAACAAAGCTACAAAAACTAGACCCTAATTTTTAAATTGTGGTAAAATACACACAACATAAAATTTACCATCTTCACCATTTGTCGGCATACAGTTCAGTGGCATTAAACATATTCACCTCGTTGTGCTACCATCACCACCATCCACCTCCACAACTTTTTCATCTTTCCAAACTGAAACTCTGTCACCACTAAACAAATCCCCATTCCCTCTCCCACAGGCCCCCAACAACTCCCATTCTACTTTCTCTCTCTGTGGATTCACTACTCCAGGTACCTCCTGCAAGTGGAATCAGGCAGTATTTGTCCTTTTGTGGCTGGCCTATTTCACTCAGCATGTCTTCAAGGTTCATCCATGTGGTAGCACGTGTCGAGATTTCCTTCCTTTTTAAGGCTGAAGAATGTTCTATCAGATGCATCTACCATATTTTCTTGATAATTCATCTGTAGATGGACACCTGGGATGTTTTCAGCTCTTGGCTGCTGTGAATAATGCTGCTATGAACATGGGTGTGCACATATCTATTTGAGTCCCTGCTTTCAATTATTTGGGTAAATTCCCAGAAGGGGAATTGCTGGATCATGTGGCAATTCTCTGTTTAATGATTTAAGAAAATGTCATAATGTTTTCCACAGCAGCTGTGCCATTTTACGTTCCACCAAGAGTGTACAAGGCTTCCAACTTCTCTACATCCTCACCAACACTTATTTTCTGGGTTTTCAAAAAATCATAGTCATTGCAGTGGGTGTCAGGTGGTATCTCACTCTGGTTTCGAGTTGCATTTCCCTAACCATTAGTGATGTTGTGCACCTTTTCATGTGCTTACTGGCCATTTGTATATATTATTTGGAGAAATATCTATTCAAATCCTTTGCCTGTTTTCAAATTGGGTTGTTTGTGTTCTTGTTGAGCTGTAGGAGTTCTTTATACATTCCGGATAGTAACCTCTTATCAACTATACAATTGGTAAATATTTTCACCCACGGAGCCTCTTCTGTTGATTGTGTTCTGTGATGAACAGAAGTCAATTCAACTTTTTGAATACTTGTAGGTTTCCATCACTTTCACAAAAACTGTCAGTAACCTGTTGATTTCTCCCTAACCCAGTAATTTTTGCTTCCTTTGTCTCAAGAATGAGCCACCTTAAGTCTTGCTGCAGAGGTAAGCATCTCACTTGCCTCACTCAGTCCTTGTCCTGCTTTCTGAGCAATGCCACTGTCCTGCAGCATCCCTGCTGGTGGTGGGAGAGGGTCCCCACAACACCAGCCCCAATGACACAGGACGACATAACTGCCTTTCTCTGGACTACTATTAACAAATACCACAGACGGGGTGGCTTATAAACAGTAGAAATTTATTTCTCAGAGTTCTGGAGGCTGGGAAGCCCAGGATTAAAACACCAGCAGATTTGGTGTATGGTGACATCCTGGTTCACAGATGGATCACTGTGTCCTCACCTGGCAGAAGAGACAAGGCAGTTTTCTGGGACTTCTATTATAAAGGCACTAACCCACTCATGCGGGCTCCACCCACATGACCTAATCACCTCCCAAGGACCCCACCTCCTAATACCATCACCATGGAGGTTAGAATTTCAACATAGAAATTCGGGGGTGGGGGACACAAACATTCAGACCACAGCAAAAACCCTTATGCTGGTGATGCTCAAGGCACTTAAAGGCACTGGTAAGACCCCAAAAACTCCAGTAATCACAGTGCAACATGGGTGGACCCTGATGACATTATGCTAAGTCAAAGAGGCCAGATACCACAGATCACACCCCGCATGATTCCATTCAACATCCAGAACAGAAAAACCCACAGGGACAGAAACCAGCTTAGCAGTTGTCTGGGACTCAGTCGGGGACAGGGGCCAATCCGGGGTGCGACATAAAGGGTATGGTATGTTTTTTTGAGGTGATGAAAATGCTCTAAAATTGACTGGGGTGGTGACGCACATACGGTAAATATACTAAGAAAACACTGAATTTTACACTTTAAGTGGGTGAATTGTATGATACGTGAATTATATCACAATAAAGGTGTTTCAGAAAAAAATTACCACCACACGTAATTACTAACTCATTTAGTTTGGTTTTAATCCCTTCCGTGTTCTGCCTAAACGTTTTATATTCACACACGTGTCACCAACATCGACAGTTTGGGACCAATCAAAACTACCTTCACCACTGTCTCCCCGGCATAAACTCAGGGCCAACATAGACATGCTCCGTAGGTTGGATGACACGGAGCCACTTTCCCGCGAGTGGCTCAAAGCTACTCGCCAAGCAGCTCCTGCAGCAGTGCCCTCAGCCAGCCCCTCCAGCTCTTCCTTACTCCAGAGCATCAAGGACTGGGCACCTTTTTGTTCCTGGAGAGATGCTGAATGCAGTCCCTGCCAGACCTGAGGACAAAGCCGGCCCATTATTGGGGTGTTTCCCCTGTGCTACACACTAGGCGTGGAAGCATTTGGACTGGCATTGTGTCCAGAATTGGTTCCCGCCCGTGGCTTCCTGGTCTCACCGACTTCAAGAATGAGGCCGCAGACGTTCCCAGCGAGTGTTACAGCTCTTAAAGATTGCACGAACCCAAAGAGTGAGTGATAACAAAGTTTATTACGAAGAGCAAGAGAACAGATCTTCCACCTCCTACGAGCGGTGTGCCGCTGCCGGTTGGGGGGCGGGGGGGTGGCCAGCTTTTATTCCCTTATTTGTCCCCGCCCATGTTCTGTTTCTGTCCTATCAGAATGCCCTTTTCTCAATCCTCCCCCACGATTGGCTACTTTTAGAATCCTGCTGATTGGTGCATTTTACAGAGCGCTGATTAGTGCATTTTACAGAGCGCTGATTGGTGCATTTTACAAACCTAGCTATAGGGTGCTGATTGGTGCGTTTTACAATCCCCTGGTAAGTCAGAAAAGTTCTCCAAGTCCCCACTCCACCCAGGAAGTCCAGCTGGCTTCACCTCTCTCTTCCTTACTCCAGAGCACGAGGGACTGGGCACCTGTTTGTTCCTGGAGAGGTGCTAAATCCAGTCCCTGCCAGGCCTGGGGACAAAGCCAGCTCATCACTGGAGGGTTTCCCTGTTCTGCACAATGGGCGTGGAATCATGTGGATGGGCGTGTCACTGAGGGATCCCCCCAGCCTCCCCACTAGGTTGGGAATGCAGCCATCAGTGGGGGTCACCCCACCTTCCCTGCCAAGCTAGGGACACAAACCCCCACGCTGGCCCCTCCTAGCCTGTAGCCCCCCTGTCCCCTGGGGGGCTTACAAATGCCGGGACTTCTGAGAACTGAGACTGCCTTTTGTGTCCCCTACAGCAGGGATGGCAAACACAGACCACACATCCCACCATTTCCCTCTTTTGCTTTCACCCTCCCCTCCCCCCACCCTGAGTCCAGATAACAGCCTTAGAATCCTACTCAACACACTGTTCTGGGCACTTAATGCCAGGCAGAGGAAGCTGGCACACAACGTGAAACCTACTTGCCATCCCTGTCCTACCTATAAGTAGATAGGGCCAAAAATAGGAGAAAATAAAATGTTTATGACCAAATACATAAAGACATTGTAAAATGTTGATGCTTGCTAGGAGGGAATTAGCTGACTCCTTAAAAACATGTGTCATCTACTTTGAAATGATCGAGAAATGCTGGCAAATAGGGCAGCCTCAGAGTGCTCTCAAGCCTCTGCCCAGTGGCAGGGGAAGCAATTCTCTCTGTGCTTCTGCAGGAAGCGACAGCTGAGGTTTGAGGGAGGCGCCAGCACACCACAGATATCAGATTCCTCAGTAAACAGAACTCACATACACCCCTGGTGGGAGTGAAAATTAATACGAACAACTTCGGAAAACACACAGTTTGGCAGTATCTACCAAAGCTAAACATACCTATACCTATATACCTATAGGTATACCCTACATCCTATAACCTACAGACTTCCCCTCTGGTGTAACCAACAGATGGATGTTCATCCAAAGCAATACACGAGAATAGCCATGCCTGTGTATCCACAATAGCCTCACACTGGGAGGAGAGTGGGGAAAACAAAACTGCGAGGTACTCACACAATGGAAAATTGGAAACCAGAGCTACTTGCAACAAGATGAGTGAATCTAACCGACATGTTGAATGAAAAAAGCAAGAAATAAAAGGGTCAATTACATATGATTCTATTTATAAAGCTGAAAGCCAGGAAGAATTCTTTTGTGACATTACAAGTTAGGATAGCAGGTGCCCATGAGGAGTGTGGTATGAGTGACTGGGAGAAGGAGGGGCGGGGCTCCCGGGGATGCTGGAGATGTTTTACTTCTGATCTAAGTGTTGGTTCCATGGGTTTGTTCACCTGTCAAGAGTTACTAGGTTCAGTACTTACAATGTGTGCTTTCTTCTCTGGCTATGTCTGAGCTAACACAGAGGATTAATTTTTAAAAAATACACAAATCTGTCTGGTCGTGGTGGCTCATGCCTGTAATCCCAGCACTTTGGGAGGCCAAGGTGGGCAGACTGCCTGAGGTCAGGAGTTGGAGACCAGCCTGGCTAACATCGTGAAACCCCGTCTCTACTAAAAATACAAAGATTAGCTGGGCGTGGTGGTGGGCACCTGTAATCCCAGCTACTTGGGAGGCTAAGGCAGGGATATCACTTCAACCCAGGAGTGAGAGGTTGCTGTGGGCCGGTATCACCCCACTGCACTCCAGCCTGGGCAACAGGGAGAGACTCCGTCTCAAAACAAAAACAAAAACAAATAAAAAATACACAGTAGTCCAGGGGAGAGTCTGTTGCTTATGACTGAGTGGACCTCAAGGCCTGCCTCAGTTTCCCACAGAGAGAGAAGGACCATGGTCATGAGGAGACCTTCCAGGGATGGTGGAAGCAAAAGAGAAAGTTGCATTTTGATTTTGGTTCCTCCGCCTGGAAAGTGCGGGTCTCACACAGGGAAAAGGTGGGCTTCTTCCAAGACTCAGCCTGAGCATCTCCCTCTGCTCTCGGGGACTGAGTTTCCCTCTTCCTGTGAGTCTCTCTGTGCCCTGGTACCCCTGCAGGGTCACTCTACCCAGCTGTCACCCCCTCAGAGCACAAACTGCTCCCTGGCATCGGGTGGCTGCTCACAACTGACTCTGAAATTAGTGGAAGGATGTAAAAGTAAAAAGTTGGATGCAAAAGTGTCACCTGGGTTAATTCAACTGGATTGTAAAGGTTTCAAGAAGGTTTTGTATAATGCTTTTTACTTTCTGCATTTTAAGATGCTTTGACATCTTGGGGTCTACTAATCCAGGAGAGACTGCCCTCCCAGGGCTAGCTAATTCCTTCAGATAATAAGAAACTCACCTGCAAGCCCACTTTTCCTATGCAGACCAACCAATCCACAGCCCACACCTCGAACTACACCCTTCATTTAACTCTCACAACTAAGCCACTATTTCCCCTGCCCTAAATCATCCCAGGGCCAGGTAAGGTACTAGACAACTGGGGGCTACTCCTACAGCCAACAGGTCAAACCAGCCAATTCTCACCTGGGTCAAACGTGCCTGCACATTCTTCCCCACAAAAACCACAATAAAGGATCTGGCCCATGCTGTCCCCTAGATCAGGGGTCCCCAAGCCCTGGGCCACAGACCAGTACTGGTCCTTGACCTGTTAGGAACTGGGTCTCACAGCAGGAGGCAAGCAGTGGGTGAGCATTATTGCCTGAGCTCCGCCTCCTGTCAGATCATCAGCAGCATTATATTCTCATAGGAGCGCGATTCCTATTGTGAACTGTGCATGCAAGGGATCTAGGTTGCACGCTCCTTATAAGAATCTAATGCCTGATGATCTGAGGTGGAACAGTTTCATCTGAAACCATCCCTGACCTGGACCCTCCCCCAGTTCATGGAAAAATTGTCTTCCACAAAACTGGTCCATGGTGCCAATATGGTTGGGGACTGCTGCCCTAGATCCCTCTGAGCTTCTCTGTGTGGTCTTGCCTGGGTAGCATGGCCCTTCCTCTTGGAAACTGCGAGTAATAAACTCTTCTTTCAAAGCAGTGGTCTCTGTGTCTGGCATCCCACCGTAATGGACTACAACAAATCCCAGGTACCTTTTAAGATAGGCTTGCAACTTAAAGATGATACAGCCTTCTCTAACTATCTCTTATCCCAATTCATCTCTTTCCTATGTATATTTTCAATAGACACCTGTGCTTCAAATGCATTAAGATACGTCCCAGAATGCAATCCATGGGTATGAACTGTGCAGGTACCACATGTTACTCCTAACACTTAGGATCAGATGATTAATAGAAGGGGATTGTCTGTAAAATATGCAGTTATTCAGGTTACTACATAATAATGGAAAGAGTAAAAAATCAAATTATTTCTTCAGTCTTTTACTACGAAGATTTCTGCATTTTGTTTTTGCTACTGCTATAAATGAGGGAGGCCTCATTTGTCCTATAGTAAAATGATGAAAATCTGCCCATCATCCCCTCTACGATGAAGCCAGTGGAGAGTCATGGTGTTCTGTGACCGTGGTGCTGTGTGGCAGAGTGCACTCAACCACCTCTCAGACACACTCGATGTGTGCCCTGCAGCCCTGAGGCTGCTCCACAAGCCCCTCCCAGCATGACCCAGCCCCTGTTCCAGTGACTTCAGATCTATGTCTCACTTCACTTCAGAATTCTTTAGGACAAATCGTTTTCAGAATATGGGAAATTACTTTCCCTTGTCTGATTGCCCTGGCTAGGACTTCAGTAGTGTGTTGAAGAGGAGTGGTCAGAGTGGGCATCCTTGTCTTGTTCCAGTTCTCAGAGGGGATGCTTTCAACTTTTCCCCATTCGGTATTATATTGGCTGCGGGTTTGTCATAGATGGCTTTTATTACAGTGAGATATGTCCTTTGTATCCCGATTTTGCCGAGAGTTTTAATCATAAAGGGATGCTGGATTTTGTTGAATGCTTTTTCTGCATCTGTTGAGATGATCATGTGATTTTTGTATTTAATTCTGTTTATGTGGTGTATCACATTTATTGACTTGCATATGTTAAACCATTTCTGCATCCCTGGTATGAAACCCACTTGGTCATGGTGGATTATCTTTTGATATGTTGTTGGATTTGGTTAGCTAATATTTTGTTAAGGATTTAGCATCTATGTTCATCAAGAATATAGGTCTGTAGTTTTCTTTTTTGGTTATGTCCTTTCCTGGTTTTGGTATTAGGGTGATGCTGGCTTCACAGAATGAATTAGGGAGGGTCTCTTCTTTCTCTATCTTGTGGAACAGTTTCAAAAGGATTGGTACCAATTCCTTTTTGAATATCTGGTAGAATTCTGCTGTGAATCCGTCTGGTCCTGGACTTTTTTTTGTTGGTAATTTTTAAATTGTCATTTCAATCTTACTGCTGGTTACTGTTCTGTTCAGGGTATCTAATTCTTCCTGCCTTACGCTAGGAGGGTTGTATTTTTCCAGGAATTTATCCGTCTCTTCTAGGTTTTCTAGTTTATGTGTGTAAAGTTATTCACAGTAGCCTTGAATGATCTTTTGTGTTTCAGTGGTGTCAGTTGTAATACCTCCCCCGTTTCATTTCTTATTGAGCTTATTTGGGTTTTCTCTCTTGTTTTCTTGGTTAATCTTGCTAATGGTCTATCAATTTTACTTATCTTTTCAAAGAACCGGCTTTTTGTTTCATTTATCTTTTGTATTTTTTTGTTTCAATTTCATTTAGTTCTGCTCTCATCTTGGTTATTTCCTTTCTTTTTCTGGGTTTGTTATTTCCTTTCTTTTGCTGGTTCTTGTTTCTCTAGTTCCTTGAGATGTGACCCTAGAGTGTCAGTTTGTGCTCTTTCAGTCTTTTTGATGCAGGCGTTTAGGGCTATGAACTTGCCTCTTAGCACCGCCTTTGCTGTATCCCAGAGGTTTTGACAGTTTGTGTCATTATTGTCTTTCAGTTCGAAGAATTTTTTAATTTCCATCTTGATTTCATTTTTGACCCAATGCTCATTCAGGAGCAAGTTATTCTGTGCAGAAGCTCTTTAGTTTAATTAGATCCCATTTGTCAGTTTTGGCTTCTGTTGCCATTACTTTTGGTGTTTTAGATGTGAAGTCCTGGCCCATGCCTATGTCCTGAATAGTATTGTCTAGGTTTTCTTCTAGGGTTTTTATGGTTTTAGGTCTAACATTTAAGTCTTTAATCCATCTTGAATTAGATTTTGTATAAGGTGTAAGGAAGGGATCCAGTTTCAGCTTTCTACATATGGCTAGCCAGTTTACCCTGCACCATTTATTAAATAGGGAATCCTTTCCCCATTTCTTGTTTTTGTCAGGTTTGTCAAAGATCAGATGGTTGTAGACGTGTGGTATTATTTCTGAGGGCTCTGTTCTGTTCCGTTGGTCTACATCTCTGTTTTGGTACCAGTACCATGCTGTTTTGGTTACTGTAGCCTTGTAGTATAGTTTGAAGTCAGGTAGCGTGATGCCTCCAGCTTTGTTCTTTTGGCTTAGGATTGACTTGGCAATGCGGGCTCTTTTTTGGTTCCATATGAACTTTAAAGTAGTTTTTTCCAATTCTGTGAAGAAAGTCATTGGTAGCTTGATGGGGATGGCATTGAATCTATAAATTACCTTGGGCAGTATGGCCATTTTCACGATATTGATTCTTCTTATCCATGAGCATGGAATGTTCTTCCATTTGTTTGTATCTCTTTTATTTCTTTGAGCAGTGGTTTGTAGTTGTCCTTGAAGAGGTCCTTCACATCCCTTGTAAGTTGGATTCCTAGGTATTTTATTCTCTTTGAAGCAATTGTGAATGGGAGTTCACTCATGATTTGGCTCTCTGCTTGTCTGTTATTGGTGTATAAGAATGCTTGTATTTTTGCACATTGATTTTGTATCCTGAGACTTTGCTGAATTTGCTTATCAGCTTAAGGAGATTTTGGGCTGAGATGATGGGGTTTTCTAGATATACTATCACAGCAAAAGAAACTACCATCAGAGTGAACAGGCAACCTACAGAATGGGAGAAAATTTTTGCAATCTACTCATCTGACAAAGGGCTAATATCCAGAATCTACAAAGAACTCCAACAAATTTACAAGAAAAAAACAACCCTATCTAAAAGTGGGTGAGGATATGAACAGACACTTCTCAAAAGAAGACATTTATG
Source organism: Homo sapiens (assembly GCF_000001405.40). Taxonomy (NCBI): domain Eukaryota; kingdom Metazoa; phylum Chordata; class Mammalia; order Primates; family Hominidae; genus Homo; species Homo sapiens. The sequence continues at coordinate 1,489,478 of NT_187660.1, forward strand.
CAGCCAACAGACACATGAAAAAATGCTCAACATCACTGGCCATCAGAGAAATGCAAATCAAAACCACAATGAGATACCATCTCATGCCAGTTAGAATGGCGATCATTAAAAATTCAGGAAACAATAGGTGCTGGAGAGGATGTGGAGAAATAGGAACACTTTTACACTGTTGGTGGGACTGTAAACCAGTTCAACCATTGTGGAAGACAGTGTGGCAATTCCTCAAGGATCTAGAACTAGAAATACCATTTGACCCAGCCATCCCATTACTGGGTATATACCCAAAGGATTATAAATCATGCTGCTATAAAGACACATGCACACATATGTTTACTGCGGCACTATTCACAATAGCAAAGGCTTGGAACCAACCCCAATGTCCAACAATGACAGACTGGATTAAGAAAATGTGGCACATATACACCATGCAATACTATGCAGCCATAAAAAAGGATGAATTCATGTCCTTTGTAGGGACATGGATGAAGCTGGAAACCATCATCTCAGCAAACTATCGCAAGGACAAAAAAACAAACACCGCATGTTCTCACATATAGGTAGGAACTGAACAATGAGAACACTTGGACACAGGAAGGGGAATATCACACACCAGGGCCTGTTGTGGGGTGGGAGGAGGTGGGAGGGATAGCATTAGGAGATATACCTAATGTAAATGACGAGTTAATGGGTGCAGCACACCAACATGGCACATGTATACATATGTAACAAACCAGCACGTTGTGCACATGTACCCTAGAACTTAAAGTATAATAATAAAAAAAAAAAATGTAAAAAAAAAAGGAGCAAGTTATTTAATTTCCATGTATTTGCATGGTTTTGAAGGTTCCTTTTGGAGTTGATTTCCAGTTTTATTGTACTGTGGTCTAAGTGCTTGATACAATTTTAATTTTCTTAAATTTATTGAGGCTCGTTTTATGGCCTATCGGGCTATCTTGGAGAAAGTTCCACTTGCTGTTGAATAGAATGTGTATTCTGTGGTTCTTGGATGAAATGTTCTGCATATATTTGTTAAGTCCATTTGTTCCAAGGTATAGTTCAAATCCATTGTTTCTTTGCTGACTTTTTGTCTTGATGACCTTGTCTTGTGCTGTCAGTAGAGTACTGAAGTCCCTCACGATTACTGTGTTGCTGTCTATCTCATTTCTTTGGTCTGTTAGTAATTGTTTTATGAATTTTGGAGCTCCAGTGTTAGGTGCATATATGTTTAGGACTGTGATATTTTCCGGTTGGACAAGGCCTTTTATCATTTGTGATGATTAATACCAAGTGTCAACTTGATTGAATTGAAGGATACAAAGTATTGATCCTGAGTGTGTCTGTGAGGGTGTTGCCAAAGGAGATTAGCATTTGAGTCAGTGGGCTGGGAAAGGCAGACCCACCCTCAACCTGGGTGGGAACACTCTAATCAGCTGCTAGTGCAGATAAGACTATAAGCAGGCAGAAAAATGTGAAAAGGAGAGACTGGCCTAGCCTCCCAGCCTACATCTTTCTCCCATGCTGGATGCTTCCTGCCCTCAAACATTGGACTCCAAGTTCTTCAGTTTTGGAACTTGGACTGGCTCTCCTTGCTCCTCAGCCTGCAGACAGCCTATTGTGAGACCTTGTAATAATGTGAATTAATAATAAACTCAAATATATATAATATATATATATATATATATTCCATTAGTTCTGTCCCTCTAGAGAACCTAGACTAACACACCATTATACAAATGTCCCACTTTGTCTCTTTTAACTGCTGCTGCTTTAAAGTTTGTTTTGTCTGATATAAGAATAGCTACCCCTGCTCCCTTTTGGTGTCAATTTGCGTGAAATGCCTTTTTCCACCTCTTTAAGTTTATGTGAGTCCTTATGTGTTGGGTGAGTCTCCTGAAGGCAGCAGATGGTTGTTGAGTTCTGATGCTCCTGAAGCATGGAGTTCTGAGTTTCCTGAGGGCAGCAGTGGGTTGGTGAGTTCTTATCTATTCTGTGGTTCTGTATCTTTTAAGGGGAGCATTTAGGCTATTTACATTCAATGTTAGTATTGAGATGTGAGGTACCATTGCATTCATTGTGCTATTTGTTGCCTGAGTACTTTGGTTTTTTTGTTTTTGCTTTTTAACTTGTATTTTTGTTTTATAGGTCCTGTGTGATTTATGCTTTAAAGAGGTTCTGTTTTGATGTGTTTCCAAGATTTGTTTCAAGATTTAGAGCTCCTTTTAGCAGTTCTTGTAATGGTGGCTTGGCAGTGGCGAATTCTCTCAGCATTTGTTTGTCTGAAAAAGATGGTATCTTTCCTTCATATATGCTGCTTAGTTTCACTGGATACAAAATTCTTGGCTGATAATTGTTTTGTTTCAAGAGGCTGAAGATAGGGCCCTGATCCGTTTTAGCTTGTAGGGTTTCTGCTGAGAAATCTGCTGTTAATCTGATAGGTTTTCATTTATAGGTTACCTAGTGCTTCTGTGTCACAGCTCTTAAGATTCTTTCCTTTGTCTAACTTTGGATAACCTGATGACAATGTACCTAGGTGATGATCTTTTTGTGATGGATTTCCCAGGTGTTCTTTGTGTTTCTTGTACTTGGATATCTAGGTCTCTAGCAAGGCTGGGGAAAATTTTCTCTATTACTCCCCCAAATATGTTTTCCAAGCTTTTAGAATTCTCTTCTTTCTCAGGGACACTGATCATTCTTAGGGTTGGTCATTTTGTTACACCCGAGCGAGTTCCATGGTTTGCAAACATTTAAAAATGAACTTATGTTTCTAAACATTCTGTAGCTTTCTTCTTCCTATTGACTCATTAGCAATATTTGTTTTTTCCTGATTATAAAAGTAACAAATACTCAATGTAGACATTTTATAAAACATACAAAAGTAAAAAGATGTAAATTAAAATCATCCATAATAAAAATGGCTTAATACTGTGAACCATTGTTTAAAAAAAAGAAAAGAAAAGAAAAGAAAAACACCACACTTTGAGACAAATTAAGAGTCCTTTATTTAAGCCGGCGGCCAAGAGAGGGATTGACGCTCCAAAATTCTCTCAGCCCCAAAGAAGGGGCTCGATTTAACTTTTATATCTTGGTTTAGGAAGGGGGGGTCTAGTTAAAACAATTTTACAGAAGTAAAGTAGGCAAAAGTTAAAAGGATAAATGGTTACAGGCAAGTAAACAGTTCTAGGTGCAGGGGCTTTAAGACAATTACAAGGTGATAGGCCCGGGGCTTGGGGCGTTATCAATCAGAGGAATTCCTAGGAATTGTGGATACAGCTTGCCACAGTATCTTATCAGTTAATTGCATTCTTGGATGTGCTGGGAGTCAGCTTGCAGAAGTTAAGTCCTTGAGGAAGGGGCTGCCAGTGAAAGAGCCAAGATAGAATCTGTCTGGTTCTCTTAGCTAAGGAAGAGTCCATTCAGATGGAAACAAGGCTAGGTGATTAAAGGAAAAAGGGAGAGTCTAAAAACATGGTTAGTAAAAACGAGGTTGGGCATTACAATTTAACATAGTCCCAGACTTCTTGGAGGCTTCGTTCATATTTTTTCTTTTTTCTTTATCTTTGTTGGATTGGGTTAATTTGAAGACCTTGTCTTCAAGCTCTGAATTTCTTTCTTCTACTTGTTGAATTCTATTCCTGAGACTTTCCAGAGCACTTTGCATTTCTATAAGTGTGTCCAGTGTTTCCTGAATTTTTTATTGTTTTTTCCTTATGCTGTCTATTTCCATGAATATTTCTCCCTTCACTTCTTGTATCATTTTTGGATTTCCTTGCATTGGGCTTTGCCTTTCTCTGGTGCCTCCCTGATTTGTTTAATAACTAACCTCCTGAATTCTTTTTCAGGTAGATCAGGGACTTCTTGGTTTGGATCCATTGTTGGTAAACTAGTGTGATTTTTTGGGGGTGTTAAAGTTTTGTCATATTACCAGGGTTGGTTTTCTGATTCCTTCTCATTTGGGTAGGCTCTGTCAGAGGGAAGGTCTAGGGCTGAAGGCTGTTGTTCAGATTCTTTTTTTCCCATGGGGTGTTCCCTTGGTGTGGTAATCTCCCTCTTTGCCTATGGATGTGGCTTCCTATGAGCGGAACTGCAGTGATTGTTGTCTGTCTTCTGGGTCTGGCCACCCAGCAAGTTCTATCAGGCTCCAGGCTGGTACTCAGGGTGGTCTGCACAGAGTCCTGTGATGTGAACCGTCAATGGGTCTCTCAGCGTGGATATCAGTGCCTGTTCCGGTAGAGGTGGCAGCGGGGTGCAATGGACTATGTGAGGGTTCTTAGCTTTGGTGGTTTAATGCTCTATTTTTGTGCTGGTTGGCCTCCTGACGGGAGGTGGCACTTTCCAGAAAGCATTGGCTGTGGTGGGTGTGGAGAGGAACCTACGGTGGGCAGGGCCCTAGAACTCCTAAGAGTATATGCCCTTTGTCTTCATACCCCACGCTCATGGATGGGTAGAATCAATATTGTGAAAACGATCATACGGCCAAAAGCAATCTACAAATTCAATGCAATCCCCATCAAAATACCACCACCATTCTTCATAGGATTAGAAAAAACAATTCTAAAATTCATACAAAACCAAAAAAGAGCCCAGGTAGCCAAAGCAAGACTAAGCAAAAAGAACAAATCTGGAGTCATCACATTACCTGTTTTCAAACTATACTATAAAGCCACAGTCACCAAAACAGCATAATACTGGTATAAAAATAGGCACACAGACCAATGGAATAGAATAGAGAACCCAGAAATAAGCCCAAATATTTACAGCCAACTGATCTTCGACAAAGCAAACAAAAACATAAAGTGGGGAAAGGACACCCTCTTCAATAAATGGTGTTGGGATAACTGGCTAGCCACATGTAGGAGAATGAAACTGGATCCTCATCTCTCAACTTACACAAAAGTCAACTCAAGATGGATTAAAGACTTAAATCTAAGACCTGAAACTATAAAAATTATAGAAGATAACTTTGGAGAAACCCTTCTAGATGTTGGCTTAGGCAAGGATTTCATGACCAGGAACCCAAAAACAAATGCAATAAAAACAAAGATAGTCGGGACTTCAACTAAAGAGCTTTTGCATGGCCAAAGGAACAGTTATCAGAGTAAACAGACAACCCACAGGGTGGCAGAACATCTTCACAATCTATACATCTGACAAAGAACTAATTTCCAGAATCTACAATGAACTCAAACAAATCAGTAAGAAAAAAAAAACAAACAATCCCATCAAAAAGTGGGCTAAGGACATGAATAGAGAATTCTCAAAAGAAGATATACAAATGGCCAAGAAACATATGAAAAAATGCTCAACATCATTAGTCATCAGGAAAAGGCAAATCAAAACCATAATGCAATACCATCTTACTCCTGCAAGAATGGCCATAATCAAAAAATCAAAAAATCAAAAAATAGTAGATGTTGCCGTGGATGCAGTAAACAGGGAACACTTCTATGCTGCTGGTGGGAATGTAAACTAATGCAATCACTATGGAAAACAGTGTGGAGCTTCCTTAAAGAAGTAAAATAGAACTACCATTTGATCCAGCAATCCCACTACTGGTTATCTATGCAGAGGAAAAGAAGTGATTATATGAAAAGGATACTTCACACGCATGTTTATAGCAGCACAGTTCGCAATTGCAAAACTGTGGAAACAATCCAAATGCCCATCAGTCAATGAGTGTACAAAGGAACTGTGGTGCATAAATATATATATATGATGGAATACTACTCAGCCATAAAAAGGAATGAATTAATGGCATTTGCAGTGACCTGGATGAGATTGGAGACTACTATTCTAAGTGAAGTAAATCAAGAATGGAAAACCAAACATCGTATGTTCTCACTAATATGTGGGAGCTAAGCTATGAGGATGCAAAGGTGTAAGAGTAATACAATGGACTGTGGGTACTTGAGGGGAAAAGTAGGAAGGGGGTGAGGGATAAAGGACTACAAATAGGATGCAGTTATGCTGCTCTGGTGATGGGTGCACCAAAATCTCACAAGTCACCACTAAAGATCCTACGCATGCAACCAAATACCACCTGTTCGCCAATAACTTATGGAAAAATAAAAAATAAAAATAAAAAAGAAAATTGGAAATTAAAGCTTTAAGTAGAGAGGCGAGACAGTAGGCCAGAAGTCGCTGTGCTTAATGGCAGCAGCCCTGGCCACCTGCCTGATTTCTAGGGCTTATTTGAGGCTGTGGGCTGGGGAGACCCGCTGGGCTGGCTCAGGGGTCTGCGTGGGCTGGCTCCAGTGCCCAGCCTAGAACCTTCAGGGACTTGGCCTACGCAAAGCCTGGCCTACTAGTTTTCATTTAGCGCATGTGAATTCAGAGAAACCAGGATCAGAAAGGTTCCTATTAGGTCTGTTATGATTCTGTCCAAGCTCATTAGAATTTAAATTTTTACCTTTAAACGCACGTTATTTTTGGCTCTGCATTGCATTTATTATTATATTTTATGCAAAGAAGCCTGGCCTTTATGACCGATCAGTATTTGTGATTTTTCACTTTTCATGCAATTAAAGCCCATTAGAACACAGCCACGTGGCACAGGAAATGCACTCATGTGGCTGAGGAAGGAGAGGAGCTGCCGCATTCTTTGTTTCTAATTGTGCTTTATCTGCTAATTGCGTTTCTACCTGCTCCACAGGAACGGTGGGAAACTTACATCGAAAAATATATATCTAAAGGAATTTAGAACTCCTTTAAAATCTCAAATCTGATGAGAATCTAGGGTTTTCTTTGGTGCATGAACGTGTATACACAAAACATTTAGGAAAAAGTTATTTAATTCCAGAAAATAGAACCTTTATTATATAAATTATACAATTAAGTCTTATAACATTCGTTGACCTTTTAGGGAAAAAAAAAAACTACCTGCTTTTCATTTCTAGCATCAGATATTTCACCTTTATTTTGGTCTTCATTTCGTCATATTCCGTTTGCTAATTCATCTCTTGCTCTGCAACAGATGTTCAAATTATTTGTGAAATAGTAGATCTGAGTCACAGGCTTTTAATTTTTCATTTCATGTGTGCCATCGTGAAGAGGGAGAGAGAGACAGGATGAGAATAAATCTGAGGACTGTGGGAATCTGCGATGCCAGTTGGAACTCCTGCCAAGAAGGAAATTGTCAAGTGAGAGCACCAAGCCAGAATCTGGAGTTCTCTTTGAAAGCATGTCTTCCTAGGACACAGCAACCGTTCCTACAGCCCTGGGAATTTTTACACCACCTTTTAATGCAAATGACACTTTTTTTTTTTTTTTGAGACGGAGTCTAGCTCTGTCGCCCAGGCTGCAGTGCAGTGGCACAATCTTGGCTCACTGCAACCTCTGCCTCCTGGGTTCAAGTGATTCTCCTGCCTCAGCCTCCCAAGTAGCTGGGATTATAGGTGCCCACCACCACGCCCAGCTAATTTTTGTATTTTTAGTAGAGACAGGGTTTCACTGTGTTGGCCAGGCTGGTCTCGAACTCCTGACCTCATGATCTGCCCACCTCGGCCTCTCAAAGTGCTGGGATTACAAGTGTGAGCCACCACGACCGACACTTTCAAGGACAGCTTAGCTTGCTGAGTTAGTAACGTTCACACAAGCCTCCTCTTGAACAGGAAAATAAGACTGGCACTCCTGAGGCACTCTTATCACACGAGAGACATGGAATAAGTTAGAGATTCCTCCTCCCTGTCTTGCCTTCGTCTCCTTCTGAGGCTCTTCTGTTAATAATGTAGACTTGCACTTTTAGGCCCGACTCAGAAATTTCATTAATTAGCACGGTCATCAAAGTAGAGCTCCACTTTGCTGACAGAAAGGGAGAAAGGGCTAAAGAGAATCGTGCTGGGTAACAGGAAAATAAGGAACACTGCACGATTTTCCACCACAGAGACCCAAGCAAGAATGTTCGCAGCAGCAGTGCTTGGAATAACAAAAGATTGGAAAGAATCGACATGAGGTTCTGTCAAGTTAACTTGGGAAAACAGTGTTTCAAAAACATTAAATTAGGAGCTCTCCTGCATGACTTCTCCAACTTGTAACATTTCAGTGTGTGTTGTTGTCAGAGGTGTTTGAACCAGAGTAACTCCATCTTGGATAGGGGCTGGGTAAAATAAGGCTGAGACCTACTGGGCTGCATTCCCAGATGGTTAGGCATTCTAATGAGGTAGGAGGTCAGCACAAGATACAGGTCATAAAGACCTTGCTGATAAAACAGTTTGCAGTAAAGAAGCTGGCCAAATCCCATCAAAACCAAGATGGTGACAAGAGTGATCTCTGGGTCATCCTCACTGCTACACTCCCATCAGCGCCATGAGTTTACAAATCCCATGACAATGTCAGGAAGTTACCCTATATGGTCAAAAAGAAAAGGCATGAATAATCCTCCCCTTGTTTAGCATATCATCACGAAATTACCATGAAAATGGGCAACCAGCATCCCTTAGGGCTGCTCTGCCTATGGAGAGCCATTCTTTATTCCTTTACTTAATAAACTTTCACTTTACTCTATGGGCTCGCCTCTAATTCTTTCTTGCGCAAGATCCAATAGCCCTCTCTTGGGGTCTGGATTGGGACCCCTTTTCGGTAACACTGTCACCCTCCAAGAAGAGAGGCTGAGCATGCTGAGTGGACCACGTTTTCCTCCTCCTCTTCCTTCTTACATTTAAAATAACACCCATTTGCATCTCCCGTCACTCATGCTCAGGAGAATGTGCTGTGAGAAGTGCAGAATGAGATGTTCAGGAGAGGTTCAGGGGCCTGCTTCAGTCTCCAGACATTCCAGCTTCCGAGGGGGCCCTGCAGGGCCACCAGCTCCCTCACGCTCACCCCACTAGGAATTACTCTATTTACAGACAAAAATGCCTGCCAGTTGGTATTTGTCCTTTCCTAGAACATACCATAAATACAAAGCAATAAAGAATAACGTTTTTATGAGTTTAAGTTTTTGTCTGGTCTCTAATCCAGCAGAATAGCATGTGATACAATCTCATGACTTTCAGAGCTATACAGGAGAAAACTGCTCATAGCAGTGTCGTGTGTTTCCAGGCAAAACTGAAAACATGAATACAGCACTGGACACCTGGTCAGTCCTTAACAAATTACTCTCCGTTGCTCAACTTCAATGACAAGAACAAATCAAACAAAGAAGCTGGGCAGGGCTGCTGCTGACTGGTCACCTGACGGCCAATGGACAGTGACTTTTAAAGTTTACTTTCTTTTATTCTTGGGGGAGATCATATAGTATTTGAGGGTATAGTTGGGGAACACCACATTAAAAAATCGCAATTCTTAGCTTCTCTTGAAAAGTTTCGAGTTCCAGGTTCACTAGGCCGTGGGTGGCAGCCGCTCCCTCCAGACAAGTCCTCCTGGTTCTGGGCTGGAGAGAGTTTGTCTGGCTTGGCTCCCGGCAGCCTCTGGGATTCTGTTTCTTCCTCTCTGCAAAGAAAGGTGCCCAGCTCCAATGGCTCTCTATCTTCCATGTGGGGACACCTCTTCTGCTGTCATATCTGCACCTGTGAGCCTGTTCCTTCGTAGACATGCTAGCGGGGAGTCCAGTGGACACAGACACACATACATGGGTTGACTCAGCTACGTGTAACTGGATATCAGTTTAGCCACTAATACCCCCTAAAAATGAGCTATAAATCCGAGAAACAGTTCGGATGGTCTTTTTTCCCACTGGAGACCACACTTCTTGCAGACACTAAAGCCCTGCTAAACACAATGCGGGCCCAGTAGAACTCCTGTAGTGGCGCTCCTGGCCAGGGTGGGGGTGGAGGGAATGGAAAGGTAGCCAGAGAGGCTGGTTCTGGAGCCCCTGCGCCTGCAGCCCTTTCCCCAGTCCCTGCAACAGGAAGGCCTCATCCTTCTACACTGCAGGTATCCCAGCAGACGAAAAGCAGGCACTCTCTGGAGAGGGCTCAGCTGACAGAGGACTGACAGACGTCCCAGTGCACATGAAGTAAAGTCTGAAGCTTGCCCGCCCCCAGCTCGCGCCCAGCTCTGCCTGTGAACACAGATAGCTCCACCTCTGTACTCAGAAGTGTGTCCAGAATTGATGGGTTCTTGGTCGCACTGACTTCCCGAACGAAGCCGTGGACCCTCACACTGAGTGTTACAGTTCTTAAAGACACCGTGTCCAGACTTTGTTCCTTCTGGTGTTCGGATGTGTTCACAGTTTCTTCCTTCTGGTGGGTTCGTCGTCTCGCTGGCTCAGCAGTGAAGCTACAGACCTTCGTGGTGAGTGTTACAGCTCTCAAGTCGGCGCGTCTGGAGTTGTTCGTTCCTCCCGGTGGGTTTGTGGTCTCACTGGCTTCAGGAGTGAAGCTGCAGACCTTTGCAGTGAGTGTTACAGGTGATAAAGGCAGCTTGGACCCAAAGAGTGAGCAGCAGCAACTTATTGCAAACATTGAAAGAACAAAGCTTCCACACTTGTGGAAGGGAACTGCGCCGGGTTGCCACTGCTGGCTCGGGCAGCCCGCTTTTATTCTTATTTGGCCCCACCCACATCCTGCTGATTGGTCCATTTTACAGAGAGCCGATTGGTCTGTTTTACAGAGAGCTGATTGGTCCGCTTTGACAGGGTGCTGATTGGTGCATTTACAATCCCTGAGCTAGACACAAAAGTTCTCCACCTCCTCACTAGATTAGCTAGATACAGAGTGTCCACTGGTGTATTTACAAACCCTGAGCTAGACACAGGGTGTTGATTGGTGTATTTACAATCCCTTAGCTAGACATAAAGGTTCTCCAAGTCCCCACCAGACTCAGGAGCCCAGCTGGCTTCACCCAGTGGATCCGGCACCGGGCCGCAGGTGGAGCTGCCTGCCAGTCCCCTGCCGGGCACCCACACTCCTTAGCCCTTGGGTGGTCCATGGGACTGGGCACCGTGGAGCAGGGGGCGGTGCACACTGGGGAGGCTCCCGCAGCACAGGAGCCCACGGAGGTTGGGGAGGCTCAGGCATGGCGGGCTGCAGGTCCTGAGCCCTGCCCCGCGGGAAGGCAGCTAAGGCCTGGTGAGAAACTGAGCACAGCAGCTACTGGCCCACGTGCTAAGCCCCTCACTGCCCGGGCCGGCGGGCTGGCCGGCCGCTCTGAGTGCGGGGCCGCTGAGCCCATGCCCACCCAGAACTCACGCTGGCCCGCAAGCACCAGGCACAGCCCCGGTTCCCGCTCACGCCTCTCCCTCCACACCTCCCTGCAAGCTAAGGGAACAGGCTCCGGCCTTGGCCAGCCCAGAAAGGGGCTCCCACAGTGCAGCAGCGGGCTGAAGGGCTCCTCAAGCACAGCCAGAGTGGGCACCAAGGCCGAGGAGGCGCCCAGAGCCAGAGAGGGCTGTGAGGGCTGCCAGCACGCTGTCACCTCTCAGAAGCAGGAGAAGTCCCGCCCAAGAGAAAACAAAAACTATACACACTGACTTTCGGGGATCTCCCAAGAAATGCTAGATGATTAGATGATCCACCCGAGTCCATGTAGCTGTGACAGATGATGAACCTTGAAGATCTTGTTGCATTTTGGTGGGGAACTGTGGGAATCGGGCAGGGAATCACTTTCACCCGCAGCTTACCAGGACCTATCTACAGGGATGACAAAAGCATCCCCTAACAGGTGGCTGGAGACCTGAGGCTCACCAAGTGCCCCAGTCATGAAATCACAGAAAAAAACTACCAGAGGCCAGTGCATTGCTCTCCCTGCCTGGCAGGTGCAAAGTCAGTGGAGAGAAGTAGTATCACGGTCGAGCATGCGGTGAGAACAACGCCCACGGAACCGGGGGACACATGGCAAGGGCTGAAGCTGCAAGTTCTGAGCACGTCAGCCCCTGCGCCTCACCCCCACCTTCCTGTTCTCCAAACTGAAATGAGCCTCCGGGCCTTGTCCCCAACCACTTCCCTGCATCCTTTAGGCCTCGGCTTGCAGGCCAGGTGCTCAGAGAGGTATTGGCCACGTCCACCACACCTCCCCACGTCTTTCCTCGGAGGACTTCCTGTTGTCTGAAACTGTCCACCGCAGCTCCCCGTGTCTTTCCTTGGAGCACTTCCTGTTGTCTGACACTGTCCACCACAGCCCCCCACGTCTTTCTTTGGAGCCCGAGCTGCTCACCAGAAGGGAGCGGAGCCAGGATTTGGCTTGTCTCCAGGACTTGTCTTGACACTGCCGTGTTCCTAGCACTCAGAACATGCCGGACACGGGGCGCTCCCTCTGTAAAATGTATTAATCCACTGAATCAAAGAATGACTGAATGTACACCATGGACAGATAGATATTTCTATGGAACCACTGTTACCTTAAAACATACCAATTTTTATTTTGCTGGGAATGTTTACTTTGCTAGGAAAGTTTACTTTGCTAGGAAACTTTGGGGGTTTGGAATCAACTTTCAAATTGCAGCTTTTGCATGGAATCTCTTTATCTATAATAATAGCAAATTCACATGAAGAAGAATGAAAACAGAATGATGTTCCTACAAACGGAAAAATTCTGGGCCATCATGACAACGCACAAATAGCTGTCAAATGCTAAATTTCTCATGAAGCCAAGAGAGGCCAAAACTATCCCTGACCTGTGATTAGTACAATAAAGGCTGTGCCTTTGGGCAACAATGGGAACAGAGATGAAGACTTCAAGCCAGACAGTCCAGCAGCCCCAGCCTAAGGCTATGTTCTCCTGTAATTTATTACTCAGGATGAGGAAGCTAAATCAGGGTTGCCCTGGTTACTATGGGGCTCTTCCGAGGACCCTGGTGACATAATTGGTGTTGGCTTGGAGACTGAGGCTTTCAATTCTGAGATTAGAGTGTTGGTAATAGAGGTGGCTACCCCCTCAAGAAGAAATTCAAACAGGCTTTGGAAAAAATGAGATAGTCTCAAAATTAAGGTCCTCCTCCAAAATGTGCCACTGACTGTCTTAACCTGTGGTCCTGACAGATTCAGCAACAATACATAATTGGCTCATTCAAATAATAATTGCCTTTTAAAAATAGTAACAAACAGAATCATGAAACGCTTAACCAGATGATCTCAGCTAACTGAACTAGGTTGTCACACACAGAGAGAGCAGCGTCTGCTGTGAATATCCTGCTCAGATCACCCTTCGGCAGACATTTCCCGAGTTACTGCCACAGCCCCGTGCTGGACACTCAGAGGAGGAAGAACTCTGGGGATAGCGGCTTGGAGGACTGGCTGGAGGGGGAATGACATGGGATGTGGCCCAAGAAACAGATTTTCCAAAGAGAAAGGGACAGTAATACAGAGAACAGGCAGGAAGAGGGAGATAGGACTGGAATATAGTTCATTAAAATGGAATTCAGCCAGGGGCCCTTCTCAGGCACCCAGAACCCTCATGGCTCTGCCACCAGGCTGAGAATAGCAAACAAAGGTGATCGGGTCCCAGAAATCTGAAACACGTTTTTGAGCATCTGGGGATCTGTGCCCTGTGTTTGCAGGCTGGTCTTAAAGGCGCCTGGAGTTTACAGGGGGCGGTGAGCAAGGCAGGAAAAGCGGAGGAGCGGCCTGCATATTTAGGGTGCAAGGGTCTGCGATGTCACCCTCACACCTACACCCACAGTCCATAAGGGTCATCAGGCTCATCAGCTGGGTGGTCGCTGCAGGCCAGAAAGGGCTGGGAGGACAAAGCACAGAACAGGGATGCCCACCCCTCCTGCTGTCGTGAGGCTAAATCTGCTTCCCCCACACCCAGCCGCCACCAGGGAGAGAAGGAGAAGACGGAAGGAAAGAGGATAGGAGGGGCTGAATACCTTCTGGAAAGAGACAAAGTTAATCCTGGGGAGACTGTTTTAAACTGGTAAAGGGGGAACCACTCTGCAGTGGTAAGAGTTGAATTCAATTTTTCTAAATCAGTGGCCACAGAAGTAACTCACTTCTACATGCCAAGTAGAAATCAGTTACAGAAAATGAAGAACACATTTCTGCAGTTCTGAGCCAAGATATGAGAATTTTAATCACACCACATATAACAGAAGTCAACAGGATTGAGACTAAACATCTCTCATAAACATAAGTAGACAAAACTTGCCGATGAGAAAAAAAAAGAAACTTGAAAACATGATGCTAAGTGAAAGATGCCAGACACAAAAGGACAAACACTGTGCCGGGCACGGTGGCTCACACCTGTAATCCCAACACTTTGGGAGACTGAGGCGGGTGGATCAGTTTGAGACCAGCCTGGCCAACATTGTGAAACCCCATCTCTACTAAAAATACAAAAATTAGCTGGGCATGGTGGCGGGCGCCTGTAATCCCAGCTACTCAGGAGGCTGAGGCAGGAGAATCGCTTGAACTAGAGAGGTGGAGGTTGCAGTGAGCCAAGATCACGCCACTGCACTCTAGCCTGGGCAACACAGCAAGACTCCGTCTCAAACAAAAACAAAAACAAAACAAAACAAAATACTGTATGCTTCCACTTACATGAGTGACCTAGAATGGGATAAATTCATAGAGACAGAAAGTAGAATATTGGTTATCAGGGGCTGGGGAAGCAGAGAAATGAAAAGTTATTGTTTGATGGGTATAAAGTTTCTATTAGGGATGATGAAAAAGTTCTGGAAATGGATGTTGGTCATGGTTTCACACAATGTGAATGTACTTAATGCCACTGAATTGCACACTTAACATGGTTAATTTAGTAAACTTTATACTGTGTATATTTTACCATAACCAAAAAGAAAAAGGACTCTCACTTTCATAAGTAGAATAATATACTGTTTAATTATTAATTTAGAAGCCCAATCAAAAAAGGAAAAAAAGTCAAAAGGTACAAATTATCAGTGAGATAACAGACCTTGCACACAGAGGAACTTAACATATTAGAAATGTACAAAAATATTGTAAAATATTTACTAAATAATACTATGAACTATTTTATGCTCATGACTTAAATGATGATTCAAAGCCCAAATAGATCACAAATGTAAAAAAATGCAAAAATTGCCAAATAACTATATCCTTAGCTATCATCAGTCTGACAGTTTAATTGGTGAATCTTTTCTTTTCTTTTCTAAATTAAAAAATTTTTATTAGTAACATTTTTGTCCTTGGTAATCCTTCCGAATAAAGAAATCTATGAAAATGCTATGGAAAATTAAATTAAACAACATATAAAATCACCTGGGCACCTGGAAGATGGTGAAGAAATATTTTGTGACATAAATTTAAAACTGAACTATCAATTTTTAAAAAGCTTTAGTGTTTCGTTAAAAGTATGAAAAAGAAATTTAAAATATGCTTAAATAATCGTTAGTCAGAGATATATTCAGAAAGGAAACTTATTAAATGTACTACTTTTTTCATTCTCCATGGTAAAACTGAGAATGAGAATCTTGGTAAAGGTTAAAATTTTGAAATAATAGCGTATCTGGGGACATCAACTATTCCTTACATCTTGAACACACAATCTTTCTATTTACTCTGTAA